>NC_000014.9:52035955-52338985 GCF_000001405.40 Homo sapiens | reverse complement strand
CCACATGATGAGAAAGGTTTGGGTAGCAGAGGATTGGAAATCAGTACACTATAAGTATGGGATCCTAAAAACATGATCAGATTCTCATTTTAAAATATCAATAATGATAATAATAACCGGCATTTTTAAAGATCATACCATGTACCAGACATTGTTTTAAGTATTTCATATGCCTCATGTGATTTTTTTGGTATGATTTTATCATTTGACTTTTTGCCGAAATCCTATGAGGTGGGCAGCTACTACCCTCATGATGAAGGTGAAAAAACAGGCTTAGAAAGTCTAAGTAACTTATTCAAGGTTACACAACAGTGGCAGAGTTAGGATTTGAAATGAGGTCTGTCCAACTTCAAAGTTCAAATTTTATACCAAGCACTGTGCTATTCTGTTTCCAAGGACAATACCCCTACACCAGGGTGGAGGATGGGCTGGGGAGGAGATTAGTACTAAGTAGATGAGGCAGTACTTGTGACTAATTTCCTGACAATCTGCTCCCTCCCCTGGGTATCCTGGTGCACAGTCTGCAGAGTAAACACAATCCTTCCATGCTTTTGAGCATAGATTTATGATTGACAGGAGAAGTGAGCAAACAGATTTCCTTATTGCTCTTATGGAAATGCATGGAAAGTTAAATGGAAATTTCATTATGCGAAAGGACTTATGGAAATTCATCTTTAAGAATAATAAATCTCCATTTGTGAGATTCAAAACCTTGTTGCATCTGTGCAGGTTGAAGTGAGTAACAAGAAGGTTGAAGTGCAGCTATTCTGTAGTTAAGAATGAACTCATTATTCTGAGGAAGCTGCAAAAGCCCACAAATTCAAATAATCACAATGTGGGCTAGACCTCTAGTGGGTAGACTACTGTTTTCTTTTGCACAGAATCATTTTTTCATATAATAGCTAAAATTATCATTAACTTAATGCTGAAATAACTGCATTATTTTTCCAAAATAAGTCATGTAAATTTAAATAACAGTTCACAGTTGTCAATGTATTTGGTTTATTTCTCTCTAATGGGAACAGAGTGATAAATATATAAATTCCTTTCATGTCATATAAATGCTTAGCCTGACTTGTTGGTAAACAAGTTGGTAAGACAACCACTCTTATAAAGAGCAGCTTTGGCTGGGCACAGTGGCTCATGATTGTAATCCCAGCACTTTGGGAGGCTGAGGTGGGCAGATCAAGAGGTCAAGAGATTGAGACCATCCTGGCCAACACTGTGAAACCCCGTCTCTACTAAAAATACAAAAATTAGCTGGGCGTGGTGGTGCGCACCTGTAGTCCCAGCTACTCGGGAAGCTGAGGCAAGAGAATCACTTGAACCCAGGAGGCGGAGGTTGCAGTGAGCCGAGATTGCACCACTGCACTCCAGCCTGGGCAACAGAGTGAGACTTTGTCTCTAGATAGATAGATAGATAGATAGATAGATAGATAGATAGATAGATAGATAGCAGTTTTGTGGACCACCTAATTCTCCAACCAGTAAGATAGCTATCACTGGCATTTAGTTTTGATATTCGTTTCATATATGCATCTTCATTCACAACTCAAAAACAAAATATATGAGGAAAAATTAGAGTGATAGAAATTAGATTGATTTTAGTTTACATTGTTAATGTATCTTTATGTGCAAACAGTATGGACCTTTTTTGGTTTGCTTTCTTTTGAAGGGAGTATGCCTACTGTTTTATTTTTTAATTGTTTTGAGTATCAAAACAATCATAAACTCACAGAAACATTAGGAGCACAGTACACATAACTTTTTCCCCCTGAATTATTTGAGATTAGGTTGTGGACATGGTGCATCATCATTCCTCAGTACCTCATTGTGTGTTTCCAAGGACATTTTCCTATAGAACCACAATTTAATAACCACAATCGGGTAGTTTACACTGATGCATTACTAACATCTATTCCTCAAGACCTATTAAGTGTTGCCAGTTGTCGCAATAATGCTCTTTATAGCAACAGAATCTAGTTCTGATTCCCCTGTTGTAGTTGATTGTCCTGTCCCATTAGTTTTCTTCAGTCTGGAATAGTTCAGACTGTCTTGACTTTCATGACTTTGACTCTTCTGAAGATTACAAACCAGTCATTTTGTAGAAATCCTTCAATTTGGGTTTGTCTGGTATTTCTCCATGATTAGGGTTAGGCTACTTCTTTCAGGTACTTCTTCGATAAGAAGAAATATCCCAGAAGTGACACTGTATTCTTAGTGCAGTTTGTCTTCTGGCTTAGAATTTAATTGGTTCTGTCACTGATGATAGTTTACTTTGGTCTCCCGATTACATTAGGGTCTGTCAGGATTTCTTACTGTAAAGTGATTCTTTCCCTTTGGTTATTTTATGGTCAGGTACTTTGAAACTTTGTAAGTCGCTTGTTTCTCATTAAACTTTCATTTTTAAATTTGTTTTTATCTGTGTGGAATCACTGTTTCCTATTTTTTTCAAGGGATCATAATCTATTATTATCATTATATATGTTGATGCTCAAATTGTCCCCAGTTTGGTCAGTGGGAATCCCCTTTCAAACCGGCTTCTGTGTTCTTGTGAGGTGGCTCTCTCATTCCTCAAGCACTTCCTTATAATTAAGATGTTCCAGGCTTGCTTTATACTTTCCCTGCCCCAGTTTTGAAGTCAGCCATTTCTCAGAGGAGCCCTGGTTCCTTTCAGGGGAAAATGGTATTTAGAAAACAAGACCTATGAGCTAGGTGTGCTCATTGCTATTGGATGGGGAAGAGGTTGCTAATCCCAGCTATTCTCAGTGGAGAGAGCTAGAGGATACACACACACACACACACACACACACACATTTACATATGAATTTATTTCCATATTTATCTCTATATATTGAAAAATATGAGCTAACACAATATCCCAATTCCAATCCAACACCACAGCATCCATTCCAGTTTTTTCCCCTTCATTTTTCTGTAACAGTGACTAAACTGTTTTTTGTTATTTTTAATATATTTGTTTATTTGATAAATCCTTCTGTATGTAGCCAATCTCCCATCTCCAACATCTTCCTCTCCCTACACCTCCCTCTTCCTGCTCAAGCTGTCAGTCCCCAATCTGAGTCCCCAGCTCACCCCACGTGGAGGCCATGCTCACCCTGCTTGGGTCCTGACAGCTCATGCTAGGCCATCCCACAAGTGCATGCCCATCTCACCCTGCTCAGGTTCCTAAACCCCATCACTGGGCCATCCCCTTGCAAGGATGCCCCATCCTCTCAGTCAGGCTCTGCCTCCCTAGAGCAGTTCACCCCATGTGGACAGCCTCCCCAGGCCCCTGGGCTCTGATTGTCCATGCAAGGCTGCTCCTGTGAATGGACACCCTCCTCTGCTTCAATCTGTTCAGGCCCCACAACCCAATACCAGGGCACCCACTCCCTCCCTGTTTGGGTTCCAGTGCCCCACACCATGTCACACCCCCTGTGTGAATAACCTTCTTATCTGCTTTGGACTCTGATGCCCACTGTAGGCTGCCTTTCTGTGTGAACACTCTCCCCAGTCCACTAGGGCTCCATACTCTGCACAGCAGCACCCCCATCCTCGCCCAACCTGAGCTTGAACAATCCGCTCCAGGCCCCTGCGTGGGCTCTCACACCCCCAGCTGCAGAAGCCTGCCTTAGTCTGCCCCACCCAAAGGGCTTCACATTGAGTTGTTCAGAGAGGAGGGGAAGAAAACAGGAGGAAGATGAAGTCTTTCAGAGACTGACAGAGATTGTATCCTTGACACTAGCCATTCGTTCATTCAACAAATATTTATGAACACCTACTACATATCAGACATGATCCTAGATACTGCAAATATGGTGGTGATAGGCCAGGGCCATGCCAATGGGGTTTTCCTTCCGGGGGAATAGAGTCGGAAATAGAGGGCCATTATAGATCTCCATTATGTAGGGTCAGTAGAATGATCCCTGGCTTGAAATCAGAAAACAGTTTAATTGTTCTTTTTTGTTGTTTTGTTTGTTTGTTTGTTTGAGATGGAGTCTCACTCTGTTGCCCAGGCTGGAGTACAGTGGCACGATCTCAGCTCACTGCAACCTCCACCTCCCGGGTTCAAGTGATTCTACTGCCTCAGCCTCATGAGTAGCTGGGATCACAGGCGTGTGCCACCAGGCCCAGCTAATTTTTTGTATTTTTAGTTGAGACAGGGTTTCACCATGTTAGCCAGGATGGTCTTAATCTCCTGATCTCGCAATCTGCCCACCTCAGCCTCCCAAAGTGCTGGGATTACAGGCATGAGCCACTGTGCCTGGCCAGAAAATAGTTTAATTTTTTAACTTTCCCTTAAAAGCTGTGTGATCTTGAGCTATTTGCTTAATTTTGAATACGTTTTGTCATCTGTAGAATGGGGACAGTGCCTACCTTACAGTGTTGTTTTGAAGACTAAATGAGATTTACCACATTCAAAACATGGTATGGGATCATTTTCAAAATATCTTTCGAAGAATATACTTGTTAGAGTAGGTAGCTAGGCAGACATGAGCTGGACAGGAGAGTCCCCGACCCCAGGAATGTCAGGCAGCCATTAGGTGGTAGTCAGCTGGTTGTTAAACTGTCTCTTTAAAATAATAATTGGTTGCAGCTGGTGCCAGGGAAAGGCTGTGTCTCAATAGATAGAAAACACCTGAAAGTGATGATCAGCACCTTCCCAATAAGATCTTGGGAGCTGGGTGAGCAGGCTTAAGCATGTGCACTAAGAGGCAAAATGGCAGAGTTTAACTGGTATATGACCCTCTTTTTGGAACACATGACTGATAAGGGAAAAGTGCCTCAGATGAGCATGCGCACAACTTCAGTAACCACCTTGCATGTGGCCCACCTTGCATGTGGCAGGCCACACTGTGCAAGCAGACAGCCTGCCCCAAGGGAAAAATCAAGGGAGGAGAAACAGAAACCCTGGAACTATGTCAATGTATAAAACCCCAAGTCAAGGGCCGAACAGCATGCTTGGATCTCTCAAGTCACCCATTTGGCCCTCTTCCAAGTGTGCTTGACTTCCTTTTGTTCCTGCTTTATAACTTTTTAATAAACTTTCACTCCTGCTCTAAAACTGCCTCAGTCTCTCCCTCTGCCTTATGCCCCTCAGCCGAATTCTTTCCTCCTGAGGCAAAAATCGAGTTGCTGCGACCCATATGCCCTCACTACTGTTAACACACTGAGTAAATAAAAAATAGAAAAAGGCCTTGAAATGTATAAGATATAGTTCTACGTGTATAGGACACTTGGCAAGTGTGAGATACCATAACATTAGATATCAAAACAGGCAGCAATCTCTGTCCTTGGGACTCACATTCTACTCGGGGGCGACAGACCATGAGTATTATATATAAGTCAATCTTGAGGTATGTTTAAGGTCACTCATAGATAGAGGAGGGCAAAGGGAATGGGGAGGGCAGGGGCGTGTAGTTTTAGGAAGAGGGTTCAGTAATGGCCTTACTGAGGAGGCATCTCTGGGGCAAAATGTTGAAGAAGGTGAGGAAGTGAGCCAGGGCTGCCTGGAGGAAGAGCATTTGTTGCAGGCAGAGATAACAGCCAGGGCAATGACCCTGAGATGGGAGCTTGCTGGGTGTACTCCTGGCCCAGCACGGTGGCCGGTGTGGTTGGAGTCGATGAGCAGGGGGAGAGACAGGAGGCCTGGGTAATGGAAAGTTCACCTAGATGGAAGATCTCCCTGATTAGACGTCTGCATTCCAATCCCAGTGTCACGATTCTCACTTAACCTTTCAGTGGTTAGTTTAAAAATAAAGTTATCAGGCTTTTTTCCCCATGTGATTTGTCTCTTAATCCAAAATTCCTGCTATGAAGGATTCCAGTTAGTAGCATTTTAATGTGCTCAAATAGAGAAATAAAGGAAAGTCCTTATTATTTGAAAAAGCCTTTAACACTGATAACAGGATGATTTTGTTTCCCCACTTAATATTTCTTTGCAGCCATTGTAGTTCACTATAACTTCATTGAAAACACAGAAGAGGCCGGGCGCGGTGGCTCACGCCTGTAATCTCAGCACTTTGGGAGGCCGAGGCAGGTGGATCACGAGGTCAGGAGATTGAGACCATCCTGGCTAACACGGTGAAACCCCGTCTCTACTAAAAAGCAAAAAATTAGCCGAGTGTGGCGGCGGGTGCCTGTAGTCCCAGCTACTCGGGAGGCTGAGGCAGGAGAATGGCGTGAACCCGGGAGGCAGAGCTTGCAGTGAGCTGAGATCGGGCCACTGCACTCCAGCCTGGGCGACAGAGCGAGACTGTGGCTCAAAAAACAAAACAAAACAAACAAACACAAAAAACACACACAGAAGAAATTTGTAGAAGACAGGAATCTGACTCTTCACCTTCCTTAGTTTTCCAGACTGGCATGTCATGGAAAGATGTGAACATCTGAAAGTGTTTCCTCTTGGAGTGGGTGTCCAGCTCCCTCATCACCATAATAGGTAGTCAAGAGAATAAAGTCTCTAGTTTACAATTAGGCTTGCTCTTCTTTTATCGGAACGCCTACTCACACCAGAAAAATTTATTTTTACAGGTCAGAGAGTAGTACACCACAACATGCAGCCCACAGTGTTTTGGTTATCATACCTTTCATCCTGCGGGGAACATGAGGACATTTATTTTTAAAAACATAAAAAGTTAACATTGGGTTTTCAAAACTCTAGGGCTTTTTGGCTTGTTCTCTGAACACTTCACAATGTGGACACACTGAGAAGCTCTGTAAGAGCTGAAAAAGTCTCCACTATGTCTTCAAAGGTTTGCTTGTGCTGCTGTTGAATTGTTAAACATTTTATTTATCATGATCTATCAGGCACACTCTTAGGACTGAGATGAGTATTGCCAATTAACTCTAGTAAAAATGTTGTTTGATAACTAAAAGCAGTGAGTTCCACTTCAAGAGAACTGTTCTCTGGGGTAGGGCACTGGCATCTAGTTGCACATAATCTCAGGGGCAAAATTATTAACCCAAAAGACCAGGTTCAACTGACAAGCCCAAAGCTCCCTATCCCTAGTGTACACAGCCAATCCAAAAGCAAGAGATAAGAGACAAGAGAGAAATGATGGCTGTGTGGTTTCAGGGCGGCAAGATCAGCACCATAATCATAAGGGTATCTTATGAGGATGTCCCTAGTGACCAACTCACTTCACCCCTGCACACCCAGTTTTCCTCTATGTAAACTGGAATGCTGTTGCTTCTTCCATCTGTTGGAGGTTTTAAAGACAGGACCTGGTTTCTAGATAGCTTTGTAATCCCAGGTTGCATTAATAGAAACATAATATCCAGATTAAGCCAGGAACTGATCTATCAGCATTCAGTATTGGTAAGACTGGTTTAGAATTACTGGTGTTTGGTTCTGGCCCACTGTTTTTAGATGGGCACTGATAACTTGGATAAGATCTGGAGGAGGGCACCAAAATGGTGAGGTGTCATATGCCCTGTTGTCTTTCTGTCTCTCTTGTTCCTTTTTTTTTTTTTTTTCTGAGACGGAGTCTCGCTCTGTCACCCAGGCTGGAGTGCAGTGGCGTGATCTCGGCTCACCGCAAGCTCCGCCTCCCAGGTTCACGCCATTCTCCTTCCTCAGCCTCCCGAGTAGCTGGGACTACAGGCGCCCACCACCACACCCGGCTAATTTTTTGTATTTTTAGTAGAGACGGGGTTTCACTGTGTTAGCCAGGATGGTCTCGATCTCCTGGCCTCGTGATCCACCCGCCTCGGCCTCCCAAAGTGCTGGGATTACAGGCGTGAGCCACCGCGCCCGGCCTCCTCTCTCTTTTATACTTACTCATTCCTCTACATTCTCCCATGTGTACCAATCTTCATTGCATTCTATGAAACGCAAATTTGTCCCATTTGTGTATTATCATTTTTCTTGACAGTTACTCAGAGTTAATTAATATATAGCATCACCCCTAGCACCCACCACCGCCATTGAGAATCAGAAATAAGAGCCAGATGTGTGTAAAGAGGTCAGAGGGGCCACTAAATGGGTATCTAAGATGATACTAATCCCTAACCTTATTAGGATTTATCATGTGCCGTGAAATACATGGATCACAGAATTAAACCACTAAAATTGACCTTAAATAATACATACATTTCATAAGAAATAAAAATATATCATTCAAGAGAATATACTTAATTTCTTTTTGTATAGTAACACAAAAGCTGCCAGGAAAAAAAAAGTAATTTTCTGAAATAAGTAATGCCTAATACATGGCCTTGGCCCATGTATAAATTAAAATGTAGCTTTTGTGAATTGCTAAAATAATACTTCTTTCCATAGTGTGTATTTTAGGTCATCAAAACGACTTGTAAATTTAAAAATCAATTATAGTGCTGTTAGGTGATTGAGAGGAAAGCCAGTGGAGTGAGTGTTTGATGAAGGCAGAAGAGAGGCATCAAATATTCAGGTTGTAACAGAGCAAGTAAGAGCAGGCATTGCAAGTCGACATGAATGAAATACTCATTTATAGAGAGGAATGCATCTCTCTCTATAACTGTCTCAAGTAGTGGCTCTTCCCAAGTTCCAAAAACCATTAGATTTGGCTTAAGCTAAGTGAAATAAACAAAACTCTGCCTAAGTGAGAGCTAATTGTCTCCCCTTGCCTTTCAAAGTCATCAAATTCTAAAGTGGAATGTGTTGTTATTTCTTGGTTCAGATCAGAGCTGACCTGCCATTAGCATTAGGACAATCCCTCTCTCAAAGTGCACTGATGCTGAGGAGACAGAGATGCCAAAGTGTAACTGAGTTACATGAGCGTGTAGTGATGTGAATCAGTTTTGCCCTCCCTCCTCAGGGTTCGAGACCTCTGCAAGCATCATGATTTGGAGTTGGAGTGGTTTCTAGAGTTTCGGTCTTGCTCTGGGTTGTCATGGGTCCAACCCACTTTGTGATGCAGGTCTTCTAGAGTCATCTTATACCTTCTAAACAAACTCAGATCCCGATCAGATTTTTGGAGATTCAAGGCCACAATTTAGCACCAGAATTTTTCAGTTCTTTCTTGGAAAAGATGACCAGGGCCACACTGAACCATTTAGGAACAATTCAGCTCAGAGCAGAGAGCTTGGTCCATCTCATATCGAAACACCTAAACTTAGGGCTGGCATGCTGCAGGGAATCCCGACTATGGTTTCTTTCTCCCTTTTCATTCTGACTACTAGGGGCAAAGAATAAAGTCTAGATCTTCTTTTATCACAATTCAGTCTTTAATATATCAGGCTAAGTAAATTCTGTTCTTTTATTTAACTTGATGATGAAACAGTAACTTAAACAGGTATGTCTGATGTGACAGGATTTTTAGAAAGGGAATATTTACATATCTAATTTTAGTAATTTTTTTCTAAGCTACCTTTAAATTGCCATTAATAGGAGGTAATGACTATTACAGAGTATTTTTACTTTCAACTCCTTCTACATATATATTGGTATAAATGAAATACCAGGATTTAGTCGTTCAGCACAGTACATGGAACAGGAGTACATGAGGAAACAGAGTTCTAGAAATATACCAGTGCTTAAATAAGTGGCTTAAATTCTTATACTTTGGGCTCCAGAGCAAATCATTTTGTTCCTGCTAGTGATATTATGTCCAATTTTGTGTTTTTGTTTTCAGTTCTCAGGCATTATTCTGGGATTTTAGGGGGGCAGTAAGGTGGGGTGAAAAATTGTAGTTGACATTTTCATCTGGAGAAAAACAAGTCATCTGATAAAAGTAATTAATCTTCTAGTTCAAAGCAACTTCAGAATTTTATGTTTAGGAATTACCCATGGGCCTAATTAGTCCCATTTAGAATAATTTCTTAACTTTAGAATGCCTGGTGGACAGGGAAGATTTATTTACATGTCTAGATTTTAGTTAAGTTAAATTTTGCCTGGCTTGTTTAAATTTGTAGAAAAGCAAACCACTTATTTATTCTTCTTAAGAGCTGATTTGACGTAGATTGTTTGTATCAAAATACACTGATGCCTAGATTGGTTTGAAATCATTCTAAGTGATCAGCTAGTTTGATAACTGCTTAAAGGAAATAGCTTTGGATAAACAACTCAATGAGACTTTGGAGAAAACAAGCATCTCTTTTTTTTTTTTAAGGAGTGGCTATCCAATAATATCACTATGAAAAAAATAAGATGATTCTACTATTTTAAAGATCATACTGGAAGGGTAAAAACTGGAGGAAAAAAATATCTTCTAATACCAAGTATTATAATGAATATTTTAAACTCTAATTTGCAACCTCACTTTAAAACCTGGCAACCACACTTTACGAATCTGCCAAATTAAATATAATTTTTCCACTTTGAACTCATTTAAAAGATACTATGTTTATATTAATCACAAAATGTTATTTGAGGGAGTTCATAAAATACTACTCCATTTTCAAATTTTTGTTTTATAGTTTATTTTTGTAACATTTCAGATGAGTTTACACAGTAACTATGATTAAACAGTGCAAATTCACTGAAATATTTTGATGCTGAGTTTACATTTACATGCCAAACATTTAGAAATATATTAAGATATGACTCACTGCTACATGGTTTCCCATATAAGATGAGTCAAACCATGTTCCCTAAATAAAATATAGACAGATGAATTTTGGTACAACACAGTCATCTTATAAAATCTATTTTACTCATGGCCCCAATATCAACTTTAAAAGGGTTCCAGTATATCTGAAGAATGAACCAGATTTTTCAGTTTTTAAGCCTAATATTTGGCTTCATACATGGCCACGTACATCCTCCCCCAGAAATAGGATAAATAAAGAGTATTAATGAGAATTAACTGCCTTGAGACATTTCTATTATTTCTTGTTGAGAGAACCATTCCTAAAGTCTTCTTGATCACTATTAGCATATGGACATTATAAAATAAATAACCTGACAACTTGACCTGCAGTTCCTGGAGGATGAGTAAACAAAACTGATGTTAACCCACTGAGTCCACTCTTGTAAGAGTAATACTGTAGTGATGAGAGTACTCCCACATACACAAACATCACAGTAAAAGGTGCCTATGATTTTCAACTTCATTGTTCAAATAAAGGGTTCGCTAAGTGATCACAAGACAGCAGGCTTGGTTGCTTCCACATATTGACTTCCTAGAGATTACATATGAAGTTTAATCTGGTCTGGCTGTACACTATATGTGTATAACGGTAGTAGCAAGATTAAAATAGAAAGTACAGTCACTGTTTGGGGTTTCAAACAAATTACAAAACCACATACTTTGTCATTCAACAGGAAAGCTTAAATCAATAGGCAGCTGGATCTTCAATGCAGCCGATTGTTCCTCCAAAGGCCAAGTACCATGCTCACTGAGGGTAGGTTTTGTAGCTCCTTCTGACACTTTACATGAAGTGCCTTGTCAGCACATCTGTAGCCTTGACCACAGCTTAAATGTTTGTATACTCCTTTTTATTAGGGCAGCTTCATTTTGTTTACACACTGTTTTCATTTCTCCAAGGAACAATTTCAAAATGATCTTCCAGATGCTATATAACTAAGAACTTTTAAACTACTGACCTCAAAGGTCAGCCTGTTTACTGGCATCTGACTGTGTAGAACAGGAAGTTTGTGTTGCATCTTGTGTTCTTAATGAAATCCGACAACAGAGGACTGAACGCATTAGTCTCAGAACAGGAGGCCTAAGGATGGCAAAGACCCAAGGGTCAATTATTGAATTAATTGATAAAAACCTAAGAGCTTGGAGGTCCCATTTTTCCTTTCGGGAAGAGGTTTCATTCATATATGCAAAAATCTGTAAGAAGCAAAGGGGAAAAATGATGTTAGTTTTACATCGTAGCAGTAGACAGGCTTAGACCCTATGTTATGTCTTGAGATTTAAAAGCAAAACCATGTTTTGTCTGTGGTAGTGGTGGGGAACGAAAGGTGGGGGTTGGGAATCTTACCTTTCTTCCTTATGTAAACTGTAACATAATGAATGTATTTTTTCCCCTTGAACTCAATGAAAGCATGTTTTCTGTGGAATGCAATTAACATTAACACCATGCACAATGTCTTGGTGTCATTGGGAGTGGAGAGAAATAAACTTTTCTTGTCATCTAGAATAGAATCTTTTAACAATATAAATAATAATGATAATATTAGTAGCTCCAGTGTATCAATAACCTAATATATGTGTCATGAATTGTTCTGGGTACTAACCCCGCTTTATCTCTACTCCTTATAGAAACTCTGAAACTTAGAGATTGTCTCTTTTTAACAGATAGGGAAGTGAACTTCAGGAAAACTAATAACATGTTACATTTACTTCCAAATACTAAATCTAATGATCACAATTCAGCGAGACAGGGTCTGCAATGGAACACCCTGAGTGGGAGTATGAGTTCTGGCCATTGGACTGGGTTTGAATCCTACCTCTGTATATAGTTTGAGATCAATGGCAAGATATTAATAATGAACCTTTGTGCCTCAGTTTTGACATCTTTAAAATGGGTGATAATAATAACATACCCACTTCATAGAGTTGCTGAAAGGATGATAGGAAGTGATATGTGTAAGCTACTTAGATCAGTGCTCACATCCTAAGTGCTCCACAGTGTTCATTGTTATTATATCCATTTTACAAATGCAGACACTGGGGTATAGAAAATTAGATAATTTGCTCAAGTACCCAGAGCTGGTTAGTGGCCAAATCAGGATGCAAATTCCAACTCTCCTGATGCCAGTGCAGTGCTCACTGTGTGCTACGTGCAGGCCTGTATTAGAGCAAAGGCCTCAGAACAATGTCCTGAACACTGGAAAGCTGACACATCTTTACATATGGACCAAACTGCTCTACCAGCCCTCAAACGATTTCTTAGTTATTTAGGGAGCAACATAAATGTTTGGGCAGGTTGGAAGGAATGGAATAATGCATCTTGATAAAGATCACACTTCTACAAAATTCACAGAAAAGAGGAAAACAAAGGTAGATCACACCTAGTCATTTAAAACCAGTGCTTTATAAGGCTCCAGGGTCTTTCTTACCAATGGCTTTAGACACCTAGCCCCTCTTTTCTTCACTCGCCTTCTGCAGAAGAAGGAGCAGCTTGTTTCCCTTCTCTGAGTACTTACTCTGCAGGCATCTGGCAACTGGATATACAAAGCAAATTGCAGAGAGCGCAAAGGGTAGTCATCTTCAGTTTGCTTATGTTGGGACAAGAGCAGGAAGGTTTGGCAGCCATAGGTGTTTATGCCGGAGAATCTTGGCATAGGGAATGGAGAAAAGATTTGGCAGATGAGTAAGGAAAAAGAAGAATTGATGGTGGGTTTCCCAGAGAGTAGAGGAAAGCTAGGTGAGGAGGTGCAATGGAGCAATAGCTTTCTTGTCAGTTAAACTATTTTGGATGAAAACTACACAGGCTGGTGTGTTAAAAGAGTGATTTGGAGGTAAGAAATTCAGGATAATGATGCACATAGGTCTACAGATTAAAACACATATTAGTGATTACATATGCACACACACGTGTGCACATGATGCATAACTGAGCACTCCTGTAGAAAGGGCCTGCAGCTGAGTTGATGATCTAGTTTAACCAGAGAACATATTCACACTGAATTGGCCAGCCAAGAAGTGCAGAAAAGGCATAGCCTCTGGTGTTGCAGCTTCACACATTAAGATGAGTCAGGTTTTCAGGGGAGAATAACCCACATCAGAGTTCCTGAATGTCTTTAGAGCGTGACAGAATAATGAGAAGTGAAAATTGGTTGTAGAGGATGAAGCAATTCTGTACTGTTTCCTTTCCTTTATCATCTACTATGCTGGGTAATTTTGAGAATTGCTTAAAATTTGCACTTTGGAGGTGACCAATATTTTGTAGAAGACGGCTTTTTTTTTGAGATGGAGTCTCACTCTGTCGCCCAGGATAGAGTGCAGTGGCGTGATCTCCACTCACTGCAACCTCTGCCTCCTGCGTTCAAGTGATTCTCCTGCTGCAGCCTCCTGAGTAGCTGGGATTACAGGCACCCGCCACCACGCCTGGCTAATTTTTGTATTTTTAGTAGAGATGGGGTTTCACCATGTTGGACAGGCTGGTCTTGAACTCCTGACCTCAAGTGATCTGCCTGCCTTGGCCTCCCGAAGTGCTGGGATTACAGGTGTGAGCCACTGCGCCCAGCCAGTTCCTTCTTTTATACTTGGAGAAGAGACATACTTCAGTGACCCTCGAAATTCTTGATGTAAGTTTTGTCTTCTACCTCCCCATTTTTTTCTTTTGGTTCTTGTCTTTTGCCTAGATTACTATATTTTTGATCTTATGGATACTGGGATTTTAAAAAATTGTGGTAAAATAAATATAACATAAAATTTACCATTTTGCCATTTTCAGCTATACATTAAATACATTTACATTGTGGGGCAATCATATTGTTTATATTTTCACTTTTCTGCATATTATGCTTTGACATCTTAAATTCTTCTTGGCTGGGAGAGAATGCCCCTCCGGGGCTAGCTAATTTGTAGAGATAGCAAAGAGTTAGGCTGGGAGCATGTCTTTGATATACAGACTAACCTATCCAGGGCCAGAACTCTTCTATCAAGGAAATATTTATTCCTCTGCTTTTATCATTCCAATGCCAGGTACCAGGCAACTAGGGACCACCCCTATAGCTTAGAGCCTGCTGAAATTATTCAACCTAACCAATCCTAAACTGTTTACCCTGCTCTGCCTTTCTTGTGGAAACTCCAATAAAGGCTTGGCCCAGGTCCTCCCCACCCTCCTGCCTCTCTGCCTCCTGACTGAAACCGATGCTTTTTCATGTGGCCCTGAGTGGTCCACCATGTCTGTGTTTTCCTGAACATCTCCTGTGTCTCTTCTTGTGGATGCACTTGACTGCATCCACGTAAAAGAACAAAGAACAGCAACCATCACTACCATCTCCAGAATTATTTTCATCATCCCAAATTGAAACTCTGTACCCATTAAACAATAACTGCCCATTCTCCTCTCCCTCCGGCCAGTCCTGAGTTTTTAGTTAAAGGATGTCACAAAGGATATAAGATAATTAATTAATAATATGTCAGTGATATTCGGCAATTCAGTTTCAGAGGTTGGTAGAAGTTATCCATCTTTTTGTGTGCACTACCAATGTATTTGTTATGAGAAAAATACCAAGTGCTAATCCCAATGAGTCAAGTGAATTTTAATTCCTCAGGGCAGGCTGTCTCTACAGGGCTTTGTTAAGAAGGTAAAGCCTTGTTGTGACATTTACAAAGTGGCACAGATGAGAATTAGTGCTATTTTAGCATTGTCATGTATAGAAGCAGCCTCCCATAGAAAACTTCATTTTGGCACTGACCAGGTACTATTCTTTTGCGCTACTTTTCTATCTTTAATGCAATTACAAAGTGGGTTCAGAATTTTAGAGCAAATGAGGGCTTTATTTGGCCGATCATTGAAATCACCTGAGGAGCTTTAAAAATAGGTTGGGTGCGGTGGCTCACGCCTGTAATCCTAGCACTTTGGGAGGCCGAGGCAGGCAGGTCACCTGAGGTGAGAAGTTTGAGACCAGCCTGGCCAACATGGTGAAACTACATCTCTACTAAAAAATACAAAAATTACCCAGGCGTGTTGGTGGGCACCTGTAATCCCAGCTACTTGGAAGGCTGAGGGGAAGGATTGCTTGAACCTAGGAGGCAGAGGTTGTAGTAAGCTGAGATCACACCACTGCATTTCAGCCTGGGTGACAGAGTGAGTCTCTGTCTCAAAATAAATACATACATACATACACACATACATACATACATACATGCATAAAAATATTCTGAGGCATTTCTCCCTTCCCCAGATGTTGCAGGAAGTCAGGGACCCCAAATGGAAGGACTGGTTGGAGCCGCGGCAGAGGAATATAAATTGTGAAGATTTCATGGACATTTATCCGTTCCCAAATAATACTCTTATAATTTCTTACGCCTGTCTTACTTTAATCTCTTAATCCTGTTATCTTCGTAAGCTGAGGATGTACGTCACCTCAGGACCACTATGATATTTGTGTTAACTGTACAAATTGATTGTAAAACATATGTGTTTGAACAATATGAAATCAGTGCACCTTGAAAAAGAACAGAATAACAGCGATTTTCAGGGAACAAGGGAAGAAAACCACAAGGTCTGACTGGCTGTGGGGTCGGGCAAAATAGAGCCGTATTTTTCTTCTTGCAGAGAGCCTATAAACTGACATGCATGTAGGGAAGATATTGTTAAATTCTTTTCCTAGCAAAGAATATTAATAATTAATACCCTGGAGAAGGAATGCATTCCTGGGGGGAGGTCTATAAACGGCCGCTCTGGGAGTGTCTGTCTTATGCGGTTGAGATAAGGACTGAAATACGCCCTGGTCTCCTGCAGTACCCTCAGGCTTACTAGGGTGGGGAAAAAAACCCACCCTGGTTAATTTGAGGTCAGACTGGTTCTCTGCTCTCGAACCCTGTTTTCTGTTGTTTAAGATGTTTATCAAGACAATACGTGCACCACTGAACATAGACCCTTATCAGTAATTCTGCTTTTGCCCTTTGCCTTGTGATCTTTGCTTTTGCCCTTTGCCTTGTGATCTTTGTTGGACTCTTATCAGGAGTTTCTGATTTTGCCCTTGTCCTGTTTCCTCAGAAGCATGTGATCTTTGTTCTCCTTTTTCCCCTTTGAAGCATGTGATCTTTGTGACCTACTCCCTGCTTACACCCCCTCCCCTTTTGAAATCCTTAATAAAAACGTGCTGATTTTGCAGCTCAGGTGGGCATCATGGTCCTACAGATATGTGATGTCACCCCCAGCGGCCCAGCTGTATAATTCCTCTCTTCGTACTCTTTCTCTTTCTCAGCCGGCCAACACTTATGGAAAATAGAAAGAACCTAAGTTGAAATATTGGGGGTGAGTTCCCCCGATACCCAGAGACTCCAACTTAATTAGTCTAGGCTGAGCCATGGGCATCAAGGTTTGCAAAGTGCTCCAAGTAATTTTAATATGCAGCCAGGGTGTGAGACATCCCTTTAGAACCTTATCTAAAACCTGGAATAGTTTAAAATTATTCATTTATCACACTTAAAAACAAAAGGCCCACTTAGGTCAATCAAACAAATGACTTTGAGCTTTCAGAATTCATTTCCTGACCATTAATATACAATCTGATTTTCCCTTGAAATGGAATCCCCTAGAGATAGCAGCTAACATTTATTAAACACCTACTGTGTGTTAGGCATGGTGCCAAGCAATTTATAAGGCATATTTTGTTTAATATTTACATAAACCTACGAAGTATTATTATTCCTATGTTAGAAGGAAATGAAGGTTTAGAAGATCAGTTACTTTGCATAGAATTACAGTCTGGGTAAGTAGAGAAAATGTGGAGTCAAACTGAATCCATGGGACACCAAACTTGGCTTTTAGCCACTAGACACTCTGCTGCCATCTATATAAAAAGCCTGTAATGTAAAGCTTAGCATGAAATTCACAAATGTCTGACCACATTATGGGTTTGGAGGAGATTTCTCTTCAAAGATTTCTCTTCAAAAGTTTATGGATATCATGGTTCCTGTTTATGGACTGAAAAACCATGGCTATTTCTAAGTAGCTACTTAGCTTTCTCTGGGACTTGTTTTTCCTCCACACTTTTCCACAGCTAAATTGCAAGCATAGATTGTTATATGTTTACCTGCCTTCTGAAAGACACTAAGGTGTCCTGACTATAGACTTTGCCTAATTCATTCTTTAAAAAAAAACATTTTGGGGGGAGATTATTTTTCAGGTATATGATGCTTTAAAGAAGTCCCTTTGCCTGAATCACAGGTGCTTTGTGGTAGAGGGAAACAGAAGCCTATTTTCCTGCAATAGGAAAAACTGGATCCATGTGGCTCCAGGACTAGTGTCCTTTGTCTTGTGCTTCTCAGAACTGGAAACAAAAAAAGAGCAAATGCTAAGGTTTAGACCTCTGGGCCTATTTATTCCAAGATGGTGGCTCTTAACTCTTTGACAAACTGATGGACACTATGAACCATCTACCCACAACTCATACAAACATATAAACATAAACTCATATAAACGTTTTTGCAAATGAATTCAGGCAGAAAATCCAGGCACTTTCCATGCAGCACAGGTTATGGACCCTGCTCTAGAGGAACTTTCAGCCTTTCTAAATGTGCTTATCCGATCCCTGGCCCTTTCCATCACATGTATGTCCCAGCTGCAAGGTTCTTAGGTTTAGTTTTCTGTTAGGGGCAGTTTTAGGCAGCAAAATATTCTCAGAAAAATGGAGCTTGGTACACCTTGATAATATAAACTGAGGTACAATGGACTTGAGCTCAAGATAAGGACAGGGAGTAGAGGGTCAGAAATTTCAAAACAGGACAGGAGAAGCCAACTGAGCAGACTGAGTTGCAGATGAACTGGGTCTTAAGCCTCTAGCTGGAAAGAGACCTGTTCATTGCCTTCCTGAAACACGGTCTCACCATTTCTATTCTTTTTTTAAACTTAATACTGTGATTGGTTTTTGATATGCCAAAGAAGAAATATACCATCTCCAGAAGGTGTTTCTCTTTAAGCTGAGGACCTGGTCTAAACCATCTGAGATAGCAGTGAGGACCCACTTGACCAAAGGTGTGGACATAATGCACAAATTCTCTTTTGGGAAAAGAACTAAGGTTCTTTCTGTTTACATTTTTAAAACCAGTGTAATTGTGTCTTTATTCAAATCAGCATTCATAATATCAAATGGCAAAGGAGAAAAGACGTCAAGTGAAAACACTCATATAGAGGAACTTTCTCTTAAAACATCATGTGTATTAAAACTGTCTCATCGATCCCCAAACACATGGTTAATGATGCTTAAATGATAAAGGGCCTTCCAGTTGTTTATGGACATTAACTTAAACTATCACCAGGCAAAGTTCATTGTGGTTATACGTAGAGATGTCTGGAGTTCTTTTTCATTCCTACCAGAATTGTTATATTTGGCATGTATATAATCTACCAATGTCATATCAGCTTTTCAACCCCCATTCATGTTATATTTTACATAATGAGTACCAGGAATGAAAAGGAAACTCTAGTACTGTTTACTGGAGTTTGTTTTGTATTGCCAAGATCAGATTTCCACTAATCAGATTTACCTAGAAGTTATAACCCTAAAGAATTTCTAAAGATGGAGAACTTTTTAGTATGAGTCAATGGTTTACTCTTGAAATTTTAGAACTGAATAAAAATACATAAGCACTTTATCCTCATGGCATGTGGAAAACAGTTTAAAATGGCCAGAAGCTATCCACAATTAGAAAAGTGGCGAGAAAGGGGCTTGATATGAGTTGGATATGAAGACACAAACAGTATCTGAGGCAAGAATAGAGGTCTCATATATTTCCTGTGTTCTGTTCCATTTCAGGAAGAAAGTTTCTATTTATCTCTGTAAAACGATGGCAAAGCTGATTAACATAAGGAGGAATTTATTAATTTATACAATATCCCTTTAGTGAATAAACAGTTTGGAATATGTTGTTGGTTCCATGCAGAATTTCATACTGGGCAGCCAAAATAATGTCATTTCCCAAACACCACATGGTTTTTGGTCACTTAAGAGATGTTTTATTTGTTCTGATGAAAGATTTTATGTGAGGGATAATCTGATTATTTCTTAATTTAGACCAGCATTTACATTAGCCAATCTCCTAGAATCTGAGTCTCAGCCTTTTATTTCATAGGTCTGTGGAGAAAAGAAAGGGAACCACATAGTTGGCCCTGGCTCAGCTCCCTTGAGCTGACATGAAGAAAAAGGTCTTTGCCATTTTATTTTTAAAGCTAACTAGTTGGAATTAAGAGGCAAAGTGGTCCAGATATTTATAACATTCTCACAGCTCTTTTATGAAATCTTAGATTAATCTTCTCATCTGTTACCCCTGAAATGAGTACTTTCTCTTGGATAGTGTTGTGGTTAGGTTAATTGGCTCAGTGCTTAAATTGCCTAGCTTTGAGTCCCAGTTCCACCACCCATTAGCTGTGGGACACAGGGTGAGTCATTTGCCTCGTCTGTACGATAGAAATCATCATACTATTTCCTACGGTGCTGTGAAGATAATGGGTTAATGCAAAAGTTAGCATTCAAAAGTCTGATTTTGTGGTCGATAATAATGACATATGAGGTTGAATTGGACTTCACTTGAAGGGACTGGGCCTTTAAAAAAAACTACAGTTTTACTTCCAAAATTTTGGAAGCCCTAGACTGGCATCTTTGGAGGAAGCAGTAATTCCAACCTGCCCAAACCTTGGGACAATGCCTGACATTAGTAGTTCTAGGTTTCTGAATTCCCCCATTTCCCTCCTCTGTCCACTACTGGAGTGCTGTGGAATAGACTGGTGTCCCACTGGGTACAGCTGTCCTCCTTGTTGCCAGTGGTTTGGTCCACTTTTGAGGGACAAAGAAAGCAGCTTGTTATCCTGAGGAAGGAGTGGGAAGAGATAGAGTAGATTGCTACTATTTTCTGGGATACAAGGAAGAAACTTACTTGGAATAGCTTATTAATAATTATTTTACATAACTAATATTTTGAATTGATAATATTTTAGATATATTGGGTTAAATAAAATATGTAATTCAATTAATTTTCTCTGTTTCTTTTTACTTTTTGTTATATGACTACTAGAACATTTAAAATTCCGTTTGTGGCTTGCATTTGTGGTTCACACTGTATTTCTATCAGATCATGTGCACTCCGTTAGAGAAACAGAAACATTTCTGAAGGCAACCATAAACCTTTGCTTCTAGAGCCCCCTGTTAGGACATGTGGAAATGATTCCTGCTTCAGGTGGGAGATTGGTATAGGCCACTTCTGACCACAATTTTAGTGTGGGCCAAGTAGAATAAAAGGACTTGGAGGAAAAAGCAACCTCCCCTGGAGGCACATGCCAAGGATTCTGAACAGCAGAATGTATGAACCAAACAGTAGCCATGAGCTTGAATTTTCAGATAAGCCCTTCAAGAAATAACTTAAATCAAGATAGTACAGCATTTCATAAAGCTTAAAGTGCTATGTAAGTGAAAGATACTAGCAATTATTCCCAATAATCTATTGACAAAATAAAATCCATCAGTGGTCAATATAAATTTTCTTACTAAGAGGTGACAATGCTTCCAATTTCCATTTTGTGTATAGTTCATCTGAATATGGTGTCATGGTAGCTCCAACAATGGAAGTCAGGGAGGCTGGCTTTCTGATTATGTTCACACTAGGATTTTCTCCGGCTCTTTGGGAATCTTTGCCAGAAGCAAAAGCAGTTTGCTGATAGTGTCAATGCTTAGAGGTGGTTTGGGGGAGCTAAAGCCCCTTCATAGTCTCCATCTGGCTCCCCCTAAGCCATAAACAGGAAATTGAAATAAAAACACAGCTTCAAAGCAAAGCTCCTACTCCCTCAACACCTTTTAGCCAGATTTCTGTGGCTAAGCCCCTTCTATCTGGCAACTCTGGAGCAGCCCTTGGCCTAATATTAACTGAGGGAGGGAAAACAATATCTATATCTATATCCACACACATATATTTGAATTTACAAAAACATAAGGCAACGATGGAATTCTCATGGTAAAAGGCCAATTTACATGAAAACAGGGCAACCTGTTGGAAACCACTACCTTTATTTAAAAAAAATACAGTTTATGCAATGGGTCAGTCATGATCAAAGAGGAGAACTTTTTCCTCTTGCTCGTGTAGGAAAGAGACTAAAAATCGTTTCACAAGTGTGTTATCACCCCAAACCCATTCCCAGGCTATTTAAGTAGCTGATAGTGGGGGATATTTTTATAAATATACTCACAAATGACAGATAAAACCCTAAGAACTGATTATCTTAATTCCCAACACCCTAAGACAGTCTTTCAGGAATAGTTTCTGATCCCCAAGCTGAATGCAAAGCTGTTTGGTGGAACTTGAAATGCTTTCTTTCATAGATATATGTTCTGCATCCTAGTGCTGACCTTCAAAAGCTGATTTAGCTCCTAACATAATCAAAAGCTCCTACCAGTAAAATAAATCAAAAGCATATAAGCCATGTGGGTTTCTACATCACAGCGTTTCTGTTGCATAAACTCCCCTGCTCAGAGTGGTATGGGAGATGCAGCCTCCCACAGTCCGACTTCATTTTATAAGAGGGCGTCTTTGAATATTCTATCTCATTCCCTCAAAGTGTAACCAATTCAGAACAGTTTCTGCCCTGACAGAGGATGGGGTAGAAGGGTGAGGACAGTGGGGACCAGGGAGAAGAGAACGTAGCTAAGGGAGTTAACTGGGCTGGGGAGGAGAGAATCATATTCAGACCTTTGGGACCCTGTGTCCCTTCCCATCCCTGAGGATGAGCACATGAAGATGTAAGAAGCAGTAATGGAGGCAGGAGATAGGATAAAGTTACTTCTCCTCCAGCTTTTACAGGTCAGACCTGTTAATAGTAGGCACTGCCCATCTCTTTTCTCCAAGATTGTGGCAGGTGGAAGTCACTATTAACTGCTTTGATGCTGCAGCATCAGTCTTGCTCTTCTGAAGATTAGGAAGTGGAGTTGCCACAACTCCCAATTCCTAGCCCCCGTAAGAGGCCAGCACATTCTCGGACATATTCCAGGCTCAGCTAAAACGTTACACTTGAGGAGACTTGAACTCACAGCCTCATATCATTTAGCAGTTAGTTAGCATCAAATAACTGCTAAAGTTGCCCCAAATCAAGGCAGCACGATGCCAGGACTTGGTCTCTTGTCCTTCAGTTCCCCAGGTAGCCCCACTCTTCCCTTCCTGAGAGGGACCAGCCATTCCTGCCTGTGGCTTTGTGCTCATCAAGTGCATAACTGTAAGCTGAAGGACACCTGTGTGTATTTCTGACAGTGACATTAAGAGCGTGTTTTGCAAGATATTACAAATGCTTAGCAAGATGTTCCTCCAAGTATTTCCTCTAGTTATCATTATGGTTTTATAAACTTTCATGGCCACAAAGAGTTACATTCAAATATATAAATTGGGAAACCTATAAACTAGATGTTTGTTGGACTTTTAGGACAAATAACAAATGCTCTAAACTTCTGCTTCAGGGACCCTTCTCATCTGGGACCATTTTCAATGGCAGCTGGAATGCTATGGGTTGGGTACTACATTTTGCCCTGGCAGGAACAGAAGGCAAGCATGGAGAACCAGCACCAGTGGATGAGAGGTACAGGGCAGCAAACTGCAGCTCCAGGTCGTCAGGCTGGAACAGTGACAGCCATCCTAAGGTGGAAGGGGCTGCCTCTTTCTCAATTACTAAGCCAAGATAGGCAACAGCGAGAAAGGGACACTGCCCAGGGCTAGGATGAGGAGATTGGCTAGCTTAGCTGAGGCCCAGGACTCCCTTTCGGACGGTCTGTATTATTGTATAAGAAACTCTAGCCTAGCAACGCCCATAAGCCAGGATAAGGAAGTGGGCTAAAGAGGAGGGGAAACTAGTGGGGAAGGCTACAGATCTTTACAAATTAGGACATATTTTTACAAGTTGCAAAAAGTTTGTAGGGCGGTGGAAAGGGTGGAGGCGTCAGGGGAGAGCATGAGAAGGCTGAGCAGAGCCGGGCTGTGGAAACGTAGGGAGTGACTTACCGTGAAAGGCAAGGAGCAGACGGCGAAGGTGATGGTCATGATAGCCAGGAGAATGAGGTGGTCCGTCTCCTCCGCCATGGACACCCTTTCCCCTCTCCTGCGGGCCCCGGGGCCGCCCCGGCCACTGCCCAGGGAAGGTCCGCAGCGGCTTCTCCGGCTTCGGCGGTGCATGCGGATGAGGTTGAGAATGACACTGAAGTTGCAGGCGAGCACCGAGACAATGAGAAGCAGCAGCAGGGTGGCGTACAGCTGCAGGTAAGCGGTCCGCCCGTGCCGGATGAAGCACCAGGTCCCGGGGCAGTACTGGACGTACTGCCCATAGTCCAGCAGCGGCAGCGAGCAGAAGAGCAGGGAGACTGCATAGATGACAGGCAGCACGGCCAGGCCCCCGGAGCGCGAGACGCGGCGCTGGTAGAAGTAGGGGTGCCCGATCGAGAGGTAGCGCTCCAGGGCCATGGCGAAGAGCATGAGCATCGTGGCCAGGCTGAAGAAGGTCATGGCGAAAGCGAAGTAGGTGCACGCGCGGCTCTCGGGCGCCAGTGCCACCAGGGTCTGGTTCCGCGCGTACGAAGCCAGTACCACTGGGCTGATGAGGCAGGTCCCGAGCAGGTCGGTGAACACCAGCTCGGTCACCAGCACGTGGAACAAGGAGAGGGAGCTCCTGCGGCCGGCGCTGCACCCCACGTCCCCCCGCCAGCGGCGCGCCAGCAGCGCCAGTGCTATGAGGTTCCCCAGCACCCCGGCCGAGAACATGACGGAGCTGATGGCTGGGCTTTCGCCTGGGGGAAGCCACTGTCGCGTCTCGCAGTCCTCAGACTGGGAGTCATTGGAGGCATTGCCCATGGTGGGGTGCCTGGAAAAGAGATGCGCCCTCCTCTCCCGGCCTTTACCTGGGAGGAAGAGGGTCTGAGAGCCGGAGCGTTCCGAGACTCAGAGGAAAAAGGGGAGGGACCGAAATCCAGAGCCCCCTTCCCGCACCCAGCGCGCCGACGGCGGCTTGCCCTGGGTCTCCCGCCGCGCGCCGAGTGGCGGCTCGGCTGCTGCATCCGAGCGGCGCTCGAGGCTCCCGCGCCTACCCGCGCCGGCCAAGGCCGGGAGCCAGAGCCTAGGGGAGCCGTCGTCTCCGCCCCCGCACTGTCGGGGGGCGGGCCCAAGAGTGCTGGCCAGGCCTTGCAAGTGCGAGTGTCCGCGAGCTGCAGGGGAGGCAGGACGCGTCACACTCGCGGGGGCGTTCCGAGTCCCTGGGGCGCGCCGGCGGGGAGGGAGAGAAGGAGTCTGAGCACCCGCTGGGCGCGGCACTGGGCAGAGGCGCGCGTGTTGCCGGTGTACTGAAGCTGCCCGCGACCGGCGGGAGCGGCGTTTCTCGCTTCCTCGGGGTCCGGTACTCGAAGCGCACGGCAGTCTGACCTCGGCTGGGAAGCGTTAAGCCCCAGCAGAGGGCTGGGAGGGAGTGCAGGAGCACTTGCGGGGTCTGCGCAGAATACACAGAAGATCGGGGCAACGAGCAAAGCAAAGCAACTCACCAAACAATGAAGTTAGGAGAACCCAATCCCGTGAAATGAGCGGAACAAGGGAATAACAGTGCAAAGGCAGCTTGAAGTAAGACCAGAATGTTTTGCTTTGTTTTTACTATTCCCAGGAAGATACACTAAGAGGTTGGGACAAAAATTGGGATGAAGCGTAAAGCAAGTGTGTCCATCCAAGGAACCAAACCACACAATGCGCACCACCGAGCGGCCTGTTGCACTGCCGCTTTGATTCGGTTACTAGCATTTCACCGTTTCCTATGTCAACAGCATAACGGATAACCACTTGTTTAAGCAACCATTAAAAAAAGAGGAGTGTGTCTTATACAGAATTGTGTTTGTGGATACAACATGAAAACCATTGCACATCACTGTTCTGTCCTTAAGCTGAGCCTTGTAAGAAAATGTTGATATTTTGTTTAGCCGTTTATCTTTACATGTTGTTAACCACGTAGTATCCATCCAGAAAGACTTGTTCCTGGCAAAGTGTATTGGTAAGTGGCCAGTTTCAGACTGGAGCTGACAGTAATGGTTTCCTACCACATATTGTCATAATTGCAGAGTCGTGAAAATGGGCTGATATTTAACACAAAACAAAACAAAACAAAATCCAGTTTGGCAGACAACATAGGTAATTGTGTTCTGTAAGAAGTCACATTCACTTGGGGAAGGGAGGCCAACTGGGAAGTGAAGGGTCTGATCTGCCTAGGGAACTGGCAAGAAAGACAGTCATAACGTGGGAGGAAGCAAAGATTGCCTGCTGAAGAGCCTATCTTGCTACAGCCTGCTTACTCTCCATGAATATTTTTTGCCAACTTTGATGATTCTGGCCTGGGGATTGGAATGCGGAGTTGGGGGGGGTGGTTCCCACTAGAACAAGCATAATTTACTGGATCGCTTGCAAAGTTTACAGGCCGGTTTTCACATGTCAGCAGGCACTACTTCAATCCCTAAACTTCTCATGGCATGGATTCCTAGGAAAGAGGATCTTAACTCCTACAGTTTTTCTTTCAAGCTGTAAACTCTGCAGGTCAGTAACAACTTATTACCAATCTTTGCCATCCATCTCTGACTATTCCCCTACTCCAACATTCCCCCATCTCACCCCAAGCAATGGGGAAACATCAAACTTAAATCAGAAGTATTTCTTAATAGGAAAACACTATGATTTATAGCATAATTCTGCACTGCAGTTTTACTATTAAATAAGGGATTTTAGATTCACTGAATTTGCACAGTGCTTATTTTCCGAATATTTTTATACCTTTTTAATTTTCATAAGGCCCCTCACAACAAAAACCTACTATTTAACCTTTCCTATATATTTGTCTCTAGCTTTTCTTTGGATGGGTACCTGGTGGCAGGCCGGCCCCTGGTTTTTGTGAATACGAGAGCAAGAGTGCAGTTGAAGATCCTCCCCCAGGCCCCTGCCCCCTTGTCTTCCTAACCCCTGACTCAGTCTTGCACCACAAGGAGTCTTGCACAGAAATATGTGGAGAGTATAGTTCAATATGTGGACAGTATAGTTCAATATGTGGACACTATAGTTGTTGATAACCAAGCTCTCTCCCCAAAGCCACCTTGGTCCTGGGAATATGCATCTCAAACATGCAAATGACCCTTGATTGGATGGACCTAGGGAAGATGCCTGATCAAGCCCTGGAAGCGAGTTATGGGACCAACATTTGAGCAGGAAATTTCATGATCTCAGGTACCTGGAAGGTGGTCTAGAATGGAGGGGTAATGGGGTCTGGGTGAATAGTGCCCTGAGGGTGTCTCACCTGTGGTAAGGTATGTGACAAGAGGAAGACTAGAGTGGGCCCTATAAATCTTGGGAGGCCAGTATCCTATTAATTACTGTGCTGCTCAGCATTGCTTGTTCAAATTACTCCTTTTAATTGCTTCCAGCATTTGGACAGAATACATACATATGTGTGTGTGTGTGTGTGTGTGTGTGTGTGTGTGTGTTTGGTTTAGCAGTTTGCTGTGTTCCCTGTTGCTAGATTGCTGAGTAGGAGAGTTGATAAGTTTGCTGTCGCTACGTAGCAACTGGACCATCACGTTTGTTCCTTTAAGTGCAAGTCTAATCTTGCTTGTCAGTTACCCCCAGTTAATTTTGTGGTTTAAAAGCTACTTCTTCCCATTTCTAATTTTAGTGTCAGCATTTTGATACAGTTTCAGTTTACATAGAGCCTAGAGTTCCTTAACAGAAAACAGATTAACACCCTCAATTCTAGAATTGAGCCATAGAGCTTTGCTAATTGTTTAGTTCCTGTTTGTGGGGCCATTGTATGTGGGGAACACTATGTGATGGTTAATTTTATGTGTCGACTTGACTAGGCCATGGGATGCCCAGGTAGCTGGTTAAACATGATGGCGGGGTATGTCTGTGAAAGTGTTTCTGGAGGAGATTAGTGTTTGAGTTGATGGACTGAGTAAAGCACATGCCCTTCTCAGTGTTGGTGGGCTTCATGCAATCCATTAGGGCTTGAATAGACTAAAAAAGTAGGGGAAGGTGAAATTCACTCTCTGCCTCACTGCATGAGTGGGGACATTGATCTCCTGCCGCTGACACTTATGGTTTTCAGGCCTTCAGACCAGGACTGGAATCTACACCACTGGCTCTTCAGCTCCCAGACTTTCAAACTTTGTCACCAGCTTTACTGGGTCTCCAGCTTGTACATGACAGATTGTGGGACTTCTCAGCCTCCACAATTGCATGAGTTGATACTTTATAATAAATATCTTTATGTATATCCATCCTACTGGCTGTTTCTCTGGCAAACCCTGACTAATATACACTTCTTAAAGTCTAAAGTTCATAGTGTTCATTTATGTATCCATGAATTCAAAGGACTGTGGAAGGTGGGTTACTTCCTTTAGGTCATTCTTCAAGAGAAAGCAAAGATAAACATGAAGGAAAGGAGAATTGCTTGGGCAAAAAGCTAACATTAATTCTTGTTCATAGTTTTATTGATGTTACTTTCCTCGTTCAAAAGACGAGTTTAAATTTATATTTTATGATTCCTATGCATGCATAAATACATTTTTTTTTCAAATTGAGTCCTAAGAACACCATCTGTGTCCTGTGGTATTTGAGACAAGGTCTACACTTCACGGCAGGAAGCAGAAGCCACCAAGAAAAGAGACAGGGTTTATTGGAAGTACACAGTGATAGTTCACTGCCCACTGGGGGTCTATTTTTTTTCTTACTAAGAAGTTCAAAGGTTGTAGGCTGGTTGAACTTCCAGGAGCCAGGCTGCTTCTTCCTCTAGCCCTGTGATTCCTAGTAATGCTGGCTTTGTGTCTCCATGCTCTCCCCATGTAGCTAGCAGCTGCTGCCTGTATCAGTCAGGATTCAACCAGAGAAACAGAGCCACTACGAGTGATTAAGAAAACATGGAATTTATTATTAGGCACTAGGCCTCCCTTGACCAATATTGTAGCCATTAGCCACATCTGGCTATTTAAATTTAAATTAATTAACATTAAATAAGAGTAACAACTTAGCTCCTCTACAGCACTGGGCACATTTCAAATGCTCAATAGCCACGTGTGACTTGTGGGTATCATATTGGGCAGCTCAGGTGCCCAATAAAACACTTCCATCATCACAGAAAGTTCTACTGGACAGTGCTGCCCTAGACCTTGCAGGATGTGAGACCTGGTGGAGGAGTCCTGGCATGGCTGTTTGTTGTCTTCGGTTCTAGTGTTGAGTCTGAAGTCACTATAGGTCAGTCAGGATTTCAGTCAGGGCAGAAAGTTGGATGTGGATGATAGCAAGAACAGACTGGAATCTGTGAGAACAAACTGAAATTCATGAATGACTGAAGTCCTTTAGGACAGACCGGATCTGCCTGTGTCTCTCACTGTCTCCAGCCTCAATAATACAGGTGTCCTGCAAAACATGCTGGCACCCTTTACCGAGCTACAGATGCACTTGGCTTAGGACTTGAAGAAGCCATAGGAGGAGATCTGGTGGGAGCAGGAGGAACTGTGAGTCTTGCTGCCCCATGCCAGCAAGGTGAGGCAGCAGGTCAGCGACAATGCGTGAGAACTGCCAATGTTCCTCACGCCTTGTGTTGTCCTTCACAGCATAAAAACCATGGCTGCTGCTTGGTTGCTGCCTCCCAGATCTCATGCAATATTTCCCTTGTGGCCAATGCTAACCTGGAACTATGGGAGGATTCTGCGTAACAGATGCTGCTTAGCTGGACCAACACAATACGAAGCCAACTACTGTCCCACGGGTCTAGGCATCAAGTCTACATGGAAGCCAGGGGCAAAGGAGAGACAGTGCTGGTGAGCTTGCTCTCTCTTGTGCCTGTTTCTTCCATCAGGAAAGCAAAAGGCTTTCTAGAAGCATCCAGATAGACTTCCCTCTGTCTTTTTAGCCAGAATTTGGTCATATTGTCATCCCTTAACTCCAAAAAAGGCCTACAGAGGGGATGTTGGGTTTTTCCAGCCTCTTCTAGAATAGAAGCAGGGAAGGGAGAGGGGCTGGGAATGGCTATTGAGTTAGTCACCCAAAGATGCCTACTGCAGATCTGCATGGTGCATTCCCCATCACTCCCCTACTGATAGCTAGAGAAGAAGCTCAAGAACGCCTATTCCAAATCCTTCATTTGCATGTGAAGAAATGGAGGCATTGAAAGGTTAAGTGGCTTACTCAAGGACACACAGAGTTAGTGCAATATATCTGGGAGTATGGTAGCAAACCATCTTATTTATTCTCCAGGCCACTATATATTGCACATACTGTCCATTAAAAGCCAGAAAGAAGTACATGGCAAGATGCTCATCCTCAGCACTAGAACCAAATCACTCAGAAAAATTTGAGTCTTACTTTTTGTCTGATGGTAAAGATTGGTAAAGTTTGGAAAGATTACGCACACCCAGTATAATCAGACATAGAGAAATGGGTCCGTTGTTGGTGACAGTATGAGTGCAATATTTATATGCATAAGGATTTGCATAGAACAGCATCTATAAGGATGTTCAACAAAATATTAATAGTAATTAAGTAGTACTTTCTTCTTTATACCTGTCTGTTTTGGTTGATTTTTCTGTAAGTATGTATTACCTTTATATTAGAATGCAAGGAAGCTGATTTTTGATTAGAAAAAACATTATCATCATTGGAGGACATAGTCTTCCTACTTAGTAGAAGGCGGGGACTTAGATGTTAATGATTTAAATTCTCTTCCAGTTCTACTCTTTAATGAGTGGGCAGGTCATGCCAGCTGTTTGAAGCCAATCAAGAGGATTGGAGATACTATTCTTATGCTTTTCACAAGGGTTTTACAACTGTCATGCTTACTTGAAGATTGGAAACCATTACATATGATGTGTCGTTTCTATCAAAATAATACCTTCCTTCACCTCAAGCAACTACTTCGACATTAGATTATTGTCATCCCCGAATGTCATTGCTTAATCCAGTTCTGACACTAGCATTGCCAGGAAGTTCCTTTTTCCTAAAGGTGGTAACTAGTCCACCAAAATGTCAAAAAAAAAAAAAAAAGTAGTCAATAGAAACCGACTTCCAGATAGCCCAGATTTTGAATTTAATAAATATGTTCAAAGAATTAGAGAAATTGTCAATGGACAAGTAGGGAATCTCAGTAGAGAAATGGAAACTCTAAAAAGAACCCAACGGAAATTCCAGAATTAAAATTTACAGCAGGTTGGAATTGGCAGAAGAGTGAACTTGATGACTAGTCATTTCTTTCCATGTCCTCATTACTTCTGCATTCATGGGAGATATTCTCACTCTTTCCATACCGTGTAAGGCTTAGGGAACTATTGTTTTCTCCTGCTCACCCTGTTTATACCCAAGTGAGGCATAGGTTTTCTGTGATGTCAGATCCCTGAAACTTCTCTGAGATTTGGGAGTACAGGACCACTTTTTTAACAAATCTCTGTGTTAACATCTAAGCTCTTCTTCTTCTCTTGAGCTTTACCCTCTCTCCTTCACAGGCTGAGGAACTAGATGGGGGAGAAGTGGTGAAACTTTGCTATTCTTCATTTTCTGTCATCTGGGCCTCCTCTAAGCCTAGGCTTTTGAAAGTCAAGAATTGATACCTGTGTTCTTCAAGGTCTGTTATATTGTTCTTTCTCTGAGGGAGTAAGCAGAGAACACCCTAGCTGCTGCTAAAACTGAGGAAAGCTCTGGAGTATCAGGAAGTACTGGGCAAAAAGTACAGAGGTTGATATGTCAAATTATTATCCGGCTACATTTGCTTTCATGTAGGTGTGTATGTGTATCCAAGGTTCAGTGGAACTCACTACAACCTCACAGGATTGTTTGTGAAACAATTTGATAAAGTCTTTGCAAAACCCTGAGTCAATAAAAAGCACTTTGCAAATGGATGCAAGAGCACAACAGTTCTCTTGTCCTCAGTCAGGAAATATCAGACAGGTAAATCTACAATACTCCTTATTAGCGCCAGGAGTTAGATCAAACAAGTTACCACGCTCGTTTTAGGAAGGCAGATTACCTGTGACCCTAATTTCCTTTCTAAGATTGATAGAGGATAAAGAGTGCCATTTAATCATGAAAATTCTTTTTCTTAGGTTTGCTTTCAAGAACAGAACCAACTGTGAGGTAGAACAACACATATAACACCAAAAGCAAAGCTATGGTTATTTAATTTGTTCTTATAAAGTAACAACTCACTATAGAAAATTTAAAAAAAATAGAAGGAAAAAAGTCACCTATGAATTGTCCTTCAGAAATGGTAACTCTTAACATTTTGATGAGTTTCCTTCCATTTTTCTTCTGTGCATTGTTTTTCATAGTTATGATAACATTGCATATAAAATTTTATTTACTGCTTTTCAAAAACTTAACATTATAATAACTTACCTTACATATATGTTTTAAAAGCCTTAAAATATGTATGTCCTGAGACCCAGAAATTGCATTTCTAGAAATCTATCATATTGATTTCTGTATTTACTGGGGATATATTTACTGAGGCAGCATGGTATAGTTTTAAGAGCATGGGCTTTGGAGTCAGATTGCTGTGAAATCAAACTTTAGCTCTGTTCTTAAGCAAGTTACCTCACTTCTATGTGCCTCAATTTCCTCATCTGTAATATGGGGATAATAGCAGTACCTGTAATATTTCATAAGTTCCAGTTGAACCCAGGGCCTGGCCCATAGAAAGCATTCAGCGGGTGTCAGCTGTTTTAATGTTGAGCACTTATAATGTGCCAGGCCCTGAGGGACCATGCTGACATGGTCTGTGCCCTAATGAAGTTTATAATAATAGTGATGACAAAACCAGTTTATTAAGGGCTCGTTATATTCCTAAAACCGCTAAGGGCTTCATACGCATTATTTCATTCATCTTATTTCTTTTTTTAGAGATAGAGGCTCATTTTGTCACCCAGGCGGGAGTGAAGTGGCACAATCATAGCTCACTGTAGCCTTGAACTTCTGGGCTCCAGCCATCCTCCCGCCTCAACCACCTGAGTAGCTGGGACTACAGATGTGCACTATCATGCCTTGCTAATTTTTCAGTTTTGTAGAGACAGGGTCTCACTATGTTGCCCAGGCTAGTCTCAAACTCCTGGCCTCAAGCAGTCCTCCTGCTTCAGCCTCCCACAGTGTCATTAATCTTTATAACAATTCTATAGGAGGGGTCAGATATATCTCCATTTTACAGATCAGAAAACTGAGGCTGAAACAGTAAGTATTCAAAGTTGTAAGTATAAAGAAGTTCCTTTCAGTATTATCTATAGTACATTAATATTGGGAACTAGCCCAGCTGTCAGTCAAAAGGGAGTCGTACAAATATGTGTATCTGTTCAATGGAATATTATGCAACTACTTAAAAATATACCTCTTCATGTATTGACATGGGTAGTTATCTACAATGTCGAGTGGATGAAGTGAGTCATGAAACACTATGTATAATGTGGTTAATTTTTATAAAAATAAACACTTATACCAAGATATAGGGCTAGTGGATTTTTTTTTTTTTTTTTTTTTGAGACGGAGTCTTGCTCTGTTGCCTAGGCTGGAGTGCAGTGGCGTGATCTCTGCTCACTGCAAGCTCCGCCTTCCGGGTTCACGCCATTCTCCTGCCTCAGCCTCCCGAGTAGCTGGGACTACAGGGGCATGCCACCACGCCCGGCTGATTTTTTTTATTTTTTAGTAGAGATGGGGTTTCACCGCGTTAGCCAGAATGGTCTCGATCCCCTGACCTCATGAGCCACCCGCCTCGGCCTCCCAAAGTGCTGGGATTACAGGCATGAGCCACTGGGCCCGGCCGCTAGTGGACTTTTTATTGAAAAAAAGGTTCCAGTATATACTCCTCACTGTTATCTCTTTTCATAAACATTAAATTTACTTATTCAAATTCTACTTATTAAAGGAACAAAGCTCAATGTTAAAACAATTATCATTTTAATAAATAATAAATATTTAATACCTAGTATATTAGCTACCTATTTCTGTATAACAGGCCACTTCAAAATGAATTGGTTTGAAACCAAGTTATTTTATTGTTTTATGTTTAGTGGGTCAATTATGTTGGTCTGGACTCAGCTAGGAGGTTCTCGTGCTGGTCTTGTATGGACTCATTCTTGCGGCTGTAGTCTCCTGGTGGCTTGAATGCGGATTGGTTTGTCTGGGAGTCCTCAGCTGGCAGCTCTTGTCTCATTTCCCACCAGGTTAGCTTGGGCTGGCTCCTATGGTGGCATAATGTTCCAAAAGGGTGAAAGTGGATGTTGTAAGGCCCACATGCGGAAGTTTCACACCATCACTTCCACCACATTCTGCTAATCAACGTAAGTCCCAAGGCCCGACTGGATAAAAGGAGGGGGAAACAGACAGTACCTCTTGATGGGAGCAGTGTGCATACAGCGATGAAGGAATGATTTTAGTCATTTTTGCAAATAATCTGCCATTCCTAGTATAAAATCAATGCTTACCATAATTATTATATTTACACAATAGCTTTATTTTCTTTCACATGAAAACAAAAAGTATTAACCCACAGAGAATTTCACTTCTGGACCATTTATCATACTTTGAATTTCTGACTCACTCTCTACTGTGAGAAAGTAGCTATCACTTGACATAATTGGAAAAAGGGCAAAAAAGGAGTCAGCTTATACCCTGGACGTTTGCCACTTCCATTTCTGTTACTTGCCCCCAGGATCCAATACATAGTATCGCAATGGGAAATACCAAATCCCCACTCTCCCTTCTCGAGTTTCAGCTGTTCCTTCTGTGTTTTCTCCAGTGTCCTCACATCAAATCCAGGAGAATTAGGAGAGAGGAGAGCACTGACTTCAGAAAGATAGCAGATGAAAATGTGATTCATTTTTATTATGTGAGGATGTAGAGATGTATTCTGTAATTTGACTTGATATCAAATATTGTCACAGAGGGTGTGTTTCGTTATAGGGATAATTATGTGCTGAAAGGGAAACTCTTCAAGGCTATTGCTGAGTTCTATGTTTTCTCCTTCCCATAGCCCTTATTGCCTTCTAACATACCATGTAATCTAGTTATTTATTGTTTTTTGTTTGTTAACTGTTTCCCCCTGCTGGGATATAAGTCTCCAGAGGGCAGGAATCTTTGTCATTTTAAATGATTGTTGTACCACAAGGATTAAAACAGTGCCTGGCATAGAGTAAGTGCTCAATACAGATGTGTTGAATGAATGAAGGACGGAGTGGGAGACTTGGCCAGTGCTGCTGGAAGGTCTAATAAGATGAGTGCAGATAACTGGCCTTGACTTTTGTAGAATGTACGTACACTGGGACCCTGCTGAGAGCTCTTTTTGTGGAATGGTGGGAATAAAAACCTGAATAGAGAGGAGCTAAGGAAGAGAATGGGGGAGAAATAAAAGGTGAGAAAGTAAAGCTAGGGATGAAGACAACAATATGAATGAGTTTGAAGGGCTTTGAGGGTGTTGAAAAATTTAGTGGTAGCTGGAGGGGCCATGAGGTCAAGAGAAGTTTGCTTTTTAAAATGGATAATAGCATATAGATGGAAATCATCCTAAAGGGAGGGAGAAAAAGATGATACAGAAGAGAAAAAGTGTACTTGCCAGTGCAGACACCTTGAGAACATGAGAGGGATTTTGGGCACAAGTAGAGGAGTGCCATGGAGAGCAGCAGGTGCCTTTCTTCCACTGAAGCAGGATGGAAGCCAGTGTATGTGGGCACAGGTGCGGTAGTGTGCTGGAGCTGGTAGCGCAGGATGAGGAGGTTGTGGAAGAAAAAAAGAGGGAATGTTGGTGATTTCAAGTAGAAAAGATCTGTATTACTTCCTGAAATAGAAAAGTGCATTCACTGGGAAAATGTGGTCATTAATATCCTAATGAGGATAAAACGTAGTGGAACTTGGCATTTATAAAGGCAGGATGCCACACTTCCTTGTGAAGCTGGTTTCACATCCATTGTTCTAGATCTCAGTGGATGGCATCATTGCCCATGCAGTTGCCCAAGCTAGAAACCTGGAGTCATCCTTGACTCTTTCCTCTTCCTTGGCCTCTACATCTAAATAATCACCAAATCCCGTCGGTGATTATTTCTTATGTGTTTGTTTATTTATTCAGGGCCTCTCTGTCACTCAGGCTGGAGTACAGTGGCACGTTAGCTTACTGCAGCCTCGACTTCCTGGGCTTGAGCAATCCTCCTGCCTTGGCCTCTGATAGTGCTGGGATTGTGGGCATGAGCCATGGCATCTTGCCCTTGTGACTACTTCTAAACACACTGAGAGCTGTTCACTTCTCTGTATACCCACTGCTACTTTCTTAGGGCTGGTTACTTAAATCACTGCAGGTTAGGTCCCTCACTGGATTTCCAGCCTCTAGTCCTATTCACGTCTGTGAAATACTCTATATTGTAGCCTGATCACCTGATCATTCCAAAAAGGAGATCTGATCATGATACTCCTCTGCAATGCCTGTTCAATGTCACTTGATCGCCTTCAGGTGAAAGTCTAAATTCTCCAACTTGGCATATAAGACTCTTCATGCCCTGGCTCCTGCCTACCTCTCCACGAGACCGTGTTGTTGTCGGAGAAGAGACAACAACAATAAAATTTTGAAAACTGATAAGAAAATGGACAACAAATCACTGAGTTGGCAAATAAGGATAGTTTTTATGACATGAATTGTAAACCTGAAAATTAAAAAGTGAAACTTTTTTATAGTAGACAAAACGTACACAGATATATGGTATAAGAGTATTTCTAAATCAATGACAGAGAAGAACATAAACAGAAAATATTAAGCATAAATTGGGGACTGAGATAATGCCCAGAGGAAGGAATATTATCTGTAAAATCTAAGTTAAAAAGTATGTCCAATGCAAAGGCCTATGATACAATGGACTTTGGGGAGTGGGGGAAAGGGCGGGAGTGGGGTGAGAGATAAAAGACTACAACTGGATACAGTGTACACTGCTTGGGTGATGGGTGCACCAAAATCTCAGAAATCACCACTAAAGAACTTATTCATGTACAAAAATAAATAGGTAGACAAATACAAAAGAAATGCTAAAAATATTTTTTAATGGAAAATAAAAATAAAAAGTATGTCCAAATTGGGAGCCCACCCTTACCCAAATTTGCAACAATTTGAACATCAAAAAGAATATTGATTTAATGAATTGAATCACACTAAATTTTAAAAATCCATATTTCTATAGGGACATTAAAAAAAGAGAAAGCCAAAAAGAGAACTTGTAAGCCATCATTTGAGATGGCTTGACAATTGACTTCATACTTTGACAATTGGTAATGAAAGAAAGAATTAAGCATTTATCTAACCTTTATGTAAGAAATGTATCTTAGAGTAACCAAATAGCTCCAGCTGAAAGAGAAAGTTCTATTTTCAGAAGAATGCTTGCCAAGAATGTAGAAGAATGACAGAATTAGAAAATCAGCATTCTGTCACTCAATAAAAGGCTTAGACTATTACCCTAACCTAGGGATGAATCTTAGCAAGCAATTACTATTTATGTTCTCTAATATGATGAAGATGCAATGTGAAGTATACCACCATCTATGATAGATTTAAAAATTAACTTGAATTCATCGTATTTAGTTTTAACTTCAGATGTAAACTTCAGCAGTTGAGGAACAAGTTGAATGCCATGGTAAATGGCAAGCAGACAAAGTCAGGAATTAGGAAAACTGGCCTGGTTGGCTCTTCAACAAGTCAGAGTCATTAAAAAGAAGAAAGATAGGGCTGGGTGCAGCGGCTCATGCCTGTAAGCCCAGTACTTTGGGAGGCTGAGGTGGGTCGATTGCTTGAGCCCAGGAGTTTGAGACCACCCTGGGCAACATGGCAAAATCCTATCTCTATTTAAAAACACAAAAAATAGCTGGGCATGGTGGTGCCCACCTGTAGTCCCAGCTACTTGGGAAGCTGAATCAGGAGGATTGATTGAATCCAGGAGGTCGAGGTTGCAGTGAGCTGTGATTACACTGCAACACTGCAGCCTGGGTGATAGAGCAAGACTTTGTCGCAAAACAAAAAAAAAGGAGGAAGAAGAAGAGAAATCGGGCTCGATCAAGAGACTCAAAGGACATTTCAGCCAGAAGCAATGCATGGTTCTGGATTGGGCTGTGGGTTGAACAAATGAACTATACGGGACACTTTGGGAATAAATTGTGGAAACTTGAATATGGACTAGATATTAGATAAGATAAAAATGTATTGATATGGAAAGCTGGAGAACCTTAAGTTAAATTAGCAGGGGTTTTGGGTTTTTGGAGGGTAACTTTCTACAATGCTCACATCCTTTTAAATAATAAAAAGTGATTACAATACTAAGTAGTAGTAGTAGTTTGAAAGTGCAAAGAAGATGGATGAAGATGTCCCGACAGGCAGGGAGTGAAGCTCACCACCTCCGTTTTGGGCAAGGGCTCCACAGCGGGGATGGTCCTGCAGGATCCTGGCCTTTTATCTCATCTGTTAGACTACACCCAATAGAGGAAATGAGATTCCTGAGCAAGCCTTCCCCAAATAGAAAAGTTTTATGGGGCATTTCTACCTCTAGATTCCATGTGAAATAATTCATCTGCTGTTCTCTTACGACTTGTTATGTTATTTGAAAAGATGTTCATTGTTCAGGTCAGAAGAAAAAAGAGTTCTCAGGTTCCTATCATCCCCATCTTCTATTGCCTTTTTTGTTGTCTGGGTGTATAAAGATGGAAGGAGGAATAAGTACTTGTGAAGAAGCTATGGTTGTTCATGTTGCTCTTGATTCCAAGAAGCTTTGTGGCAAAACTGGGTTACAGAAGGAAATTATGCACCGTAATTAGGGTTTTTGAAATTCAAATCGAACAAACTTGAGAACATTTAGAGTGGACTCAGAGCTAGAAAGTGGCTGACCCTGAGGACCGTCCAAAGCGAAACCCCATCTCCTTTTGCAATTGGCATAGCAAGAGACACATTGGATTGTTGATCAGATTTGCCCTGCCTGGGTAGGCACCTAGTCAAATTAACTAATACATCAAAGATACAAATTCTTTCCTTTCCTTTTCTTGGTGCTCTGCGGAACTCAACATTAATAGGATACCAACAACAAACAACAACAACCAAAAAAAAAAAAAAAAAATTAAATGGGCTGATAGCACTTTTCTTTGGAAGTTTAAGGAAAAGTTATTAAACTATAATTCCATGTCAGTAACATTAGGACTTTGAGAGTAGCTTGCATCCTTGATTTTCTTTTCCTTTTCATCATTTTCCTGTCTACTGGGAACTTCAACTCAAAAAGATGATATATTCAATGCAAGAAAATTGATGTCACTTAAAAGCAGCTCTAATAATAGAAAATAAATTATTTATAGCTAGAGGGTGTCTTCTGTATCTAAGACTAGATTATCTACACCAGACTACACTACTGATAAACTGCAGTAGATTACTGTGTTTTCTTGCCCTTCTAAAATTCTTGACTATTGTGAAACATTGTCATGGTTATGAAGTATTTTAAGCACTTGTGCTCCCTCTAGAGGAGCAATATAAAAAAACTCAGGGCTGTCAGTGTTTGCCAAGATTTTGAGGTTAAATTTTGGTGTCATTTAAAGAAGAAAGAACTCATGTGGAAATAATTATCAAAATCTAATTTTAATTAACTATAATTTATAAATTATAAAAGTAGCAATTCTCCATAATCATACATTTTAATATTACTGTTTCTAAATTGAAATATGTCTTTCCACTTTTGTCTGCTATACAATACACATACAATGCTGCTTCCTGTTTTATTTTCTCATATTGTATTTTCTTTTTAATTTTTTAACTGTTTTTCGAGACAGGGTCTCATTCTGTCGCCCAGGATGCAGTACAGTGGTTCAATCTCCGCTCACTGCAACCTCTGCCTCCTGGGCTCAACCGATCCTCCCACCTCAGCCTCATGAGTAGCTGAGACCACAGGTGCTTGCCACCACGCCCGGTTAATTTTTTGTATTTTTGATAGTGACGGGGTTTTTGCTATTGTTACCCAGGCTGGTCTTGACTCCTGGCCTCCAACAATCTGCCCACCTCGGCCTCCCAAAGTGCTGGGATTATAGGCGTGAGCCACCGCGCCTGGACTACTTCTTGTTTGTTTGTTTGTTTTTGAGACGGAGTCTCGCTCTGTCGCCCAGGCTGGAGTGCAGTGGCGTGATCTCGGCTCACTGCAACCTCTGCCTCCCGGGTTCAAGCGATTCTCCCACCTCAGCCTCCCAAGTAGCTGAGATCACAGGCGCCCACACGTAAAAAATTAGCCATGCATGGCTAATTTTTTATATTTTAGTAGAGACAGGGTTTCACCATTTTGCCCAGCCTGGTCTCGAACTCCTGAGCTCAAGCAATCTGCCCACCTCGGCCTACCAAAGTGCTAGGATTACAGGTGTGAACCGCCGCGCCCGGCCTTACTTCTTATATTTTCCGAGTAACATTCTAATTATCATATCTACTGAGTAAATTGTAGTAATTTCTCCCACTGCTGGACAGCTAGATTGTTTTTAATTATTCAAGAACAACTACATTGAACATTCATTTGCATGTAGCATTTTCATGTTTGGGGTCTGTTCCAAGGAGTGAATCTCAGCCTTGAAATTACTAAATCAGAGAATATGATCTTTTGGGGAAATGACAGTACATATTTACACATTACTTCCTAACACAGTTGTGCTAATTTATAAATCATCAGCAATGTATGAAAATATCGATTTCAACACACCCTCCCACCACTGGGTACTACTTTTAAAAAAATGTTTGGATAATTTGGTGGGTGAAAAAATGCCATTTCATGGCTTTAATTTGAACTTTTCTGACTTTTGGTGAGGTCAAACATTTTTCCAAGTTCATGAGTTTTATTTTCTCCTTTGAGAATTCTCTGTTCATGTTTTTTACGCATTTATCTTTGGGGACAATGCTTTCTTAGTTATGTGAGCTTTTACGATCATTACAAGTATAATTACCACTACCACCACTACTAATTAGCTATCATTTGTTGGTCAACCATAATGAGTAGAATATTATGCCAAGAGCTTTATGTATATTTATGCCTTGCCACAACCTGCAAGAAGGAAGGAAATTGAGGTTTAGAGAAGCTAAATGACTTATCCAAGACCACATGGCCATGGACGAAATACTTTCTACTATCGCCTCTGCTTCATATAAAGATATAATAGAACCATGTCCTGATGAAGCCATTTCTGTCAACAATGGACTGCGTATATGGTGGTCATACAGTAAGCCAAAGTTAATTTACTATCAAAGAAAAAACCCTATTTTTAATTAAAAATAAATGTAATGTAAGTGTACAATGTTTATAAAGTCCACAGTAGTGTATAGTAATGTCCTAGGCCTTCACCTTCACTCACCACCCACTCACTGTCTCATCCAGAGCAACTTCCAGTCCTACAAGTTCCATTCATGGTAAGTGCCCCACACAGGTGAACCATTTTTTCCTTTAATACTATATTTTTACTGCACCTTTTCTATGTTTAGATATGTTAGACACACAAATACTTAGCACTGTGTTACAATTGCCTACAGTTTTCAATATAGTAACATGCTGTACTGGTTTGTAGCCTAGGAGCAATAGGCCATACCATATAGCCTAGGTGTGCAAACCTGTACCATCTGGGTTTGTGTAAATACGGGGTATGATGTTCTCACTACAAACTGCCTAATCACACATTTCTCAGAATGTATCTCTTCATTAAGCAATATGTGACTGTATATTTTTATTAATATATAAAATACATTAACTCTTGGCAATATTTTTCCCAGGCCTGTCTGCCCTTTTATTTTACCTACTTTTTTTGACATAAAGAAGTAGCAAATACTAATGTAACTGTAACCTTTTCAAAGCCAAACACATCTTGGTTTTCATTATATTTCATAATGGCTATTTGCAGTAATAAAAAGATCAGACAGGATTGGCTTTCTTTAAAAAAAAAAATTAGGGTTTAGATGAATGTGCTCCAAATTGTCAAACAGTTATTCCTAAATCATAGATTGACAACTTTTGTCTTCCTCATTGATTTGTGAGGCATTCTTTGTTATTCATATACTAAGACCGTATTTGGACTTAACTGTTTCATTGATCTAGGCCATTCTTTGTACACTTACCACATTGTTTTAATTATCATATCATTGTAAGATGATTAAAACAGAATAAGACTCACCATCTAACAAATATTTTTTTTCTGAATTTTCTCCCCTTTTTATTCTCTGAGTGAACTTTGAGATCATTTTGTCAAAGTAGGCAAAAACCCCCCAAAACCTATGTTTTTCTTTTAAAGAAAGAACTCAAAGCAGCAGAGATTTTGATTGTGGTTACATTAGACCTATAAATTAATTTTGAACATTATTTTTATATCCAGTCTTCCTAATCAGGAATAATCATCTGGTTACTTTTTCAAGTTTTATTTTATATTTCTCAATATAATTTGTATTTTTACTTCATGTTGTCACTACATGTCTTGTTAAGATTATTTCCAGGCATTACATATGTTTTAGTTGCTATTGCATATAGGACCTTTTGTTCGTTGGTTTGTATATGTTTCTGCTAGTATATAAACATATTATTAATTCCATATTGTCATATTTATAAGCTCTTATTTATTTTAATAGTTTATCAGATAATTCCTTTATATTTTATAGACATACAATATCATTTTTAAATGATATATTTCTTCTTGTGTGTGTAGTAAAGAGTCACCACAGCAGACCTGAGACTGCTATTTTTAGAAAGACCTGCTTGCAAGGTTGTCCATGGTTGACATCTGGTAACCTGGATTTTTGGAGGGTTCCCACCATTTCTTACATGATAAGGGTGGTTTATTTTGTTGGGATTGCTTTCTGCACACAATATAGTTTATGCCGAACACCTGCTATTTGTCTAGGAATTTGAAATTTTGGTATGTGCCAGGCATAGGCTGCCTACGCCACCAACTCTCCCCAAACCTTGGGTACTGAGTCTCTAGTGAGTATCCCTGATGGGTAACACTTCATTCGTATTGTTACCTTGTTGCTGGAGAAGGAAGCACATCTGTGTGCCTCTGATGGGAGAAGCCTCTAGGAAGTCTGCATCTGGCTTCCTCCTGACTTCATTCCATGTGATTCTTCCCTTTGTTTTTTTGCTTTGTATCCTTTCCGTGTAATCAACCATAGCCATGAGTGCAACTGTGTGCTGAGTCCTGCGAGTCCGTCTAGAGAAGCCTCGAAACCAGGGGTGGTCTTGGGACCCTTGACGCAATTTGTAATGCTTATCTGTTCTGTGTGGTATTTTTGGTCAAGTCTAGGTATCAATATTGATGGAGCTGCTCTGGGTGACCAGATGGCAAAAGGTTGGACCCCTCCCGATGTGATGCTCTGCCATCTCCTCTCATGTGCCCTACTCTTGCGAGGCTCTGGGAAGCTGACTTTGAAAATTACTTGTCCCAGCCGGGCACAGTGGTTCATGCCTGTAATCCCAGCACTTTGGGAGCGCTAGGCTGGTGGACTGCTTGAGCCCAGGAGTATGAGACCAGCCTGGGCAACATAGTGAAACCTTGTCTTTATAAGAAATATAAAAAATTAGCTGGGCATGGTGGCATGTGCCTGTAGTCCCAGCTACTCAGGAGACTGAGGTAGGAGGATCGTGTGAGGCCAGAAGTTTGAGGCTGTAGTGAGCTATGATCATGCCACTGCACTCCAGCCTGGGTGACAGAGAGAGACCCTGTTTCCAAAGAAGCAAACAAAAACAAGAACAAGAAAAGTATTTATTGCTATGATTTACCTCTAAATTATAGGATTGACTATATCTTGTACAGTTTTATGTGAACTGATCGATCTTGTTTCAACTTTTTACTAAATAATTTTAGTCATTTCATTTAAGAGATTCCCTGCCCATTTCCATAATTATTGACAGTCTGCAAACTTAAAGGAATTATATTTTTGGTAACGTAGTCAGTAAACTATTCAGACTAATCCACCAGTTGAAAACAACTGAAAAATGCTGCAAAAATTGGAAAAGTCTGAAAAGCATGAGAAAGGTGATAAGATAGGATTTACCATGATAACATCTAAATGGCAGCGAGAATCTAGAGGGAAAAGCAGGATGCAGAAGTTGCAGCTGGGTGGTGGTTCATGCCTGTAATCCCAGCACTTTGGGAGGCTGAGGCAGGCAGATCACTTGGGATCAGGAGTTCGATACCAGCCTGGGCAACATGGTGAAACCCCATATCTACAAAAAATTAACTGGGTGTGGTGGCACGCGCCTGTAGTCCTAGCTACTCAGGAGGCTGAGGTAGGAGGATAGCTTGAGCCCAGGAGGCGGAGGTCACAGTAGGCCAAGATCCTGCCACCGCATTCCAGCTTGGCAGACAGAGCCAGACCCTGTCTCAGAACACAGAAGTTGCTTTTGCCTCTGAGGACATATGCCAATGAAGGAAAGGTGGATTTTATTGTTTTTATTCTTTCAGGGTCTGCAAGTTCAGAAATTGAAGTTTATGTTCTGGCAAAGGTGGGGAGTCTAATAGGAAACCTTCCTCTATAAGGTTAGGACCCAAAAGGACTGCTTCCTTAGGTCAGGAATTATCTAGAAGTAAACCTAAACCCACTTTTACGCTCTAACCCTCCAACACTCCCCCAGGAGATCTTAAGGGAAAAAAAAATTCTTTTGTGTTGAACACTGCAGAGGAAGGAAAGTAAAGAAAAACCTGATCTCTGCGAAGTGACAAGCACGTGCTGGCAGTCTCTGTGAGTTTGTAACTCCAAATCACCTTACCTGGATGGTCCAAAAAACCCTGTGCCCCGAACTGGTTTAAAGAAGTCCTGGACTGACCCTAGGGGCCTGGAGAGTGCACATCCCCTCTGGAGGAAGGCACCATCATTTTAGGCATCAGAGAATCTCCAGAATACATGTTCTCATAATACCCAAGCTCACCAGAAGATAAGGTAACATCAGTCAGAATCAGCAGGAATAGACCTACAGTGACTTCAGGTATCCTTCATTATCTACATTTTCATTTTGAACTCCAGGAACCAAATAGATTTGGATGCATTAGGATTTCCACACTAGGCAAAATTTTGCCATGTAGTGTCACAAAGTCAAGAACCTAATAGATTCAGATAATGAAACTCTTGAAATTCAATAAGCAAAAGACAGATAACTGAATAGAAAAGTGGAGAAAAGACCTGGACAGATCCTTCACAGACAGGGATATGCAAAGGACAATAAACATAGGAAAAGGTGTGGATCAGGGATATGCACATTAAAGCCACAATGTGATACCACTCGATACCCCCAGAACGGCTAAACCGAACTAGAAAGACAATAGGAAGTATTGATGAGCATGTGGATCAACTCGGCCTTTATACATTGCTGTGGAAGTATGAACTGACACAATCCACTTTGGAAGACCCCTTGGCAGTATTTACTAAGGGCAAAACTTATGACCTAGCAATTACATTCAGTTATATCCTTAATAGAAATGCATATGTATGTTCCCAAAAGATGTGTGAAAGGATGCTTATTACTTTTTTTTTTTTTCTTTGAGACAGAGTTTCGCTCTTGTTGCCCAGGCTGGAGTTCAGTAGCGTGATCTTAGCTCACTGCAACCTCCGCTTCCCGAGTTCAAGCGATTCTCTTGCCTCAGCCTCCTGAGTAGCTGGGATTACAGGTGCCTGCCACCACACCTGGCTAACTTTATTTTTTTGTATTTTTAGTAGAGACGGGTTTTCACCATGTTGGCCAGGCTGTTCTCAAACTCCTGACCTCAGGTGATCCACCCACCTTGGCCTCCCAAAATGCTGGGATTACAGGCATGGGCCAGTGCGCCCGGCTGCTTATTACTATTTGTAATAGGTTCAATTAGAAATAACTCAAATGTCCATCTGCAATAGATAGATTAATATATTGTGGTAAATTCATACGGTGGAATTCGTACAGTAGAACACTACAGCAAAGAGAATAAACAAAATATAACTCTGAACAACACGGACGGATTTCACAAGCATACTGCTGAGTGAAAGAAAACAAGTACATACTGATTCCATTTATATAAAGTTCAAAAGTGGACAAAATTCATGTATTAGAACTCAAGGTGGTTTCCTCTTGTGGGTGAAGTCAGTAGCTAAAAAAGGGATTTTGGAGGGGTTTGGGATTCTGTGTTTTTTGTTTTTTTTTTTTTTAATCTGGATATTAGTAACTTAGGTGTATTGCTTTGTGAAAATTCATTTCACTGTCTACTTATAATTCGTATATTTCTCTGTATGCATGTTATACTTCAGTAAAATTTTGAAACTTTTATAAAGAGACATTGAAAAGGACATAAATAAATTGAAAAGTATACAAAATTAATCAATAGATTCAGTGCAATTCCAGTGAAAATCCCAGCAGGTTTTGGTGGAACTAAAGCACTAAGATTAAAAGGGCCCCCTTCAAAGAGAGCTAGGTGGAAGCATTAATGTACCTAAGACAACAGGCCAATGGAATAGAAACAAACATACAAATATGGAAACTTCATATGTGACAGATATGATATTTAAGATCAATGGGGAAAAGATAAACTTTTTGATAAATGATACTTGGACAAGTGGTTATTTATATGGTGAAAGTACAAAACTGGATATTTATATCACACCATACACCAAATAAATCATAGGTGGGTTCAAATTCAAGAGTGAAAGGCAAAACTATAAAGCTTTTATAAAGTAGTATAGAAAAATATTTCATGATTTTAGGTTTAGAAAACATTTCTCAAATAAAACATGAAAAGCTTAGCCATAAAAGAAAAGTTTAAGAAATTAGATTCTAATAAAATAAAAATTTCTATTAATTAAAAGTCATCAAAAAGAGAGTGAAAAGACAGATTAAAGAATGGGAAAAGATTTTTCCAACACATAAAACTGACAAAGTAACAGTAGTTAGGACATCTATAAATCAATATGAAAAACAAACATTATATTTTTTAAAAAGGCAAAAGACTTGAACAGAAGCTTTATAAACTAGAATTTCCAAACAGCCAATAAATGTATGAGAAGGTGTGCAATATCATCATTATTAATATGAAAAATACATTAAAACCTCAATGAAATACCATTACAAACTTACCAAAATGGCTAAAACTAAAAATCTAACAATACAAGTGTTAGCAAAGATGTAGAGCAATGAAAACAATGCTGGTGTTAGTGTAAATTGGAAAACAATTTTTATGATATAATAAAAGGTGCACATATCCTATAACCCTGCAATCCCACTCCTAGATGTATGCCTTAGAGATACTCGTACACATGTCCAACACAAGACATAATAAGAACAGTTAAAACAGCATTGTTTATTTTTCTTTTCTTTTTTTGCCCCTTGAATCATAAAACAGCATTATTTCTAGTAGGCAAATCTAGAAATACCCCAAATGTCCATTGACAGCATGCGATATATTCATACCATGGAATACTATTTGGCCATGAAAATATAGGAACTCAGCTACACGTACAAAAAGTATGAATCTCACAAACATACTATATGGTGAATATCATCCAGATCTCCTTTTCCAAGCCATTGCCCCCAGCCCCTGTGGGTTATGGTTTCTAATGGCTCAGAGCTGGCCCCTTTTCTGGAAAATTGCCCTTGGCTCAAAGGGTACCACCGGGAACACGTGGGCCAAAAACTTAGTAACAGGCTTTCACAAGTGTCTTGGTGGGACCAACAGTGTGGTGCTATTCAAGCTCCAGAGCCCCCCCTTGAGATCAGGCAGAGCTGAGACCTCATCCTTGCCTTGATTCCGTCCCTGCCCTGTCCTGCTGCTTTCACCGCTTTTCTCCCGAAAGCAGGAGCTCCACAGGTCACATGCACCTGACTCTTTGTCCTAGACTGCATGTGAGGAATCCAAGCTAAGACACATTACTAAGCTTGAGAAAAAGACACTGAATACATATATTATGATGCACACATGGGGTAAGATAAAGAAAAGCAAAAGCATGATTTCTTAAAAGTCGGAACAGGGTTTATCTCGGTGAGGGGGAGGGACTGTGATCAGGGAAGGCACACAGGAGGCTTCTGGTACTGGCAGTATTCCGTTTCTTGACCTGCACAATGTCTACATGGATATTTACTTTATAATTACTATTTAACTGCATATGCATGTTGTACACACAATTTAGTATGTATAATGCATACAAAAAGAAGAAAAATTTCCATGTAATCAGAGAGACTTTTTGGTTTTAACTTAAATAAAAATGTATTTCCTAATCGAAGAAAATAAACTGTTAATTTCTGCTTTCTTATATTTATTGAGATTTTTCTTGTAGCCTAGTATATAATCAGAGCTTATAAATATTTCTTGTATCATATTTGTCAACAAAATATGCTATGGATTCATATATAATGGGATGCCCATTAATTTAATTATAATTCAATGAATTATATTAGTTATCTATGACTGCTGAAAAAAATCACCCCAAAATGTAGCAGCATGAAACAACATTTTCTCACCTCACGATTTCTGTGGGTGAGGAATCTGGGTGCAGCTTAGCTGGGTCCCCTAGCTCAGGTCTCTCATAAGGCTGCAGTCAAGACATTGGCTGGGGTAGCAGTCGGCTCAAAGCTGTACTTGGAAGGAAGGATCCACTTCCAAGAACATTCATGTGGTTGTTGGAGGATTTGGTTCCTCCTGGGTTGTGGGACTAAGAGCTTCTATTCCTTGCTGGCTGTTGGCCAGTGGCCTCCCTCCATTTTCTGCCATATGAGCCTCTCCACAATACAGCTCACAGCACAGCAGCTGGTTTCCATCGGAGCGAGCAAGCAACCAAGGCTTATTTGGAAAGGTGTAACTTTCCAGATGTTTTTCTGCTGTATTCCACACCTTAGAAGCAAGTCTGTAGGTCCAGATCATGCTTGCAGGGAAAGAATTACCCAAGGGCATGAATACCTGGAGACCTGAAGACCGGGATCATTGGTAGCTCTTTTAGAAGCTGCCTACTACAGTGATACAACTCACTATCTGGCTTCTCTTTTTTTTTTTTTTTTTTTTTTTTTTTTTTTTTTTTGAGACGGAGTCTCGCTCTGTCGCCCAGGCTGGAGTGCAGTGGCGGGATCTCGGCTCACTGCAAGCTCCGCCTCCCGGGTTCACGCCATTCTCCTGCCTCAGCCTCCCAAGTAGCTGGGACTACAGGCGCCCGCCACTACGCCCGGCTAATTTTTTGTATTTTTAGTAGAGACGGGGTTTCACCGTTTTAGCCGGGATGGTCTCGATCTCCTGACCTCGTGATCCGCCCGCCTCGGCCTCCCAAAGTGCTGGGATTACAGGCGTGAGCCACCGCGCCCGGCCCTATCTGGCTTCTCTTGTGTTGTTTTGGAGAATCGTTCATCTTTATCAAAGAAATAGAATCCTGATGGTACTCATCCTGAATGGCAGTATACAGAGTCTTGCATGCATAAAGCAGCGTGATCACAAATCTACATTTAACAGTCAGAGATTCTGTCCTTATGATTTCCAGCCTGGGGCTTGGGTTTGAAACACTGTTCATTTTCTCTGCCCACAGTACCGTTTTACATATGGCAGGTATCTTCCACTCAAGCCTCTTGTTGAACCTGTTTGAGCTGCTTTGAAGGATCATTCCTTGTCTTTCTTGAGTTGCCTTTAGCATCACCAAAGAATTGTAGGTCTGTATCACAGCCTATGCTGAAACACAGTCCAGCATAAACATATTCTGCTTATTTTATAAAAATCCGTCTGAGTTTTGCGTGATATAGAAACAAAAATATGAATATATTTAAACCAATGTCTTTTTGTCTATTTGATCTACCTTGATTGATGGTAGGGCATGAAAATCATCCACGACAATAGTGACATTTTGATTTCTCATGTTTCTAATGCTTTTTCTTTTGTACTTTCATTGCCATGTTATTTGGTCAAAGTAACTCCATGCTGTAAATTCACTATTGATTGTATCTTATAGCCATATATTGACTTTCATTTTAAAAACAATTTCATAAATAGATTCTTATACAAAGAAGAAACATATATACAGAGCACCCAAATTACCAGTAAGGTGGACCCTAGCCCTTCTTTTCTGCATTGGGAAACAGAATGGGGAACAGGAAAAATGATTCCATCTTGCTCTTAACTCTTTCCACCCATGAGCCCAATTTTTCAAGTAGAGTTTCTATTCCTTTGACGGTGCCTTTGTTTTTTTCCCAATGTAGCAATCAAGCTTTTCAGTCCATCTTTGAGTTTGTTTGCAACTTCTTGATCACAACCTGGAGGAGGCTAGAAAGAATAATGGCACCTCGATTTACACTAGCCCAGGACTTCAGGTTCCTCATACCAACATGCTGTACAAATGATTTTGCAAAACAACCTTCTCTCCCATTTTATTTCATCTTTTTATCTTGCTCTATTAACCACTTCAGAACTAGATGTCCTGGAGGATGTTCTGCAATGTGAAGCTCTCGGTCCTTGCCACTAGGTTGCAGTTCCACTGCTGCCAAGCTGGCAATGGCATTCATGGCGGGCTGAACATCTCCAGTGGCAGATCCCAGAATGTCAGATACCAACACACGCGGACTTATCTAGCACCACCTCTTGGGCATGTCCTTGCAGGAAGCTTAACAAAGCTAGAGAAATGGATTCTAGGAGCTCATATCTGCAGATTTCTGTACCTTTATTACTGTGTGCATTTCCATCTCCTTTTTGCAGAACTTCAATGATTTCTCATAGTAGATATACAGGATCTCTGGGGCTTAGTGAATACAACAGGACCTTCCTTTCATGTTTGTCATTTCCTGTGCTAGGCAATGAACTGATAATTCCTGATATGATTATTACCTGCTTCACAAGCTTAGTATCATCAATACAATCAAATGCTGCCAGGAAAGCCAAATGAGAGTATTGGCCATCAGTCACTTTTTCAACCTAAGTCTTCATTATTTTCACAGTCACTTTCCTGTCCTTGGGCATGCCATGCCACAGGCCCATGGCCAGCCATGCCCTCGTGTGTGTGTGTGCCAGGTATACCACTGCTTTGTGGATGACTTCAATCATTTCTGATCTGAGTTTGGGGGGTGCATAGGTGAAAAAAAAAGAAAAAAAAAGTCCAAGAATATGCACCAATGAATGCTTAATCACAGCTTCCTTTTGGGCCACTGGAGTTAGAATCTGTTTCATTTCATCCATAATAAGCTCTTAATTTTTCTGGCTGTACCCCTAATACTTTGTCTGGAGTTGGTGATCGACTGACTTGTAAAGGTGAAATGTGTTCCCATAGAACTCTTTCGTCAGCATGTTCCTCTGCTCCAAAGTGGCTTTGTCATTATATGTGTCCTACATGATGGCTGATGTTTCTGCCTGCCACAGCATCTTCCTCACGGGGCCTTTTAAACTTCTCATTATCTCTGCAATCTGTGGTTGACTTCCATACATGCGACATTTCTTTTTTTTTTTTTTTTTTTGGCTTAACATTTTATTCATTCAGCAAATGAATATATTTAGAAACAAACATTTATTGAATAAATGAGTTATATTTTCATGTTGCCTCATAACCTTTACATCTATCATCTTTAACAGCTGCATAATGCTTCATTAAGAGGATGACATAATTTACTCAAGCAAGTGCCTTCTCAGTTTAGTAGTAGTAGTTAAAAGCTCAGGCATGAAGCCACAACTGAATTCAGATCCCAACTATGTAACTTACCAGCTACGTGAGCTTGTGCAAGATACTTTCCTTTTTTTTTTTTTTTTATTATACTTTAAGTTCTAGGGTACATGTTCACAACGTGAGACATTTCTTTAAAATATTTCTGGAGTATTTGGCTTTACTTAATTCAACCAAATTATCTCCCAATTCTTCAAAAGCCTGTTTTGACTGTTCTTCATTACCACACTGAATGTAACACTGGATCACATGAGTTGAATCATTTGCAAATGCAATTGTTTGTTTGTTTGAGACAGAGTCTTGCTCTGTCCCCTAGGCTGGAATGCAGTGGCACCATCTCAGCTCACTGCAACCTCTGCCTCCCAGGCTCAAGGAGTCTCATGCCTCAGCCTCCTGAGTAGCTGGGATTACAGGAATGTGCCAACATGTCCAGCTAATAAATGCAATAGTTTTAATTTTCCCTTGAATCAACTTCTGCAAGTCATTCATTAACTTTACTCTTTTTTCTTTGTCAGTCTTTTCTTCTTAAAGTCTTCCAAATCTGCTTTGCCCACACAACAGTGTCATAGTTACTTTTATCACTGAGTTGCCTGCTTTGCTTCAGTTCTTTCTTTTTCTTTTTGAAGTCATCCCATTTGGGTTTCTTGGCTGCTGATTCACCACTTTTGCCATCTGGCTGGAGTTTCCTCTTCTTGTTGAATTTATTTGCTGGCTGGAATTTGTTCCTTGGTGCTTTGTCCCATTGTTGCTTATTCTTCAACTGCTTCGCACCCTTTCCCCTGGTTTTGTGACACTTTTCTCAAAGTTCTTAGATGTGGCTTTAGATTCACCTTCCTTAGCAACTTTTCTTGGAAATGTCTTTGAAGAACCAGAATCACCGTGTTTATGAAATCAGTTTTATTTTTTTGTGATGCCTTTGTACTCTTTCCTGTGAATTGTTGTTTCCCCTTTGACTTCCACCATAGCAACTTGCACACATGGGGCCGACCACATATTGACTTTTTAACCATAAAACTTACTGCCTTAAGTTCTGCTTAGCCTAATATTACTTTATGTTCACATTTGAAGTATAAATCTTTGTTCCATTTTTATCTTTAGCTCTTTTAGCAGGGGGCTGTCATTTTTCTTTTGGATGTGCCAATTGTCAATCAAGGAAAATGACCAGGGCAAGTCCCATTCATTTTTGGAGGTTTATTTGCCAGAGTTAAGGACACACAACCGGGAAACAGGTCTATGCCTTTCTCTGAAGATGATTTTGAGGGCTTCAATATTTAAAGAGGAAAGGGCAGGATATTGAGAAATACCCAATGTTCATGTGAGAGGGGTAGGAGAAAATAGCCATTCCTGCCTTGGTCTGGCTCAGTGAATCTGCATTTTTACATAAGATTAATGTAGACAATAGGGCAGAGGAAACAATGTGTGCAGAGGGATGACTTTGAGTTCTGTCCTATGTTCCCCGCAGCTGTGAAGAAAAGCTATCAATTCACATTTGCATGATGCACTTTAACAGAAATGCTTTAGGGTGAAGATCTTGGGGACCACAAGGAATTTCCTTGTGAGGGAGGTATGTAGCTTTTCATCTTGTAGCCATCTTATTTAGGAACCAAAATGAGAGGCAGGCTTGCATAACCCAGTTCCCAGCTTGACTTTTCCTTTTGGCTTAGTGAGTTTGGGGTCCCAAGATTTATTTTCACATTTCCCCCATTTTTTCTTTAAAATCATTTGGAGAAAGCATTTTAGAAGGAAAATGTGTCTCTGGTCTCAGCTTGCTTTTTTCTTTTTCTTTTTTTTTTTGAGCTGGTCCTTCATTGCTAGGATGGTTTATTCCCAGAAATTCAGGTCCCACCTTGCTAGGAAGGCTCATTCTTAGCAGGTCGTGCCCCATGAAGATTAAAATAGGGGGAGGAAAGAAGGTAAGAGGAAATTAAAAATATAGGGATCTAGACCAGATATACAGCAAAAGGGAAAGCAAACCTGGAAGCTGGGTCAGGCTATGCTACTGCCTCCTCAATTAGAGCAACTCTTTGGGCAATCATTATTCTAGCCCTTTCAGTTGATGACTAATCTGGACATACCATAATAACATTGTAAGCAAAAACAGGACATGACACAAATTATTATTATTATTATTATTGGAAGCAATAGCTTCTGCCACCAATTTCTCCAGGTCACAATACAATTTCTCCAGGTATCCACCCCATATCTCTTGTAGTGTTTGGCCATTGGTCCTTGGGGTCGTTTCTTCGTTCCAAGCATAAAGGAGCATTTTGGCTGAGTTGGCCAAATGAAGGGATGAACCAGATAAACCCATTCCAAATTTGCATTATCCCATTTTGAAAATGGGCTGTTGTTTGGGGCATGGTTGCCACCTTCTCTTTTAGTTGGGGGAATGCTAAAGTGAGAGCTGGTGAGCTGGTCCTTTCCCTTGAAAATCTTTTCCCATGTCCTTGCTCTTGAGTGTTTTTAATGGGGAAATTATATATATTTAGTCTTTTGTTATGCCAGCACTAAGGATACGAAACCATTTCTGTGATGTAATAAATTTTGGTATTCTAGCTAGTCTTGACCTTGTAAGGGAAATACCCACCATGGCAGGCTGGAGCCACTGGAAAGAGGCATGAGTCTGCATATCACACAGGCATCCTTTTATAATCTGTCTGCATAATCCTGAGCCCATTGTAGAAACAGGTTTGTCTTATGGGCAACAATGGGTGACAGTGGCAAGAGGTTTTAGAGACATAGGGTAAATAGGAGCAAGGTTGTGAAATTCATTTTAACTACTAAAAGGACATTAAATCAGACAAGGCAAATGCCCTGTTCTGCACAAGATAGCAGTTGCCAGTATCTCTAGGACAATAATTGTAATAGCTATCATACAATACACATAGGTGTTCTTTTGTATACAGGCCTGGTCCTGTGTCTTGGGTTTCATAGGTGTTCTTTTGTATACAGGCCTGGTCCTGTGTCTTAGGTTTAAGCAGTCCACAACAGCTATGGTCTGCTCCTAGTCCTGGATTGAAGTTCAATGTTAATGAGCTGCAGGTGAAGATCCTTGGTAGGAGTTACAGCCTACTCAGGAGGTTGTGCCTTTTTAAGATGAGAGGTGTAAATCCATGAGTTTATACTGTCTAGTTTTTGCAGCACATGGATTTGTTAATAGTATTTGGTATGGCTCCTTCCATTGGGGTTGAAGGGAGTCCTTTATTAAATGTCTTTTCCAATAGACAAAGTCTTCAGGCTGCAGATCATAACCAGGAACCTTGTCTTCAGGGAGTGGACTATGAAAGGAATTCTTTACCAAATCTTGGCTTTTGTAAAGATGACAAATGAGTCCCTTATAATACTGCAATATATCTCTCTTGAGAAAAGTTGGGTTGGTTATTTTGGTTCCCATACACATGGGCCTTCCTGTTATAATTTCATAAGGGGATAGTTGATGTTTCCCAAGGTGGACCAGAGGGTAAGAAGCACCAGGGGAGTGCTTTAGGCCAACAGAGGTGAAGTCCATTTATGAACTTAGCCAATTGTGTTTTAATTATTCCATTGGTCCTTTCCGCCAGCTCTGAGGACTGGGGATGGTAGGCACAATGGAAATGTTGAAATATGGGCCAAATTTCACAAATATTTTGAATAACTTGACCAGGAAAATGAGTTCTTCTATCACGTAAAGTTCACAGTGGACTCCCCACAGTGGAATAATTTTTTCTAATAAAGTTTTCCAACTGCCATCGCTGTTGCTTGCCTGCAGGGAAAAGCTTCAACCCAATGGGAAAACATGCAGACCATTACTAAGACATGTAACCTTGAGAGGATGGCGGCTGGATAAAATCAAGCTGCCATACCTCAAAAGGTCCAGCTGGAAGGGGAAAATGACCCTGGGCCTCATGGAGGAGCTTCCGTGGATTATCCTTAGGACAAATAGCACACTGGGAATAAACCTTTTGTGCCACTGTGGAGGATCGTTTCCAGTAACATTGTTTACACTAGGATATACTTTTATCTGGATTCCATCGTGTCAGATTATTAACACATTCCTTAAGGGGCACCTGACATCCCATTGGAATAATGGTTTATTATTAAGTCCATACAATATTTTAGTTTCAGGAGACAGGTATTCCCCTGTCTGTTTCCAAGTGGATTTCTCTTTTGTTGGGGCTATACTCTAGGTTTCCTTCAACATGTTTTTAAGTGTTTCAGGCTTTATGATCATTTTTTTGGATTGGGTCTGGTGGCTTGAATGCTGCTTTTTCAGCTGTAGCAATAGCAAATTTGTTATCTCCACTTTTAGTGGTGTCCAATGTAGAGTGACCTGGGATTTTTACAACTGTCAAAAGTTTTGGTTGAGAATAGTTTCTAACAGCTCTGAGAGTTGGTTGTCCATTTTTTATGGGTTGCCCTGAGGAGGTTAAATATCCTCTCTCCTTTCACATTCCGAAGTCCTGAGCAACTCCAAATGCTTAGCAGGTGTCAGGGTATGTTTGCAGCCTTGTCTTTTGCTAATCGACAAGCTTGAGTCAGGGCAATCAATTTGGCCCCTTCAGCTGATTTGGCTTGAGGAAGAGGACCAGCTTCAACTACCTCTAGTAAAGAGACCACAGCATATCCTGCTCTAAAATTTCCATCCCCATCCTCTTAAATAAGACCCATCTGTATACCATTCTATCTCAGCATTATCCAGTGGCATCTCTTGTAAGTCTGTCCCAGAAGTGAGAAGTTGGTCAGTCATCAGAACATAGTCATGAGGGGTTTCGTCAGAAGGACCAGGCGAGAGAGTGTAAGTTAATTATTTGGAGCATATTATCTCAGTCAAAATGTATAAAATAATCTAAAATTGATTCATTTCGGTTCTGGTGGCATTGCTGGATTTTATCCCAATCCACAACCCTTTGGAATATTGAAGAAATGGTATTTAACAGAGCAGTTGCTCATTCCCACACATCTTTGTGTCTGTGTTCTCGACTTCTGGGGGCTGGTTATTGTAGCTCTATTGGGCCTTCAAGGGTTAAGTCTGCTACAGGGTCTGACCACTGTACTTTGTCCAGCTATTCCTTAGCTTTAGCTTCCGAGACCAACATGTGTGCCAGCTGTTAGAGGTCTGAATGGCCTGGGTCATAGGTTCTGATAATGAATTCAAATTCTTGGGCAAACTCAATTGGATCTTATGGGGGCCCAGAAATTCTTTATGCCCTGCAACTCAGCCTTTGACCAGCGTTGGTAGACAATCACCGGGGTTCCCCTATGTGTTACCGGTTGTTCCCAAAACAGGGTGATCATGAGAGATGGCCCTGCAGGGTCCCCCTTTTCCACATCTTCCAGATGAGAGGCTGCCACTGGCACTGTCAGGGAATTGTCAGGAGGTAGGGTCTTGGAAGTTAGACTCCCTACTGCCTTCTGTTGAGTGAGTGGTGTACAAGGAGAGGAAGATGTTAAATTAGAACATGCAGGAGAAGGAGGGAACAGATCTGGTCCGGGAAGTTCAGAGAGGTCAGGGGTAAAGTGGGGGTGTAAGTGGAGGTGGGGAGGTGCCACAGGGAAGTAAGGGATTCTGGGGATTTCTTTAAGAGAGATAGAACTTTAGAGAGTCCTTGGTTAGCATTTCTAAGTTGTTTGTTGGCTTATTGTAAGGACATGAGGTGATCTTCCCCCCATTTGCTACTCTCTAGGTACCATTGAAAGTAGCTCTCCCATTCTGGTTGTTTAGTTTTGTGCCTGCGTTTTGCATCCTAGTTCACAGGTACACTAATTTGGGCATCTCAGAAGATCCCCATCTAGGCCTCTGTAGGTTAGAATCTGCCTTGATTATAGTGGTCCACTTGATTAAATATTTGCATGACAATTCACCATAAGTGTTTTTGCATATACCTGGCCAGAGTTTCTAAGGGTGGAACTTTGTGTTCCACAGCTGTGGGGGTTTCAGCCAACTTAAAGGGCTCCTTCCACATAATTTAGAGTTTTCCTTCAGATTTGACCAAGTCGGAGGGTTTGTTGGATCCAAAGTGTGCTGCTTGGGGACCTAGCTTTTCAGGGCCGTTACTCGCTGAACTGGTATCGTGGCTACCTGGCACAGTGTGTCAGGGGCTCAAGGCATGGGAGATCAGCTCCTTATTTGCACCTGCTAGCTGAGATTACACCCTAAGTACGTTCTTCTGAGGGGAAATCCTACTCAGAGCCGTTGCACATCTTAGGGAGTGTTTCTTCCAGACACCCTCATGTAATTCTCAGTTGCCTAAGAAAGGCTGAGAAGGGCGAGCTCTTATTTCTTTGGAGAGGAAAATTCCATACTATAAGCTAGAGGGTTTAGAGTTGGCCAAATCCAATAAGAGAAGGACTGAAGCATACAAAAAAACACCTAACAAGACAGAAACAAGTAAATAAGACATCTAAGCAAAACGAACAGCAATCACACAAATTATACAATTTGAGTGCTCTAAATGTAAGGAGAAATTAAGACCAGCTGGTTGTTAACAGTACCTTTAGTTATTAAAGAGAATTTGCAAGACAGATTCCCAACTCACCTCCTTACCTAGTGATGAGACTCAAGCTGAAGACTGTTCTCCACTGATGAAGAAGCAGACAAGCTTGCCTTCCCTGATGGAAGCAAGCAAAAACTCCCAGAAAAAAAAAAAGAGGTGTTTTTTTTTTTTTTTTAAACATCAAATTAAACCTCAGAGCCCCAACTTCCTGCAGGGAGGAGGTCCCAGACCTCAACAAATTGTCTTATTGGTTTGGGCTATAAAGAGCCCAATCTGGTACCAATAGGAGAGCTGCTGCAGGCCAGGGCCACCTTCACTCAGGATCCCTCCGTGGTCAATCAAGGAAAATGACCCAGGAAAATCTCAATCATTTTTTGAGGTTTATTTGCCAAAGTTAAGGATACACACCTGGGAGATAGGTCTATTCCTTTCCCCATAGATGATTTTGAGGGTTTCAATATCTAAAGGGGAAAGGGAAGGATATTGAGAAATACATAATTTTCATGTGAGAAGAGGGTAGGGGAAAACAGTCATTCATGCCTTTGTCTGGCTCAGTGAATCTGCATTTTTACATATGTAGATAATGCAGACGATAGAGCAGAGGAAACAATCAGATATGCATTTGTCTCAGGTGGACAGAGGGATGACTGAGTTCTCTCCTATGTCCCCACACCTGTGGAGAAAAGCTATCCATTCACATTGCCATGATGCACTCTAACAGAAACACTTTAGGAAAAAGGTCTTGGGGCCCCCAAGGAATTTCCGTGTGGACAAAATGTGAAGGAGGTATGTAGCTTTTCGTATTTTAGCCATCTTATTTAGGAACCAAAATGAGATGCAGGTTGGCGTGACCCAGTTCCCAGCTTGACGTTTCTGTTTGGTTTAGTGAGTTTGGGGTCCCAAGATTTATTTTACTTTCACACAATCATAATCAGTAAATCATTGTACTTTATCTTTTTCATCTAATTGGGAACTCTGGGTGTTTTTTAATTTGGGGGGAATAAAAAGTATTTTCTAAATTCATTATGAATTGTGTGTCATGACAGTTATTGTTTCCATATTCTATTTTGTAGTGATAAGAAATTGATGCTGGCAAGCTACCAACTTTGTTTGCCCAGGTGTTTATACAACGCACCGCTAGACTAATCTTAAACATCAATTATCGCTGATTTGGGGCTTTATTGTTTTAAAATCTATAACTCATACTTTAGTACTTTGTAACATTTGCACTACACTGTATGATTTTTACCTTCTAGTTTGTCCTGTGTTTCCAATTAGATTCCAAGTGCTTACTCAGTTTAAGATCATCATAGGACCCTATGCTTTGCCTAAAATATACTTTCATTTGAGCTTTGACTTGACTGTATTTTTATTGCCTTCCCCGGTTGAGGCATTTTAGTAGGAAAAAAAAAAAGCTTATATCTTCTCCCTGTATTTTTAACCAGAGCATGATCGGTTCTAAACACATTCATTGCAATTTTTTTTTTAATTTTATTATTATTATACTTTAAGTTTTAGGGTACATGTGCACAACATGCAGGTTTGTTATGATTGGACTTACTCCTGAGTTCGTGCAGTTTGTATAAAAATATCTGGAAGACTAGAATGTTCACCTCACTGTTATCAGGCGAGATCTGCTGATTCATTCCACTGAATTTGGCTATTGTGAAACGGTAGAGAGAGGAAGCCTAATTATAGTACCACCCATCCTATGTGCTCAGCTTTCCTCCACCTAGAGTCTGGGAACACCCAGACCAGCAATCCTAGCCTCACTGAAGAAAATAATTAAAGAGCAGGCCAGTCAACACTGTTCTAATAAGACAAAGTTGTTTTTACAATGTTAACATTGCCTAATTAACAAACTTTTTATGTTGTTAATTTCATCATGTACGAGTTGCTATTTCCTGGATAAAAATTGAAACATACATGTTAACTTACATAATGTCGATAACAGTGGGAAATAATATAGAGCAAAAATATTTTCTCCTACGTGTACTATTTTCACCTTTGGTTGGCCTAAGAGAAAAATCCTTATATGGTGATATGAGAACATTCTTCATCAGATACAGAGGAATCTTTAACCAAGCATACAGCAGCCTCTTATTGAATAGACGTACATTTTAGGACTATCATGAGAGAGAACGCGTTTTATTCAATATATTTATAGTATATTTATAGCTCTTCTACAGTATATATGTGAATTACTAGGAGAAATGAGAAAAAAATAGGTGACTATCTAGTCCTCAAGGATTTTAATGCCTGGAAAGAAAGATTCAATGTATAATATTTTCCTGAAAATATACAAAAAAGTCAAATTATGAAAGTTTAAAAATAGCTTTACGTATTTCAATGGAAATTTCTATCCTATAGAGAGTTAGAAAATATTCAATCCCTAATGAAAGCTCACTTTAAATATAATCTTTGACAATATTTTCATAAACAAAGGCTCTTTAGTTTATCTTCCTTCACAACAGCATCAGGCTTAGTGCCCAATTAAATGTCTGCAGCAGTCCAAAGAAATATCATTGCCGAGGGTAGTATCTTTACCTCCAAGTGAGCAAGACAGGTCTCATCACTGCTATCAGTGATGAACTTGGGAATCAGTAATGGCTGCCAGTATTGAAAGATATATTATTTTTTTTCTTTTTTTTAAAACTTTATTATTATTATACTTTAAGTTTTAGGGTACCTGTGCACAACGTGCAGGTTTGTTACATATGTATACCTGTGCCATGTTGGTGTGCTGCACCCATTAACTCGTCATTTACATTAGGTATATCTCCTAATGCTATCTCTCCCAGCTCCCCCCACCCCACAACAGTCCCCGGTGTGTGATGTTCCCCTTCCTGTGTCCATGTGTTCTCATTGTTCAATTCCCACCTATGAGTGAGAACATGTGGTGTTTGGATTTTTGTCTTTGCGATAGTTTGCTGAGAATGATGGTTTCCAGTTTCATCCATGTCCCTACAAAGGACATGAACTCATCATTCTTTATGGCTGCATAGTATTCCATGGTGTATATGTGCCACATTTTCTTAATCCAGTCTATCATTGTTGGACATTTAGGTTGGTTCCAAGTATTTGCTCTTGTGAATAGTGCCACTATAAACATACGTGTGCATGTGTTTTTATAGCAGCATGATTTATAATCCTTTGGGTATATACCCGGTAATGGGATGGCTGGGTGAAATGGTATTTCTAGTTCTAGATCCCTGAGGAATTGCCACACTGACTTCCACAATGGTTGAACTAGTTTACAAAGCTGTAACTTTGCTGAGAACATTACAGATAAAAACACTGTGGAAGTTCAGGTGTGAGGGATTATCTGCAACTGAAAGGATCTGAGAATCAGAGGTCAGAGAAACATAGTCTATCACATATTTACTTGTCTTTTTTTGGTATTTTTCTTTTCTTTTCTTTTTTTGTTTTGTGTAGAGCAGTGGTTCTCAAATATTAGCATGCATGAGAATCACCTGGAGGGCATGTTAAAGCCCAGATTGCTGGCCCCACCCAAGAGATTCTGATTCAACAGGTCTGACGTGGAGCTGGAGAATTTGCATTTGTAGTAAGTTTCAGGTGTTGCTACTGCTGCTTGTCCAGGACTACTGATTATTCTCTGCAAGAGAATGCTAGAGTGGAATTACTGGAACAACAGCAAAGAACGCTTTAGGTTCTTGATACACTGTTGGGTTGCTATCAAGAAAGGGTATACACATTTACGAACTCGCCAGGGGAACATGAATGTTCTTCTCTGAATAACCTCTGTTATTGAGAGTCATAGGTTTTTTGTTGTTGTTGTTGCTTGTTGTTGATATACAATTTGGTTTTATTTTTGCATTTCCTTGATTAGGCTGAATATTTTTCTACATTTATTAACCATATGTATTTTCTCTTATGTAAACTTTCTCTGTGTTCTTTTCAGTTTTCAGAGTCAAAATTCCTACTCGTTTTCAATACTTGACTTTCAATGCATCTTCTTCCTGTGAAGTTCTCCTGACAACCCTACACGTGGTCCCTAGTTTGGGCCTCCTCTTCTAATAGTAAATGCGTACTCGCAATACTATGGAGAATTTCTATGCTGTATCCTAACTGTTGACATTCCTCTCTACCCCAGTGGACAACGAGCAACTCATGAACCATGATTGAGTCTTATTTTTATTCCTTTCCTCAGCCCCTAATCAACTGCTTGGCACAAGGTCTCTGTAAATTATTTAATGAATTAATGAATAAATCTATACAGATTACCGAAGAGTTGGTTTTAACTCAACACAGACTTCATCCAGATGGTATATCTACATTTTGTATGAAACAAAAAGGAGCACTAGGTCCTTAGGTGAGTCTAAGGACTTACCTAAGCTTGTTTAAAGTAATGTAAAGTAATGAAATGTAAGTAAAGTAATGAAAGCTTGTTTAAAGTAATGTAAGTGTTAATCGGACAGTATATAAAAATCCACACTAGGAAACTGCCAGACAATGAAATATTGCTGGCAACTGTCTACTAAAAAGAAAGCCAAGCCCTTTTCTTTCATTTAAAGAAAAGTAATTTCCTCTGCAAAATACTATAAAATTATATTTATTGATTCATCTGGGGCCTTTTCAAATTAACTGGACAATTATCCTAACACACCTCTCCAAAAAAAGAATACAAAAAACATGTTCTTCCTCTGACAATAAAACATGCATGTACTTACACATTGAAGGTACAAACAAAAGTTAAATTTCAAAAACAACTGTATTTTTTTCATCATGTCATACTGTTAAATCATACTCCTTGTATGCCTAATTTGGCTTTTTCACAGTTTTGCTATACCAAAAAATTACATAAAAAATTACCCAGCTTTATATTATCTCAGATACTGGAAAAAACATAAGTGAAACAAAGGAGGTTGCTGCTCAGTTGGAAATAAATAAACATGAGTACTCTTATATTTGGAAGGGACTTCTGGCTGGAGGTCTTGAGATCACGCAAATGCAGCAGGCTTTGCACCTTGGAGTCCTGAGATTGTCAGATACAAAGGAACTCCAGAGATGCTGAAACCCCTTGAACCTCCCCAGCTGTTCTTTTACCAAAGGTGAAAGCTCTTACCTGCAAGCTGGGTTTAGAGTCTCCGCTTCAGTTGCAGCTGCGTTTCCTCCACTTTTCCCTTTCAGTCATCATATTGCTGACCCTTGAAAACTTTTAAATTACTATTAAAGTGCTCAGTTGTGCTCCTTTTCGGCTATATGCTGCTCCAGTTTTGAAGGTGTAATTTGAAGTAAAATCTTGGAACCTAAGATCTTACCGTCTCCACGGACAGCAGAATACGGCTGTAATAGGTAGCTGTTAAGGTAGATGTTAAGGCCATTGTTACTATCGTCAACTGAGGCTAAGTCCTGGGTGGGCTTTTTGCTGTGCCAAATGCCCCCCTGTGCCACACAGTCAAACAGTAAACATGGCTCTACAGTGAGTCACACACTGGTTTTCAAAGAAGCATAAATCCTTCCACTAAAGAATCCATTGATAGGATAATTCTTTTATAAAATGGAGGTTCTAAAAACTGAAAGAACATTTTGCAACCCACCCCCAACTTTTGATTCCTACTGACACCCTTGACTCAATACAAAAGAAACTGGATTTCAAAAGATAAAAACGAATTTTTGCTTCTTTGGGTTGTGGGCTATAGTCATATCTTGCTCTGCATCTAGTTACAGCTTCAGGTCTCCACCTGAGGCAGCAAGTACTCCCCGATGGTGGCTGGGGAAGCCCCTCCAACTGCCTGACCTGGTCATATTTCCCACCTCACTTCTCTGAGGAACATCATAATTCAGGCTATGCTTAGATCAATTGGCAAAGAAATGAACTAAACATCGGCAATGATATAAAATCAATGAATCAGGTTTCACCAAAAAATGAATAGGGTAAGAAATTATGCTTTTTATGAATGTCCATCGTATAATCGTAAACAGTGGTGTTTCTACTGTATTTTAAAAGACCTGTATGTCTCAAGGCCTCTCTAAAAAAAAAAAATAGGGCCACCAAGCACAAATGTAGGGACAATTAATACCATTGTTTTTTAAGACTTTTAACACTGGTTACAATATATAAAATTTTAGTTGCTGTTAATAAAAAAATGAAAATGCACTGAAGGGGTTCATGACTATAGAATGGTAACACATTGTTAAGATATCAAATACTTTTGAAAATACATATACATGCTTTTGTTATGGGAGGTAACTTTTAAGGATTTAAATTGTAAGTTGTCTTTTTTTTTTTAATCATGGTTCTTTGACTGAAAATGTGACATATTCCTCAGCTTACCACAGAGTGAAAAACACTGTCACAGACTGGATTCCATGTTAGTGGAATTGCTGCACCGGCTCCTGTACCTAAGAGGTCTAATGAAAATCTTGTGAAAAAATATCCGAAATACTGGAGATCTGAAAATGATAAAAATCCAAGGGTCCACAATTGAAATCACAGATAGAAATCGCAAGGCTCGGAGGTCTTCTGCTTCTTCAGAGGTCCTGTTTTTCTCCTTGACATCCTTAAATGCTCCATAGTAAGCGCGATACTGTTTTGAAGAAAAACATTCCATTATGATGTGGAAAGGTTAATGGCAGCAATGGATTCACTTACTTCACCTAAGTTACTGTAAGAACATGACAGCTTAGCTTGGAACACCCATTTTTGGTACATTTACAAGTAGCTAAGGCCACAGCAGCTGATGGGTGCAAGTGGGGAGCTGGGAAGGTGGGGTGTGGCCAGACCTGGGAGGTGGGAAGGAAGCTGAGTACTTGTCGGAGACCCAGTCTGATTAAGTCCCTGAAGGCTATTCTACCTGCTGGGCTCAAGTTTCTAGGTCCCTGCCAGGCCATGAAGATCTGCTGAATCTTTTAGAAACAGGGTCAGCATGCTTTCATAAATACAGAATCTCTTTCTAGCTAGTGTCCTTGCACTTACTTTCTTCAGTTCTCCTTTCTTTCTTCTCCCTGCTTCCTATCTTCTCCTATTAGTTCTCTCAGAAATAAGTCACACCTGTGAAATGTCATATGTATGGAGACACCAATAGAATGGAAGCTTTTAATCAATGTGAAGAGATTGGAAATATGACAATGAAAAGACCTGAGATGACTTGGAAAAAAATACTGTTCAACTCATGTAAATTGCTATACTTATTTTTAGCACAAATTGTTACTTTTTCATGGTTGACATCCTTTTTTTTTTTCTTGTTCAATCTAGAAGGCAAAAACATGCACAAAAATATAAGGCTGCCTTACCTAGGTCCAACCAACTCCTCTTGTCTTGATCTTCCCTGAGGTCTCTGTAGCCTCCTTGGAGCCCTGCAAAGTGCCTCAAACAACAGCTTTTCCTCCCATTCAGCCAACACTGATCTCTAGATCAGCACAACCATTGCTTTCCACTCTGCCTAAGGCTGGCCACTTTTTTCTTTTTTCCATTACATTCTCTATGCCTACAATTCTAAATACATTTTAGGATAAATGGACTCTAATGGAACAGGAAGCGTGCAAACTCAACATTAGTAAGAAGGGATATGGATAAGAGACTGGACCCATTCGAGGCAATCAGAGAGCATCTCCTGGAGAAGATGCATTTTTCCCATAATCATTTCCTTACTGTTCTACTTTCTTCTCTGTAGAGCATTTCAGCAGGCTCAGCCACTCCAATCTAGTGCATTTAGGAAGACACCTTACACTGGACTCAGCTGTTTAATCTGGATGCCCTCGCCCATCTGAAGTCGGGCGGGGGCGGAGGGAATCTTAACAACTTCTCCATAACATAAATATTGTATTTGATTAATCTTGATGAAAAGTTTGTTGGAGTATGATTTTTAAAATTCACTTTAATGCTGAACACTTAACTAGATTGAATTTTCAAATTTCCAGTTTGATACAATCGGAAGAAAGTGCAAGTGTAGAGAATATGGCATGAGCTTCAGAGGCATTCTCTAAGGCATATAACATATTTTCAGGCCGGGCACGGTGGCTCACGCCTGTAATCCCAGCACTCTGGGAGGCTGAGGTGGGTGGATCATTTGAGGTCAGGAGTTCGAGACCAGCCTGGCCAACATGGTGAAACACCGTCTCTACTAAAAATACAAAAATCAGCCGGGCATGGTGGTGGGCGCCTGTAATCCCAGCTACTCGGGAGGCTGAGGCAGGAGAATTGCTTGAACCTGGGAGGCCGAGGTTGTAGTGCGCCTAGATTGTGCCATTGTACTCCAGCCTGGGTGACAAGAGTGAAACACTGTCTCAAAAAACAAACAAAAAAACATATTTTCACCCAAATCATTTTTACCTTAGAAAACCACAATGTCCTGGAGGTTGGTGGGGGAGCAGGGATGGATGAGAGAGGGTGTGCGTGTATATACTAGGCGTTACGAGAGAGAGGGTCTGTAAGCCAGGTAAAGATAAGTACAAGCTATTTAATCACTTGTCAGAATCCATGAAATCAGAGATGAGAGAGCTCTCCTGTGTATGCCATTTTGAGGAGCAGAAAGAATAGGTGCGATGCTCCTTTCAAAGGAGGCTGTTGGAGGCCCGTAAGGGACAACAGGCAAGTGATGGGCCCAGGGAAAGGGTCTGAGGTAGATTTAAAGGGATAGAGCAGAGGGCAAGGTCTGTTGTGTTACAGTGCGTGGACTGGATAGAAGAGGGCATCAGAAGCCAGAGAGGGCTGCCTGGCAGGGATGTCCAGGAGGTGGCAACAACATTATTTCAATGACTCCCAACTCCATCAGAGGGCGTTCTTCTCACACCAATTCTTTCTGGATATTGAGCACTTTTAAAAATGCCCATGTATTTTTTTTTTTTTTTTAAGACAGAGTCTCACTCTGTCACCCAGGCTGGGGTGCAGTGGCACAATCAAGGCTCAATGCAGCCTTGACCTTCTGGGCCCAAGCAATCCTCCCACCTCAGCCAAGTAGCTGGGACTACAGGCATGTGTCACCACGCCTGGCTAGTTATTTTTATTTTTTTTGTAGAGGCAGGGTCTCACTGTGTTGCCCAGGCTGGTCTCAAACACCTGGGCTCAAACAGTCCTCCTGATTTGGCCTCCCAAAATGCTACGATTACAAGTGTGAGCCACCAGCCCCAATGAACAATACATTTCTAATACAAATCCAGTGACTTGAATGTCAACCTAATGGATTTGACATGGATAAATGCTGCCTAGAAAATAAAATAATTTGTTTTAATTATGCTAGTATCATTCAGTTGTCTAGATCCCAACTAATCAAGCATTCTCAAATAGTTGGAACTATATTTTGCCACACTCCACTTTGAGGAGAAAGGGGCAAATAGAAAAAAAACTCATGTAAAATGTTTTCTTTTTAAGTCAACTTAACCATATAGCTTATTGTCACCCATGTCTCCCCCTTCAGATAAAGATACAATTGCTAGGTCCATTACTTAGAAGAGTGTAAAATCTCCAATACCTATTCAATGTGTCCAGTAGGTCAAAACTACTGTCATTACAAACATGTGATTTGCCTTTTTCCCCTTCATTCTCTCACAAGTGTACAGTGAATTTTATGGAGGCTAGATAACAAATGATGACATCACTTTCACAAAGAATAGAATATGTGGTTGTTTATCCTTGTGTTTTCTAGACCTTTTAAGGTGGCAGGTTGAGGGTACACACGTGAATTTTCAGAGACTGTTTTCAGTACTTTTGTGCTCTTAACAGGATTTTTCCACTTTACTTGCTATAATCTCTGTAACCTTATTGTCATCAAATCATTGTGAAATCCCCACATTTTCCTTGTACATATGGAAAACACAAGAGGTACATTTTATCTTGTTTTGCAATCATATGTTTAGAATTTCTTAGTTTTATTTTCTAATATGAGAAATACTGATGATTTAATCCACATAAAAGCCATCTGGGTCATTAATAATTTTAAGAGTATAAAGGGGTCCTTAGACCAAAAAAAAGTTTCAGAGCCACTGCCTTAGTATATAGCACTATCTCCTGGGACGATAATCGTTCTTGATTTTTTTTTATGTCCAGCAGGCAACAATAATACATGGAAGTTATAAATAGTAATAATAATGATGCTAATATATTGAGGCAAGACACTGGGCTAGGTGATGAATGTATATATTATGTATGTAATTTCAAATCTTCATTACTATCTTACAAAACAAGTATGGTTATAATCATTTTACAGATGAGGAAACTGAGGTCAGAAAGGGTAAATTAGCTGCTACCATAGCTAGTAAGTGATGAAGCCTGATTCAAAACCATGTCTGATGCTAAAGCCCTTATCCTCTCTAGAAAATAGTGGTTCTTGTGAAGAATGCTGTCAACATTAAATATATTTGGAACTTGCTAGTTTTTTTGGAAAATCTTTTTCAACTCCATTGATTTTCTTCAATCCTCACAATACCCTAGGAGTTATCCAAGTCTCCGTAGAGACATGTCCAAATGCAATGTTCTTTCCACTGTATGATGCTGCTTTCTGCATTGGTCTGACTAAAACATTCAAACTCAGGTCAAAATTTCCATGCATTTGGCTACTGTCTACTTTGTCACAGCATAGATAAGTGAGGCCCCAACTTTACAATAGGAGCTCCTAAAGATTGTATAAAGGACCAGATAGTAACTATTTTAGGTTTTATGGCCAAGAGACAAAATCATAAATATTTGATAGGTACTAATATAACATGGGAGAAAACACATTTCCACAATTTTTTGATGGAATTCAAAATGTATTAATAATTGAGTACAATTTTTTTTTTAGATGGAGTCTTGCTCTGTCGCCCAGGCTGGAGTGCAGTGACACAGTCTTGGCTCACTGCAACCTCTGCCTCCCAGGTTCAAGCGATTCTCCTGCCTCAGCCTCCTGAGAAGCTGGGACTACAAGTGCATGCCACCACGCCCAGGTAATTTTTGTATTTTTAGAGACGGGGTTTCACCATGTTGGCCAGGATGGTCTCGATCTCTTGACCTCATGATCTGCCCGCCTCGGCCTCCCAAAGTGCTGTGATTACAGGCGTGAGTCACCGCTCCCGGCTGAGTACAATTTTTTTGTAATATGTATCTACTAAGGAGAAGAATAAAACGTTTTCTTGGAACAGTATTTTTCTTGAAATAGTATTTGGCTCAATTGAAGCTCAAAACTCTTGGGTCTCATCAAATTGATTGCAGAGATTCATTTGTAAGAATTATTCTTAACTCCAGGGAGATGTAAAACAGTGGCCAGGAAAGATTTGGCCTGTGAGCTGTGGTTTGCTAACTCCTGTTTTAGAGTGTGATTCTACAAATGTGAACCCTGAATCTGAGCTTGCATATCACCTGGGAACTTGTTAAGAATGAAAATTCTTTAAAAATGTCTGAATTAGAAACTCTGGGGAATGGGGTCCAGCCATCTTTTTTTCTAGAAGCCTTGCTGGTGATTCTGAGCTGGTGATTCTGAAGACCACTGCTATATGTCATCTGCGCCTATATCTACATTTAGATAGATATAGATTTATGTATTTGTTTATTTATTTTGGGGGCATACTGTTCCCACCCCTGCATGCTGATGCCCCAGACTTCTTTTTCCGCAAGCAGTAAGGCCTTCATTTAAAGGAAAATCGCTTTGTATTTCCCTTTCATTCACCATTGAAAGTAATATCCAAAATGGCTACATTCTGAGAAGAAATTTAACAACTTTCCTATTCACAGAAGTCTCAGGATTTCGAGAACGTGGGATTGGCAATGGAATTTCTGTAAGTATTGTTTTTGTTGAACAGGTACCTTGGGAGAAAGGAGAGGAGCAGCACTGAAAATGTTTCCTCAAGCCTCACCTACTCCCAGGTGTCTTGGCGGGGACTCCAGGAACAAATGCCTTCAAAATGAGGAGATAATTTCATTTCCATCGCTATCCTCATTACCAAATTGAAACCGGAGATAATGGCTTTCATGTCACCTCACTTGCCAAGATACACTCAAAACCCGTCAAGTCAGGTTGTCAAAACGACACCAGCAGCTAAAACATACAAAGAGCCTCGGCCTCCATCGCCACAATCCCTGGCGGATGCAGCACCAGAAACAGCAGCCGTGGCGTCTCAAAGTTTACGCACGCGTTTTTCAAAATTAAAACTATGCATCTGCAAATCACTCTGGCTGGCTTAAACCTCTTTTTCCCTTTCTATGCCAACACCGGGGAGAAGATCGTCCCAGACGCCATTCGCCCATTTCTGATACCACTGAAGTCATGAGCAGGTCTAACAAAATAAAACATCACCCAGCCGTCGGGAAGTAGAAGACTCCTGTTGCCAAGGAGAAACTAAGTTCTGCTCCTCCTAAGGCGCAAAAATGACCTCGAGATCTCCCCAGAAGGAAGCAGAGAGGAGGGAGTTCTGCCACATGGAGAGGGTTTTGCTGGGCTAGGGAGACACCGCCGGGCTCAGCCTTTCCCTTCCTTTCTCTAACTTTCCCTCATTTCGCTCCGCAAACTGAGTTATATCTCGGGGCTGTGGAAGGAATCCAATTTGGGGAACTCAGCAGCAAACCTTCCTGGCCCAGGGCGCAGCTCGCCTGGCGCCGCGTCCATCCCGATCCGCTCCACCCTTCCCGCCCCGCATCCGCGGCCGGACAGTCTCAGTGCCCTGCTGCCTCGGGGCCCGGGGACTCACAATTACGGGCAGAGAACACATAGTGAAGAGCACGGTCATCAGCGCCAGCAGCAGGAGGTGATCCAGCTCCTCCAGGGGCTGAGGGGACGCTTCCCTCCCGTCCGCGCGCGGCTCGGCACAGTCCCTGGTGCAGGAGCGCGGGTGCCGCTGCAGCCGCCGGTGCATCGCATAGAGGTTGCGCATGGCGCCGAGGTTGCACAGCACGGTGGCGAGGACCAGCAGCGCCATGAGGCTGGAGTAGAGCACAGAGTACCCCAGCACCGACAGCGAGCCCTCCTCGTGGACCATCTGGATAAAGCACCAGGTGCCGGGGCAGTACTGCACGAACTTCCCGAAGCCCATGAAAGGTAGCGCGCAGAAAGCCAGGGAGAAGGCGCTCACCACCGGGGCCACCAGTGCGCCCAGGCGCAGGGTGATGTGCCGTCGGTAGAAGAAAGGGTGCCCTAGGGAGAGCCAGCACTCCAGTGCCATGGCCAGGAGTTGCAGTGTCGAGGAGAGCCCAAAGAAGGACATGAAGAAGGCGAAGGCTTGGCACAACGAGTTGTCCAATGCGGGCGCAAGCACCCGCAGACTCCGGTTCTGAGCGTAGGCAGCCAGCACCACCGGGCTTAGGAGGCACTTGCCCAGCAAGTCGGTGACCGTCAGGCCACACACCAGCATGTAGAAGACCGAGGGCAGCGGGCGCAGTGGACGCCGCGAGCACCACCCCAGCCCCGAGCGCGCCAGCAGCCCCAGGGCCAGCAGGTTGCCCAGGAGGCCGGTGCTGAAGAGCACCCCGCCCATCACCGCCGAGTTGCCTTTTTCCACAGAGGTGGTGTTCTGGCAGCGGTAGAACGGCGACTTCATGGCGTGCGGGAGCAGAGGGCTGGAGTGAAGGCTGCGGAAGGGCGAGGGCCCCGGCGCCCGGGTGCTAAGGAGCCCCCGGCAGCTCCGCGCGCGGCTCGGGCGGAGAAGCTGCGCCACAGAAAAAGCTCCGAGGGCGGCGGGGTGTTCCCCACGGCAGGAACCTCCTATCTAAACTCGCGGGTCACACCCCTCTTTGAGAGGCGGGACGCTCTGCAGGGTGAGCGCCTGGCGCTGGCATTGAAGAGCGCGGAGCAGGCCAGTGAAGAGCTCGGCCCTGACGCGCTGCGTTCTCAGTAGAGACAGACTCTGGTGCCGAGTCGGAACGGCAGGAGGAAAATAGCCAGAATTCCAAGCACCCAACACCAGTCCTTCTAGCGAGGCAAGAGAAGAACTACTAAAGTGGAGGGGAAATTAAGCAGCAGCCACCTGAGAGGAGGGCAATGGTGCTGGTGTTTGAACTGGGGTGGCCAAGAACTCGAAAGATGAGCGAAGAGGGGAGGCTGAGAAAGGGCTTCTACCTAGTTGTCTTGAATTAGCTAGTCAAGGAAAGGTAAAGATAACTCACGTCTGGAAAGCCCCTGAGCCTTAGCTCCTCTTCTCTACTAGATCAGCGCAATTTGGGGCATTCACGGTCATCTCCATTGCATAGGCGAGGAAACTGAGGCCTTGGAAAGTTAAGTGATCTGCCCGTGGTGACAGAGCTACAGAAGTAGCAGAGCCGGACCTCTCACCCGATCTTCTATTTTGGAGTTCATCTGTCCTGTTCCCATGACTCCTCCTCCCAAGAAGTTGTCCAGATTTCAGGGAAGTGGTTTGTGGGAAAGCCAAGAGCCGGTGTTGGTCCTGGGTGCCATGAATCACATTGACTGTAGAGAGCTGGGGGGAAGGGCATGGTTAGCAGCACTGTTGCTGTCATCAGATAGGCCTGGGTTTGAGTCCAGGTTCTGCTCCTCACTGTGTGTGTGACCTTATGGGACTTGCTTAGCCTCTCAAGCAGTAACATCTATCTGGCCTGCTTGGCTCTTCTGAGGCATAGAAATAACACGTAAAGAGCAAGTACATAGAAAGTGCTCAATTCATGCAATCACCATGATTCTTATTTGATAGAAGGGTGTTTTGGTAGCTGATGTTTAACTGCAGTTTTTAGCATGGATTTTGAAATCAGAAAATGGTAGATTTGGCATAGAGCTTTCTCACTCCTCTGATTTGTGGCTACTAGAAAAAATTTATTCCTGTTTGGGCTTTGACTTGGCTGCATCATAAAGGCAAGGGAGTTAATTGTGATAAGCGTGATTTTATATCTTTAACTAGCATTCGATGCCCTGTGAGAGAAATTGGCTTTGAGTGTGGAATCTCAGTGGGATGACTAAGGTTTTGTTATGTAAGTGAGTAGATGATGCCTGGGCTTGAAACGGCTCATTTTTAGGCCTCATGCCAGTTCTGATGGACAGACTCAGGGAAAGAGCAAGACCCTTGGGATTTAGATGTGAAAGCCTGAAGGGTAGACAGAGAGGCTGCCTCCAGACTGAAAGTCTGGCCAGTAATTCAGGCCACAGGGTGGAAAAGAAGAATCTAAGCTTGGAATTAGATAGTTCTGAACTCCACCACTGGCTGTGTGACCCTGGGTTAGTTGTTCAACCTAATGGAATATGAGACTTATGCTGAACTTGTGGGGTTGTTGTGAGGTTGAGAAAACTTGAAGTGCTTTGGCATAGTGTAATAATAATAATAAGAGCTAATATTTATTGGTCCTGATGCAGGTTGGACACTCTCTAAGCCTTTCACTTATATTGACTCAATAGAAGGCCTTGTATAGAGTTAGTTCCCTTGTCTTCTACCTACTCTCTCTCATTCCCATCTCTAGCCCCTAGCACATAAGAATGGGTTTAGAAGAGCCCCACTCGACTTAATGAAGTGAAAGGAAGAGCAGGCCCCATAACCAAAAGACATGAGAATTTGATGAAAGCTGTGGTCTCCTCCATAGACAGACAGACACACACACACACACAGGCACACACACACAGACACACACGCAGACACACACACACACACTTTACATCAATCTCAGGCTGTTCACCATTTCCTGAAGCCCTTCTATGGTACCCAGAGGAGACCCAATGGACACTAGCTTAAGAATCCTTCCTCTAAAAATATTGCATGGGTTGTTCTTCTGAAGCATACCTACTTCAATTCTTTGCAGCTTTATTTTCATGCTACAGTGGCTTACAACTCCGTATTTATCCTAGGAACCCTAAGATTACAAATACCTTTTAAAGAAAACAACCCCAAAGTGTGACTGTTGGGCCAGCTGTGGGTCCTTGATAAGGTTTACATACATCATGCTTTAAGGTTGAAGGTTTTGAACAAGTGCAATTCAGGAAACCACACGTTTCCTCTCAGCCACTGTAGCTGGCCTTTACGATGGGGTTTCCGGTTGCCTTTCCTGATTGCTTTGCTGGTGTCCACCCTACCCTGTTCTCAGGCCTAACTTTGGAGTCTTCTGTCCCAGTTCCCGAGAAATTCTATTTTGTAATTTCACCATACAACCAAGAAAAGTATCATTTGTTCATGCGTCAAATAGTTTTTGCGCTCCTACTCTGTGCCAAGCATGGGGGTGAGGGGATGAAGCATGTGGGCACTGAGGGGCATACAACAGATAAGGAAAGGCAAACATCATGTCGTGTGACCTCTACAGGCTTATACATTTTTATATCAGCTTTCAGAGTAACCAGGCTAAGTACATTTTTTCCTTAAAAGGGAAACCTTTAATGAAAATATCTTAGGCTAAGTTAGTGGTAAAATTACCTCCATTATCTACAGAGCTGTACCAGGCTGCTTAATTGGGTTATAGGACAAATCTTCTGAAAATATATGACATCATGTGGATGACTATTTTAAATATATAATTATATTATGGCAATATAAACATAAAAATCATAGATTCTCATGGACAAGGCTCAGAAGCTGACATAGGCAAATGAAAACATTCACTTAGACTTGAGAAGGGATGGCAGAAAAATATCTCCTTGGTTTCTGATATTTTCAATGTTGTATATGTAATAATTATTTTAAAAGACTTTAAATGTAAAACAAGTGATATGGTTTGGTTCTGTCCCCACCCAAGTCTCATCTTGAATGTAGCTCCTATAATTCCCATGTGGTCATGGGAGGGAACTGATGAAATGTAATTAATCATGGGGGCAGGTCTTTCCCATGCTGTTCTGTGATAGTGAATAAGTCTCACAACATCTGATGGTTTTATAAAGGAGAGTTCCCCTACACAAGTTCTCTCTTGCCTGCTGCCATGTAAGACGTGACTGCTCCTCATCCACCTTCTGCCATTATTGTGAGGCCTCCCCAGCCATGTGGAACTGTGAGTCAGTTGGACCTCTTTCCTTTATAAATTACCCAGTCTCAGGTATGTCTTTATTAGCAGCATGAGAACAGACTAATACAAGAAATGTATGCTTATGGTGGGGATCTAGGAAGGGGAAAAGAAGGAAAAAGGAACATTTATTTTTTTCTGGATCCATTCTAACTATGCTTCTAAATCTTATCCATTGCTCACTTCTACTGAACTCCAAGTGATATTTTGGGCTGGGGCTTGTGAAGAGCAAGGAATGGAGAGGAGGGATGCTAACAAATGATAAACAAACTTAGCTCTCAAATTTGGAGCATGTTCTGCATGCTAGAGACCATGCTAGATGTTCGTTCACATTCAGGACCTGGAGTGGTAGCATAGAAGTGTGGCCATGATGTGTTAGGTCCTGGGAGTCATACTGTGTGAACTTAAATCTCAGCTTTGCCCCTTGCTAGCTGTGTACCCTTGCATAATCTTCTAACCTTTCTAAACCTCAATCCGCTTGTCTGTAGAAAGGAGGGAAGGAGGGTGAAGGGGGATAATTGGACTGAACTCTTAGGGTAGTATCTGGCTTAAATGAAATAATCTGCATAGAACAATAGTTAGCAATCTTGGCTGCACTTTGGAATCACCTGGAGAGCTTTAAACCTTTGTGATGCTTCAGCACCCCAAATTGATGATATCAGACTCTTTGGGGTTGCCCTCCAGGCTTCAGTATCTTTTTTGAAGCTCCCCAGTTAATTCCTGTGTGCAGCTCAGGTGAGAATGTTAAGCACTGTGCTGTGGCATGCTCTGCGTGGCTCCGTAAGTGATGTTCATTAATGTTTTTATTCCTGCCAACTGCACTGCAGAAGTTTTCTTTATCTCTCTTTTCTTGGATAAGGAAAATGAGACTCAGAGAGGTTAATAACTTGTTTAAGTTCACACAACTGGTATGTGATGAGTCTAGAATTGGCATCCAGGTCTTTTGGATTCCCCAAGCCTCTGCCTTGGAGAAAGAGAATTGCAGAGAAGACCAGAGAGTGAGAGAGAAAGGAGAGATCCTGCCACTTCCTCTATCTGCTCAGAAGTCAAGAGGCAGAACTACCACCAGGGACAGACCATGTGTCAGTGCCCTGTGTTTTTGGGGTCACACAATGTCTTGTGGTGGTCTGCCCAAATATTTTGGCATCTGTTTGCTATTTGCAGGTAGTTTAATAAAATCTTCATGTTTGTTTGATTCTTATTCCTGCTTTTCAGGCTTCCCCAACCTTTTGCCTAGCAAGAATTTCCATTTTGATCTTTGGCTTCTGTCCATGTGTAAATCAGGATCAGGATCTCTGTATGTGTAGGAATTTGAGAAAATACGCTTTCAAAAGATCAGCATGAATTTTTTGAAAACGTCTTTGGGTGATGACCTGAGAGTAAATAAATGGTGGTATAATCCATTTGTAACCTGATGACAGGTTGTGAGGGTTCACTGATTACTGAGCTTTTCTAGCAGCTTGCATAAGCTTCCAAGGGAAGTTGTTGGCAGCTATGGCTGGTTTGGTTGCCTGAGAAAAGCAGACTCTGAGATGGAGATGAGGATAGGATATGTAGCGTATTTATTAGGAAGTGCTTTTGAGATTGACACCTGTGAAAAAGAAGGAACAGAAACAGGATTGAGTAGAGAAATTGGGTTGTGATAGTTCCAATGACAGACCTTAACTAACCTGACTGGAAACTCAGAAGCTGACAAGGCCCCTCAAAGTTGTCTCACTTGAAGGTAAGGATACTAGGCTTTTGTATCCCTGAATGGGCCAGTGACTGGGGGCAGGTTGCCCTGGGGAAGGGCATAGAGCCTTGGGTGCTGCAGCTCTCTCAGCCAAGGCAATACATGGAGGGGGCTGATGGCTGAGGACTGTGCCACAGCGCGGGGAATAAGCCTTTCAGTCCTGAATGGGATCTGGGTGGCACATTACAGTGTCCAGTACTGATAGCAGTGCTGCTGGGCATCTCACCTGAGACTCAGAGGCTGTGGGCCCTTAAGGCCCACTATACCTACCTCAGGTTTAAAGGACCCTCCCTGAACACCTTTTTGGTGAGCCAGGGAAGTGAAGCCACTGACCAGGCCACAGCATTCCAATACTAATTTGTGTTTTACTCATACTGTTTGTGTTAGGTTGTTCTTATGTTGCTATAAAGAAATAACTTTCACCGTGACAGACAACATTAAACACTTTTAAAAAAGAAAAAAAACACCTGAGTCTGAGTAATTTATAAGTAACAGAGGTTTTTTTTTTTTTATACTTTAAGTTTTAGGGTACATGTGCACAACGTGCAGGTTTGTTACATATGTATACATGTGCCATGTTATTGTGCTGCACCCATTAACTCGTCATTTGACATTAGGTATATCTCCTAATGCTATCCCTCCCCCCTCCCCCAACCCCACAACAGGCCCCGGTGTGTGATGTTCCCCTTCTTGTGTCCATGTGTTCTCATTGTTTAATTCCCACCTATGAGTGAGAACATGCGGTGTTTGGTTTTTTGTCCTTGTGATAGTTTGCTGAGAATGATGGTTTCCAGCTTCATCCATGTCCCTACAAAGGACATGAACTCATCATTTCTTATGGCTGCATAGTATTCCATGGTGTATATGTGCCACAATTTCTTAATCCAGTCTATCATTGTTGGACATTTGGGTTGGTTCCAAGTCTTTGCTATTGTGAATAGTGCCACTATAAACATACATGTGCATGTGTCTTTATAGCAGCATGATTTATAATCCTTTGGGTATATACCCAGTAATGGGATTGCTGGGTCAAATGGTATTTCTAGTTCTATATCCCTGAGGAATCGCCACACCAACTTCCACAATGGTTGAACTAGTTTACAATCCCACCAACAGTGTAAAAGTGTTCCTATTTCTCCACATCCTCTCCAGCGCCTGTTGTTTCCTGACTTTTTAATGATTGCCATTCTAACTGGTGTGAGATGGTGTCTCATTGTGGTTTTGATTTGCATTTCTCTGATGGCCAGTGATGATGAGCATTTTTTCAATTGGCTCATAGTTCTGCAGGCTATACAGGAAGCATGGTGCCGACATCTGCTTGGCTTCTGGGGAGTCCTCAAGGAGCTTTTACTCATGGAGGAAGGTGAAGGGTGAGCAGGCATGTCACAGGGTAAGAGTGGGAGCAAGAGAGAGAGGGGGGAGGGTATCACACATGTTTAAACAACCAGACCTCATGAGAAGTTATTCACTATCTTGAGGACAATACCAAGCAGATGGTGCCAAACCATTCATGAGGGATCCGCCCCCATGATCCATTCACCTCCCACCAGGCCCCACCTCCAACGTTGGGGATTAAATTCCAACATGAGGTTTGGTGCATACAAATATTCAAACAATATCACTGTTTTTGATTTACCTTTTTCCCAGCATAGTCTTCAATTTTTATTTCATCTCTCTGATCACTCAGAAATCTTCTTCAGATTCTTCCCAGAAATTCCTCACCCTCATTCCAAACCTACATTACCCAGTCCCTTGGATTCCCTCATATGCCCCGGACATTTGCGGTATGACATTGTGTGTTTGTTTGCATGTTGGGCGTGAGTCTCTCAAGGGCAGGGGCGATGCCTTATTCAACTTTGTGCCCCTGTGTCCCAGCACACACTGCTAGACACACAATAGATTCTCAATAAATGTTTACTGAATGAATGAATAACGATAATACCTTCTACTATTTGTCCATGTCCTGAAAGACTATTTTTGAGTCTTAAACAATTTGGTATCTTATCTAAGAAGCAAAGGTATTCTTCTGTTCAACCACCAAGCAGAGAGCCCAGGTTAAATAAACACAAATTGTATGCAAATACAAGTCTGGGACTCAAAATTATTTTATATACCTGAATGTGGCTCTGGAGGAAGACATAAAGTAAACAATTGAAATTGACTTTTGAAATTGATTGTTTTTCTCTATGACATCAACTGGTGCAAATTTTTTGAAAGATAAATTATTTAAAAAACACACTTTTTTTAAAAAAGCAAGAAAGCTTTGAGAATAAACAATTGGAAGAGTTGGACACTTCCAACTTTGAGAATGATTATCATTACTGTTAATAAAACTGGAGAGACAGGAGGAGAAAATTACCTGGTACAAATGTTTCTATGATCAGCTTGAATTTAAATACAGATAAACTGTCTTCCTACTAGACAGAAATCTGAGCTGGATGAAGGATAATCTACAGGTATGACACTTCTAACCAATGGATCAAGAGTAGACACCAAACTTCATCTAAGGCTGTAAACATGGTAAGCAAATGCTGGGGAGAACTTTGATTTAGATTCTACAGAGTGATTTAAACTAACAAGAGAGTTGTTGATGTGGGCAGTGAGACAACTGTGATCTCTGCATTTTGTCAGCATCATCTGTACTTTTTTGTACTTGGTAAAAAACATTGTGGACAATAACCAGCATCAGTCAAATTATGTAATTTTCCTTCTCTTTGGGAATTTTAAATTACAAATTTATGGACAACTTATTAATTTATTTCTTTATCTTGGTATTTACTTCTCAAACTTCACTTTTCATAGCTGTAAAAGCTCATGAGTGATTGTGATTGGGAACAGTTCTTATTAAGGAAAAGTGAAAATTAACTTGTGGGTTAACACAGCAATAAGAAGAAGAGAAGATGTTAAGAATAATACACTTGTTATGGTGGAGAGTGAAGAGGAAACACTGATCTTTGGCTTTAGGGACTGATCGAGTGAGGTTTTCTGCCCTAGGATACACCCAGTCAGGAAGCAGTGACTGTGGTCTGTTCCAATCACGCCTGCAGATCTGGCCGGGCTAGAATCCGTTAGTTGAACGACTTAGCCATTTAGCAGAGACCAGCTGGTTTCTCACAAAATCCATTTCCTGTTCTTGAGCAGTCCCATAAGCTACATTTTTCTGCCTCCCTTGCAGTAATGTATCACCATATAGCTGAGTTCTTTTCTCCCACATGCTGCTGTTCATCCCCTTTCCCCATCTGCAAGCTGGATGTGGAGGACTCTGAGGTCTTAGAAAATGATGAAGAAATATATGAAAGGACCGTGGACCCCAGAATGACCACGTGGAATGTTTACTGGTGACCAGGAATACACATTTTGAACATAGGTGAGCAAAAATATACTATTGTGTTATGCTGGTGAGAATTTAGAATTTGTTACAGCAGTGGGCATTAACCTAATGAATATAAGCATGTCAGCTTACATTTCATAAGACCATCTCTACTGCAAGAGAGGTTGGGGAATGTTGTCCTTCAGTTGGACAGATTACCATCTTGAATAAAATTGGAATTGTGTTGATAAGGAAGAAAGGGGGAATGGGATATTTTGTGGTCAACCAGCAGTTTCTGCTGCAGTATACAATAGTTCAGATTTTGCAGAGTGATCAAGGAAAATGAGAACTGAGAAAAGATCATTGAATTTGGCAACGAGGAGTCACTGATGACCTTTATGAGCACAGAGTAGGGTAATTATCAGATCACAGAAGATGGAGTGCATGGGTTATGTGTCACTGGAGGGAGCAATGTAATTTTGGTGTAAAAGAAATTAAAAGCTTGAGAAGCAGAGGGATAAAATGAATCTTTTAAAAATTGGTCAAAAGCTTCATATTTTGAGGGCTAACAAAGAAAAAACAGTAGCGCTCCCATGGGACATCCAACATTGGAACTCTTGGTTCTTGGACCTTTGAATTCCAGAACTTTCTCCAATTGCCCCCCACCCCCACTCACCCATTATCCCTGGTTCTCAGGCCTTGGAACTTGCATTGAAATACACCAGTGGCTTTCCTCATTCTCCAGTGTGTCAGTATATTGGACTTCTCAGACTCCATGATTACAAAGGCAGAAGAAGCTCTCCAGATGTCTTCCAGTAACGTTGAAGTTTTTATCAGAATGTTGCAAGGAAACACCAATTGGGTCACCTGGGATGACCTTCAATGACCTGAAGACATTTACTGAAGGAGCTGTGTTAAGTTTTTTAACATCTTCTATTGAGTAAAAGTGAAAAGCAGCTTTTTACTTGGTTGAAACCAATTGAGAAAGAAATTCTATCAAATATCAAGTATGTGCATGAACTTTTAAAAAGACAATTTTATTGACCTATATTGAACTTCATAAGTTTTGCCTATTAACAATAAAGCTACTGTGAGCATTTTTGTACAAGTCTTTACAGAAATATACAGACATGTGCTTTCATTTCTTTTGGCTAAGCTAGGAGTGAAATGGTTGTATCACATGTTAGGTGTATGTTTAGCTCTCAAAAGAACTGCCAAACTTTTTAAAAGAAGTGGCTGTACCGTGTGCATCAACTTTTTTTTTTTTTTTTATACTTTAAGTTTTAGGGTACATGTGCACATTGTGCAGGTTAGTTACATATGTATACGCTGGTGCGCTGCACCCACTAACTCGTCATCTAGCATTAGGTATATCTCCCAATGCTATCCCTCCCCCCTCCCCCCACCCCACAACAGTCCCCAGAGTGTGATATTCCCCTTCCTGTGTCCATGTGATCTCATTGTTCAATTCCCACCTATGAGTGAGAATATGCGGTGTTTGGTTTTTTGTTCTTGCGATAGTTTACTGAGAATGATGATTTCCAATTTCATCCATGTCCCTACAAAGGACGTGAACTCATCATTTTTTATGGCTGCATAGTATTCCACGGTGTATATGTGCCACATTTTCTTAATCCAGTCTATCATTGTTGGACATTTGGGTTGGTTCCAAGTCTTTGCTATTGTGAATAATGCCACAATAAACATACCTGTGCATGTGTCTTTATAGCAGCATGATTTATAGTCATTTGGGTATATACCCAGTAATGGGATGGCTGGGTCAAATGGTATTTCTAGTTCTAGATCCCTGAGGAATCGCCACACTGACTTCCACAATGGTTGAACTAGTTTACAGTCCCACCAACAGTGTAAAAATGTTCCTGTTTCTCCACATCCTCTCCAGCACCTGTTGTTTCCTGACTTTTTAATGATTGCCATTCTAACTGGTGTGAGATGGTATCTCATTGTGGTTTTGATTTGCATTTCTCTGATGGCCAGTGATGATGAGCATTTTTTCATGTGTTTTTTGGCTGCATAAATGTCTTCTTTTGAGAAGTGTCTGTTCATGTCCTTCACCCACTTTTTGATGGGGTTGTTTGTTTTTTTCTTGTAAATTTGTTTGAGTTCATTGTAGATTCTGGATATTAGCCCTTTGTCAGATGAGTAGGTTGCAAAAATTTTCTCCCATTTTGTAGGTTGCCTGTTCACTCTGATGGTAGTTTCTTTTGCTGTGCAGAAGCTCTTTATTTTAATTAGATCCCATTTGTCAATTTTTTTCTTTTGTTGCCATTGCTTTTGGTGTTTTGGACATGAAGTCCTTGCCCATGCCTATGTCCTGAATGGTAATGCCTAGGTTTTCTTCTAGGGTTTTTATGGTTTTAGGTCTAACGTTTAAATCTTTAATCCATCTTGAATTGATTTTTGTATAAGGTGTAAGGAAGGGATCCAGTTTCAGCTTTCTACATATGGCTAGCCAGTTTTCCCAGCACCATTTATTAAATAGGGAATCCTTTCCCCATTGCTTGTTTTTCTCAGGTTTGTCAAAGATCAGATAGTTGTAGGTATGCGGCATTATTTCTGAGGGCTCTGTTCTGTTCCATTGATCTATATCTCTGTTTTGGTACCAGTACCATGCTGTTTTGGTTACTGTAGCCTTGTAGTATAGTTTGAAGTCAGGTAGTGTGATGCCTCCAGCTTTGTTCTTTTGGCTTAGGATTGACTTGGCGATGCGGGCTCTTTTTTGGTTCCATATGAACTTTAAAGTAGTTTTTTCCAATTCTGTGAAGAAAGTCATTGGTAGCTTGATGGGGATGGCATTGAATCTATAAATTACCTTGGGCAGTATGGCCATTTTCACAATATTGATTCTTCCTACCCATGAGCATGGAATGTTCTTCCATTTGTTTGTATCCTCTTTTATTTCTTTGAGCAGTGGTTTGTAGTTCTCCTTGAAGAGGTCCTTCACATCCCTTGTAAGTTGGATTCCTAGGTATTTTATTCTCTTTGAAGCAATTGTGAATGGGAGTTCACTCATGATTTGGCTCTCTGTTTGTCTGTTGTTGGTGTATAAGAATACTTGTGATTTTTGCACATTGATTTTGTATCCTGAGACTTTGCTGAAGTTGCTTATCAGCTTAAGGAGATTTTGGGCTGAGACAATGGGGTTTTCTAGATATACAATCATGTCGTCTGCAAACAGGGACAATTTGACTTCCTCTTTTCCTAATTGAATACCCTTTATTTCCTTCTCCTGCCTAATTGCCCTGGCCAGAACTTCCAACACTATGTTGAATAGGAGTGGTGAGAGAGGGCATCCTTGTCTTGTGCCAGTTTTCAAAGGGAATGCTTCCAGTTTTTGCCCATTCAGTATGATATTGGCTGTGGGTTTGTCATAGATAGCTCTTATCATTTTGAAATACGTCCCATCAATACCTAATTTATTGAGAGTTTTTAGCATGAAGGTTGTTGAATTTTGTCAAAGGCTTTTTCTGCATCTATTGAGATCATCATGTGGTTTTTGTCTTTGGCTCTGTTTATATGCTGGATTACATTTATTGATTTGCGTATATTGAACCAGCCTTGCATCCCAGGGATGAAGCCCACTTGATCATGGTGGATAAGCTTTTTGATGTGCTGCTGGATTCGGTTTGCCAGTATTTTATTGAGGATTTTTGCATCAATGTTCATCAAGGATATTGGTCTATAATTCTCTTTTTTCGTTGTGTCTCTGCCCGGCTTTGGTATCAGAATGATGCTGGCCTCATAAAATGAGTTAGGGAGGATTCCCTCTTTTTCTATTGATTGGAATAGTTTCAGAAGGAATGGTACCAGTTCCTCCTTGTACCTCTGGTAGAATTCGGCTGTGAATCCATCTGGTCCTGGACTCTTTTTGGTTGGTAAACTATTGATTATTGCCACAATTTCAGCTCCTGTTATTGGTCTATTCAGAGAGTGCATCAACTTTTGTTTGAGAAACTAAACAATTAATGTGTCATTTAGTTTTTCTTGGGTGAGTCTTGTGATTTGGTAGAGAGACTTGGCTGTATATAAATTACTGCTTTTTGATTATGGGGATATAGTTGTAATCTCTGAGCTTCAGTTTTCTAATCTGTGAAATGAAAGACCTACTGATGTGCTTTCTGAGCCAGGCACTTTTTTAGATACTTGTGCACTTTATGTCCTTTGTGTTCTAGAAGCAAAAAGGCTGAACTGACAGTATATTGTGAAAGTACTTTGCTTTTCAAACAGACTTGTTTTAGATGAAAAAAAAAAAGAAAAACCAGTGGAAAAGGAGAGCATAAAGAGAAAGAGGAGATGATTGAGGGAGGAAGGCTGAGAGATATTAGGATGGGACATGATATTAAAGAGATAAGGCTGGGCGCAGTGGCTCACGCCTATAATCCCAGAACTTTGGGAGGCCGAGGCGGGCAGATCACCTGAGGTCAGGAGTTCGAGACCAGCCTGGGCAACATGGTGAAACCCCGTCTCTACTAAAAATACGAAAAATTAGCTGGGTGTAGTGGCAGGCACCTGTAATCCCAGCTACTCAGGAGGCTGAGACAGGAGAATTGCTTGAACCTGGGAGGCGGAGGTTGCAGTGAGCCGAGATTGCACCATTGCACTCCAGCCTGGGTGACAAGAGCAAAATTCCATCTCAAAAAAAAAAAAAAAAAAGATAAGCCATAGAAAGAAAGTAAAGATCATTTCCATATCTCCATGACAGGAGTTATGAATGTGAAAATGGTATATATAGAGACAGATGTTTTGAGGTGAAAAGAGAGGTACAAAAGTGAGGTACATCATGTACCTCACTTTTTGGCTGATCCCACATAGCCTCATTTGTTAATCCACCAGATATTACTGGAGATAGAGCTGTGAACATGGAAACATATGGTCCCTACCTTCATAAAAAGAGGAGAGATGGTCACTGAACAGAAATGGCAAAGAAGAAGAGATGAGTTTGTCTTAAAAATAAGGAATGTCAGGGGTATGAAGAATTAGGAGAAGAATGGAGCAGCCAATGTGAGGAAGGCTCTTAGGCATCGTTAGGCGGTGTCAGAGTGGTGGTGATGGTGGTGGTGATGGCAGTTGGCCAAGAACAGCTGACAGTACAACTGCAGTGAGTATGAGTGTCCCTTAGCACAGTTCCTTTAACTTCTCGTGACCTCAAGGTGGGAATGGAAAAATAACCCTTGGGACAGACCAGGGGTTATGCTGCTCCTAATGCTACATGTAGTAGATTTTGGAATAATGATCCACACTAGTGAAAATTCTACGGTCTATCATGGAATATTTAAAAGCCATTAGTTTTATTATTTTTATGAATGTTAAGGAGAAAAAAAGCACCACTAACAGGAATAAATTACACTTTAGTGTTTATGTTAATTTTTATCATATCTGAGTTATTTTGAGCACAAATTAAGTGTACATTAAATAATTCTTCTTGAGCTGGGTTTGGAAAAAGTCAATGATTTTAAATTGAATTCTTATTAATTACTATGATAGAGACTAACTCCTTGCTAGACCAGTTTCTTCCTTTTCCTGGGCACATAGCTTGATGACATTTCCTGGCCTCTCTTAAAGTTGGGTGGGGCCATGGACTGAGTCCTGGCCCGTGCATGTGGGTGAGACTGATGTGCACCGCTTAGATGCTCAGCCTGTGAAAAGCAGCCTTGCATAAGCCTCCAATTACACTCTTCTTTCTCCTGCTGGCTAAATGCAGAGGAGGCCTCAGAGGTACAGGGATTAAAGAAGGCAGCATTCCTGATTTCCACATGGAAGGCTGCCCGCTGGAAACCCAGATGAACTCTCTAAGAGTACAAAGTAAAATTCTATTGGGCTAGGCTTCTGAGATAAATAGTTTGTTTGTTTTAGCAGCTAGCTAGCATTTCTTCCCCTGACAAATCAAGTTAGTAATCAGATGGAAAGTCAGATTACTTAATACTCATACAGTTATCTAGTCTGAAATATAGCAAGCCCTTCTTAACCTTGAATTTCTTTTCACAAAAATTAAGTACATACCCATTTACTTCTCAAAACCTTTCCAACAATTAGAAACTGTTGAATAATGTATATGTGGATTGCAAGTCACCAGTACTGAAGATTAATGGGAAAGTAGTGAAGAGAAGAGGGAGGTGAAGTATATGAAAGCCTGGGAAGAGCCTTTGGGATGGAGCCAGGGGAAAGTCAGAGAACCTGAAGCAAAGTCTTCCTGGGTCTTGCACCTGTATTTCTGACACCATAGCGGGGAAATAGACAGCAGAGCTGCCTGAGCAGTAGTGTGCCGATGTCTGCTGGAAAGAAATTTGCCAGCGAATGCAAGTTTTTTAAATCCTGGGAGTGAGGACAGGGGTTTGAGAAATACCCCCGGGTGCCAACCTGGAGTTCTTTTTTTTTTTTTTGAGGCAGAGTTTCGCTCTTGCTGCCCAGGCTGGAGTGCAATGGTGCAATCTCGATTCACTGCAACCTCTGCCTCCCGGGTTCAAGCAATTCTTCTGCCTCAGCCTCCTGAGTAGCTGGGATTACAAGCATGTGCCACCATGCCAGGCTAATTTTTGTATTTTTAGTAGAGATGAGGTTTCACCATGTTGGCTGGGCTGGCCTCGAACTCCTGACCTCAGGTGATCCACCTGCCTTGGCCTCCCAAAGTGGTGGGATTACAGGCGTGAGCCACCACGCCCAGCCTGGAGTTCTATACCTAGTGAAAATGTTCTTCCAGTAAAAGAAAACACAAGAACATTTTCCAGCAAATAAAAGCTAAAATAATTCTGTACCAGAAGATTCACACTGAAAAGAATACTAGCAGGAATTCCTCAGGCATAATGAAAACGATCCCAGATGGAAAAACAGAGATGCAGGAAAGAAAGAGTAAATGTGGATAAATCCAAATGAATGTACACTCTACACAATGATAGTAATCATGTCTCGTGTAGTTTAAAAATATGTTAAACTAAAATGCATAACAACAGTAACACAAAAGGCTCTGGGTGGGGATAGGTAGTGAATGGAGTTAAGATGTTTTAAGGTTTTAGCATTGCCTAGGAGGTGATTAAAATATTAATATATGCAATGTAGTAATAAAGAATGCATGTTGTAATCTGTAGAGTAACTGCTAAGTAATAGTAAAAGAATACATAATAATAAAGTAGAAAATGCAGTAACATATTTAGTAAATTCAAAAGAAGGAAAAACACAAAACAAGTGGGATCAATTAAAATAGTAAGATGGTAGATATATATACAAAGATATCATGAATACCATTAAATGTAAATGAACTAAAGTTATTACAGATTTGAAAAAAATTAAGCTGCTTCTCACTGGATAGAAGCACATACCAATCATGTACTAGGTACAGTGAAACTAAGAAAATTAGGAATCTATTTATGTGCATTTACAATGAGATTAAAAGCAAAGTATTTGCAAACCACAAGTAAGTGAAGGCTCCCTCCTGCTCTTTTGTCTTTCCAAATGAGGTTTCCCAAGGTTTGAAACTTCAGTCAGCAGTGAGGAGATGGGGGAATGGGAGGAAAAAAAAACAAAAAAAGGAAAAGAATTACAACTCTTTAAAAAATTGAATTCTAGAGCCTTTGTGAAAGGCTTGTACTTAAGAATTTGCGTAGGAGATAGGTAGTTAATATTTTCAAGATACTGAGAAAAGAAAGTTATGAGTTAGCGTATCAATTCAATTTTTTTTTTCTCCAGGAAAAATGCTGATAAAAAAAGAAAATCCCATAAAGTCAACTGCAAACATCTAAAAACAGAACTGAATCTGGTAGCATTTCACATGGGTATATAAAAAATATTTTTTTCTTCTAAAGAATGCAAACTACTCTAAAACTAGGAAGGCTTTTGAGTGTAGGCTCTGAGACTCATGGCTAGAGACCATTTAGGGGCAATCTTTACTGCAAGTTTCTCAAACTTGGACCCCCATATCCCAAAGATGAACAAGTTCCATAAGAAGTTTTAATGTTATTCATTTAAATAATTTTAAACATGTACATAAATCTCTTCTGGCTCATGTAGTCAATGTGACCTACTACTGTTCCCATGGGCTTCTCTTCACAATCACATTGGTGCCAAGGTCCTATGATGTCATGGCACAGTATAAGAAGAAATGTTGGACCCTTGTTCCAACAAAGAAAAGCTGTGGGAGAATTGTTTTACCACATGGCACATTGTAGTGATGTAGACCCACAGAATCCAATAGAACCATTAAGGCAATAGTTAATTCCATACTCATATTCTGAGTAGATGTATTTTGCAGATCTTATGTTTGGTGTACCGACTTCACCACATCTATCAGTGGTAAATGTAATAATGAAAGGTCAGTGAAGAATTCTTTGTTAAATGTGTACTTTGGGGTCCACAATGAAAAAGATTGAGCCATTGAAATAATGGATCTGTGGTTTAAAATGAGTTCATTGTAAAATGGAAACAACAACAACAATAATGACAATGATAGTTCATCATTTTCAAAACCAAGGTGTAGCTGGGCTCCCTTCTCTATGGTCCAAATGAGAGCTTGAAGACAACGGTAGGAGAACCTTGAGTAAGGAACCATGAGTGTTTATGGCTGGGATTGTTTGGCTTAAGGAATCCTTGACCCTTGAGGGAAGAGCAACATCAGCTGTGGGAAACATCACCAGACTCTTTGGGTCCTTAGGAAATGAAGAAGCATGAGACCTTGCTAACATGGGAGAGCAAGAGAAAACCAGGGAGCAGAGAATAAGTTCCTCCTGGAAGCGCCTGCTATAAAACGTCACAGATTGCTAGGCAATATACGTAAAGTGAGTCTCTATGAGCAGCACCAAGAGAAATAACAAACCCAAAGAGCCAAGCATCAGTGGAGAGGAAGAACTACTAAAACAGGCTCTAACACACCAGAGCCATGGAATGGGACTGGTTGTAATTTGAACTAACAAAAATAATAAAGGCCCTTAAGGCAATTCAAGTGTAGCTCAAAAAAATTTTCTGAAATTAAAAACATGAGTTTCAAACAAGCACAACTTAGTAAATGAATTGAAGGAGAAGCTGATTGCTTTGAGACTGACATGCTTTGCCTGTGTCTGGTTGTTTATTCAAAGTATCAGTTCCCTTTGAGTGTTATGGTTGGAATTGTTCATAGTTTCTTCCTGAACCCCATTATAACCTGAGGAATTTTGTTTTGGACCCTTTAGAGTCTGAGCTGACTAGAGGCTGGCTTGTAATCTCTACAAAGCTATCATGGTCTGAGGGAGTGAGTGGGGGCTGAAATCACGCCAATAACTCTGCTCCCTAAGCCATGATCCCCATGGTGAGCTGCATCTTCCCATAGAAAAGGGTGTGCTTTCACCTCACATAAGGTTGTATGTATGGACTAGCAGATGCCTGGTTTTCACCTCTTCCCATTACTGTTGTTTTCGGGGAAAATGGAAATGGAAATGTGTAGATCTCTTATGGTAACCTCAAGCATTGCCTATGGCTTCCCAAAACTTATAGTTTTGAAATTCCAAGAAGCTTATAAGGCAAAGTAATTGAAAAGAGAAGCATCAGTTCATCAAAAAGACGTGGGAGAGGCGTCATGATGAATAAAGTCTACTTTAATAATTTTGTAAAAAAAAATCACTGTCCCAAGATGTTTAGATGTCTAAATAATTCAGAACAGGACTGAATGGCAAGTGTCAAGACAAAGAAGCCAGGATAGGGAGTAGGGGCTATCCAAAGAGTGACTTAGCCAAGTTTTCTCCAAAATTCCACATATATGTTCAGTAAACATTTATAAAGTTTCTTGGTTTCAAGATGATGAAAACAAAGAGAGTAGAAGATTTAGCAAATCATTAGAACCTCTGCTAAAGCTAAAAATAAAAATAAGACTAAGACTAAGTCATCTAATGTGGTTCTTTAAGCTGGACCCCACAATAGACATAAACCTGTTTAAAATGCTTTTTAACTTATTTAAATCACATTTTTAATAGGTACTTAGGCCCCAAATTAACAGCAAAAAAATTAAAAATAAGTCTTGCAGTAAGTTTTGACTAAAAGAGGCACAACTTGATTTAACCCCAAACAACTTTGCAATTACATAATATTTTCCATGAATTAGCACATTAGGTTAAATGATATGAAACAAAAAGAGAAAGGTGCTGATGCCTATATTGCATTTTTCAACTGTTTATTTTCAGGAGACATTTATAGGTAGCTTCCAGCATGTGTACTTGCACATTTGTTAAAGTTCATATCCTTTTAGAGTAATTAGGAATTTTCAATTAGACATACTTAAATATCACATATACTTTAAATATTCAATACGAATACTTAATTATGCTTTTTCTTCTTTTTAGACCGAGTCTCACTCTTACTCAGGCTGGAGTGCAGTGGCGTGATCTCAGCTCTCTGCAACCTCCACTTCCCAGGTTCAAGCTATTCTCGTGCCTCAGCCTCCTGAGTAGGTGGGACTACAGGTGTGTGGCACCATGCCCGGCTAATTTTTTTGTATTTTTAGTAGAGACTCGGTTTCACCGTATTGTCTGGGCTGGTCTCAAACTCCTGATCTCAAGTGATCCACCTGCCTTGGCCTCCCAAAGTGCTGGGATTACAGGCATGAGCCACCATGCCTGGGTCTTAATTATGCATTTTTAATTGGACATACTGAAATATGAAATACAGATTTTCATATAAATGAGAAAGGGCATCTAACTCTGAAAACTGTCTCTCTCATAATGTTTTGTTCTTCCTTAATGGATGTGCTGTATCTTGTTGAGATTTCTTGTTCTCTGCCCTGCTCCATCTCACCTGGGTATTCATTTCCCTTGTCTGTGGTGCAGGTGGCTGGTTCTGGAAAGCAGCACACACAAGGTGAGTGTGTTGCTTGGTGTGCTCTCCAGGGACTGGCATCACAGCTGAATAAAGAGGTGTGAGCCTGCTCCATTTGGTTATACCAGGCCAGACCCAACACAACTTTTGTTGACTTTCTGCAGGTTTTTGTGAATGATTACTACAATCCTTAAATCTCCACCTCCAGCTGAACCTACTACTTTCAGCACTGGCAATGGCTTCCTTCTTTATGGGAGATTTTGGTCATCAAAAGTAGACTTCTTCAGCCTGTGCCTCACGACCTCACAATACATCTTCACAGGCCCTCCCTTCCCTTCCCCTTGACTTCCTTCCTCTCTGTGGTGCTCTGAGCCTTTCTCACATCTTTGATAACTTTACCTCCCACCTCAAAAAGGACTTTGTCACTTCAGCTATCTTTTTTCTCTAACAATTTCCACTAACTTATCCTCTACGTCTAAATGAGCCCAAGTATCATTAGCCTGAAAAAAGAATTATAAGTTTATCCCTCTTTTCTCACTACTGTCCTCTTTCTTCTTGATAAGGTGGTTTTCTGGTCACCACACCCCATTCTCCCACCCTCTCCCTGTTTAACCCTCTGGGGTTGGGCTTCTTCACCACTGCTTTGCTGAAAGTGCTCTCCAGAAGGTCTCCAGTAGCCAACTACTCATCCCTCAAAGGCTTTTCTATGTCCTGGGCCGTGGATTCTTGCAGAGATTTATGACTACAAACAATCTCTGCCTTCTTGAAACTCTTTCCTCTCTTCATATCCGTGACTACTCAGTGCTTCCCTGGATCTGGGCCCCATGTTCACTCAATCCCCTGACTTCTCTGGCCACACTGCACAGTGTACAACAGCTCTGAAATCACTTACCGTGTCCAAATCCTGGCTCAGCCACTTCCTATTTGGGCCATGTTAGACCAGTCACTTTATCCTGCTGTACCTTGGTTTCCTCACCTGTTAAATGGAAAGGGAATGATATATGCCCTTTGGGTTTTGTGAGGATTCAATGGCATGATGAATGAACACAAAGCACTTTGTGGGTTGCCAGGCTTATAATAAGAGCTCAGAGTTGGCTACAAGTATTTTCTCCCTCTTCTTGTCTCTGATATATTGTCTTCCACCACACCTACACATAGCTTCCTGGACTTTCTCTGTGCTTTCCTGCCTTGCTGCTCTTGCTCGCACCATTGCCCCTCCATCACTCTTCCATCCTTCCATCTTCACCTACACCTCACCTATCGTAATCCTTCTACATCTTCTTCTTCTTCTTCTTCTTTTTTTTTTGTTGTTGTTGTTGAGACAGGGTCTTGCCCTGTTACCCTGGCTGGAGTACAGTGGTGTGATCACTGCTCACTGTGGCCGTGAAATACTGGACTCAAGCAATCCTCCCACCTCAGTCTCCCAAGTAGCTGGGACCATAGGCATGTGCCACTAAGTCTAGCTAATTTTTAAAATTCCTTTTGTAGAGATGGGGTCTCACTAATGATGCCTAGGCTGGTCTCAAACTCCTGGGCTCAAACAATCCTCCTGCCTTGGCCTCCAAAAGTGCTGGGATTGCTGGCATGAGCCACTGCACTCGGCCTCTCCACTTAAGACCACACTTAAATGCCACCTTTTCCATGAAGCCCTCTCAGGTCACTCAAGCCAAAGGTGATTTTTTTCTCCAGTAAAGTCTCAGTCTTTTTGCTCATTTTTCTGGCATATTCTGCATTGTGTTATAATTGTTTAATTTGATGATTTATCTTTCTTACAAGATTTAAGTTCCTTGATGGAAAAAAGAACAACTAGTAGCGTTTAATAGTAGGTGGCCATTAATGCAGGAATATAGTGAAGGAACTTTGGGACCATGTGTGCTAATCCAGGGAGGAAAGCATTAGATTAGATTCAGTGGAAATGTCATTACAAAGTATATAGATGATCCCAAGAGAGTACCGAACAGAGTTGACTTAGAGAATTGTGAAACAAGATTATATGGGAAAAGCAAAAGAATGAGCACATGGATTTTTAAATATGTTTTTAATGATTACAAAACACTGAGGATAATATACAGGAAACTGAAGGTTATAATCTCAGAAAAACTATTTGACTTTAACATACACAGTAATGGAATGGGAAGCCCAGGGGATTTAGGAATTAACCAAGTACAAAAGATAAGTTTATGTGTTGAGTCCATGCTTGTTTCTGGAAGCTCAGGAAACAACCAAGAGAGAGTTTGGATTTGTCTCAATAGGAGAAGAGAAGGGAAGAGAGACGCTGGGACAGGTCCTGCACACAGTCAGTCTTCACTGAATATGAATGTATTAGTCCATTTGTGTTGCTATAAAGGAATACCTGGGGCTGGTAATTTGTAAACAAAAGTTTATTTGGCTCATGGTTCTGCAGGCTGTGTAAGAAGCATGGCGCCAGCATCTGCTTCTTGTGAGGGTCTCAGACCACTTCTATTCATGGTGGAAGACAAAAGGGAGCCCCTGTGTCACAAAGGGAGAGAGGGAGCAAGACAGAAGGCAAGGAGGTGCCAAGCTCTTTTCAACAATCAGCTCTCATGAAAGCTAATAGAGAACTCACTAATTACATCAAAGCATACATGAGGACTCTGCCTCTATGACCCAAACACCTCCCATTAGGCCCCACCTGCAATATTGGGGATCACATTTCAACACAAGATTTGGAGGAGACAAATGTCCATACTATATCAATGAGTGTACAAACAAGAAATGGATTTGTCAGGGTAAAATCTTACTGACTTGAAGTTACCATATGCAACAAGAATAGATTGATCTTGATTATTTGCCTATATGGCTTTAACAGGGAGGATTTCACTTTGCTAATATTTGTCACTGTTGCTGTTTTTTTCTTTTTTTTTGGAGATGGAGTCTCACTCTGTCGCCCAGGCTGGAGTGCAGTGGTGCAATCTCGGCTCACTGCAAGCTCCACCTCCGGGTTCAGACCATTCTCCTGCCTCAGCCTCCCGAGTAGCTGGGACCACAGGCACCCGCCACCATGCCCGGCTAATTTTTTGTATTTTTAGTAGAGACAGGGTTTCATTGTGTTAGCCAGGATGGTCTCGATCTCCTGACTTCGTGATCCACCCGCCCCGGCCTCCCAAAGTGCTGGGATTACAGGCGTGAGCCACCGCACCCGGCCGCAAGTTTACTTCTTAATGTTCTCTCATCTCCTGGATTCTGTCAAGATACCGCCATAGCTTTTTTCCTACTTCTCTGGCCACCCTTTCTCAGCTTCTCTTCTTCAGTATTCCATTCTAGCAACTTGTCTTTTCTCATTTTGCTGTCGGTATCCTTCCTATGTGACCCATCTGTACCCATGGTTTCAACCCTCCTCCAGATACTGATACCTCTGAAATATGCTTATGTGTTCCAGACACACACACATTCAGCCTTCTACCTGAAACTTTCAAGTTTCACTTGACATATGCCGACCAGATCTCAGTGTCAAGGTCATGAAAGACAAGTAAATACTAAAGAACTGTCACACATTGGAGAAGAGTAAGAAAAAATAACAAGTAAATGCAATATGAGACCTGGATAAAGTTCTGGAACAGAAAAAGAAAATGAATGGAACAATGGGTGAGATGTCAATAAGGTCTGCAGTTTAGCCAATAGTATTGTGAAGCTCACTGGTAAACTTGACAATAGACAGAAATTGGAGGTGCTAAGTATAGGCAACTTTTCGAGGAGTTTCATTGCAAAGAAGAGCTGACTAATGGGGTGTTAGCTGGCAGGGGAACTGAGATCAAAGAAAGGATTCTTGAGATGGGAAAGATAACAGCTTATTAGCGTGCTGTCAGGAATGATCCAGGAGGAGAAACAAATTGATGATGTAAGCATGAGACGGAAGCATCTCTGGAGTGACATCCTGAAGGAGCTGAGAAGGAATGAGATACTGAAGGGGTCACTCTTCAGAGTCTTTGCTTTAACTCCCTGCTCCTCCGAGGCCCAAGCTTCATTGAGTGTCAGTTAAGTTTAAGTTCTTGAAGGAGGACAAAACTTGCCACTCTTATTCAGAGAGTGTCACATCTGCTCAGGCACTTACCATTCTGATTTTCAGTTCCCTCTATGTTTGGTGTCTCAGGATTTCATTTCTTTTTCTGTGGTATCAATTATGGTCTTGAACTAATTTTTAAAGCTTGTACCCATTTCATGTTTTTTTATGTGAAACCTTTTCTGGCTCTCTCAGTGTATGGTCTTACTGGAAATGGGATCTCCTAGAGTGATTTTTTTCAAATGCAAATCTGATTTAAGTAGGTCATTTTCCTACTTAAATTTCTGTGGTGGTTTACATTTACTGTAAGAATAACATCCAAGCTTCTTAAGATGACATATAAAACCTTTCTTTCCTGTCTGGGCTCTTAGCTGTCCACCTCTCCAGCCTTGGTGATCCCAGTAGCTCCTAGGACTCCCCATGCCCTCCAGGGGCTCCCCTTTGCACATGGTGCTGCCTGTGGAGAATCTTTCTGACACTCCTTATCACCAAACCTGGATTAAATGCCTGTCTCATGTGCCCCCACAGCCTGTGCTTAGCTCTGGTCTAGATGTTCACACGGTGTTGTCACTGTCTGTTGAATTCCTGGTTTCCTCTGTAGAGTCAATTCCTGGTTGACTCTTGATATGGTTAGGCTTTGTGTCCCCACTCAAATCTCATCTTGAATTATAACCCCCTGTAATCCCCATGTGTCAAGGGAGAGACCAGGTGGAGGTAATTGGATCATGAGGGCAATTTCCCCCATGCTGTTTTTGTGATAGTCAGTTCTCACAAAATTTGATGGTTTTCTTTTCTTTTTCTTTTTTTTTTTTTTTGAGATGGAGTTTCGCTCTTGTTGCCCAGGCTGGAGTGCGATGGCATGATCTCAGGTCACCGCAACCTCCGCCTCCTGGGCTCACGCAATTCCCAGCCTCAGCCTCCCGAGTAGCTGGGATCACAGGCATGTGCCACCATGCCTGGCTAATTTTGTATTTTTAGTAGAGTCTGGGTTTCTCTACGTTGGTCAGGCTGGTCTCGAACTCCTGACCTCAGGTGATCTGCCTGCCTCGGCCTCCCAACGTGCTGGGATTACAGGCATGAGCCACCACCCCTGACCCAAAATGTGATGGTTTTCTAAGTGTTTGGTAGTTCCTCCTGTATTCAGACACCCTGTGAAGAAGGTGCCTGCCTTCTCTTCACCTTCCACCACAATCGTAAGTTTCCTGTGGCCTCCCCAGCCATACAGAACTGTGAGTCGATTAAATCTCTGTCCTTTATAAATTACCCAGTCTCAGGAAGTTCTTTATAGCAGTGTGAGAACAGACTAAAACAACTCTAAAACCCCAAGTGCTTCCATATGCTTGCCTTGGTACATATTTGTGTTGAGCACAATAAGGTTTATGATATAAATCATATAAATTCTCAAAATAGATGTAAATCACTGGAGAGGAAAACATATCTTATTTCTACAAAAACATATTTTATTGATTGCTACATCCTTTAATACATCATTGACACAACTCAGAGAAATACAGATCCTTAGAAGTTTAGATCTTGAAAGAATCTTAGAGATTACTTAATCTACCCTCTTTATTTCATGGATAAAGAAATGTATCTTTTTTGTATCAATTTATGCATCTACCAGCAGTGTACAAAAATGCCTATTCCTGCACACACTTTCTCACTAGCTCTGGGTATTTTCTGTGTTTTATAACACTAATAAGTGAAAGTGGACATATTTTTATATATTTCTTGGCAATTTATTTTCATTCTTTGTGAAATGTCTATTCATATCTTTTCCCCAGTTTTGATTGAAATGTTGATATTTTTCATATTTATTTGTGAGTGCATTTTCTGAGGATATTAACTCTTTGTTTTTCACATATGTTGCAAATGTTTCTCTAGGTTTGTATAACTTTCTTTATAGTGTCTTCCTTCATCTAAGTTGTCAAACAGGTCAGTTTTCCTCTATGGTGTCTGACCTTGATATCATTCTAAGAATGGCCTTATTTACTTTGATTATAAAACTCTTCTATATTTAATACAGTACTTAATTTTTTTTTACATTTCAGATTTTAGTCCACCTAAAAAAGGTTTAATGATACAAGAGAGTAATCTAATTTTACTTTTCCTCACATTTTTAGCTGACTGTTCCAATACGCCTTCTGTAATTGTTTTAAATAGTGCTGATACAAAATGAAGGTTCTAGCATATTTTTATAAAGAGTGTATATTTGGGGGTCTGAGAGGTCTGCGTTTGAGTAACTCTGCCTCTGCCTGCCTTGGTGAGGGTTCATGGAGACAGTTTAAGTACGGCATTGGCACCCAGGGGCATTGACTAGTTTCATGGTGTTGGGCACCATTATGATTTATTAGTAGTAATAGTATAAATGGATGTTTTTGGACTCTGTTCTATTCTGTTGATCTATTCATCTATACCTGTGTCAGGACTATACTGCTTTAACTTCTTGCAGTTTGAGAGAATATTTTAATATGTAATGAAAGTTAAACAAGGAAGTTAAACAAACAGAGAAAAACACTTGCAATATATATGAAAAACAAAGGGTTAACATCTTTAGTTGGAAAATATACTTACAAATGCAAAATCCCCTCTGTGGACTTTAACACTTTGTAAATAATTTTTAATCGTGTATGCTGTAATGCTTTTCCTTACTCTTCTTTCCCAAGTCATTAGTTATACAAACATTTAAATATGTTTTGGTATTTTATGATTTAGATAGGATTCAGAATGCAACCTTAATTCAGAAATTTGCAAAAGGGTTACAGAAAATGGATTCAATAAAGAAAAGATGAATGGTTTAATTGTAATTTGGATTAGCTTGAATTTCCTCATGAAGAAGAAATTAACTTATTATTTTCCGTTGCTACTGAGAACCAAATTAGGACATATGTTTAAATTGCAAAATGAGTTCCAGTCAGACAAAAACAAAGTTTTTTTTGTTTTGTTTTATTTGATCTGAGTCTGACTAGGGAATGAAGAATGCTTCCAAAGAAAAACATTAAACCCTGTTTTGAGATTGTGTCTTTTAATATCTGGCTTTCCCTACCTTCACCCCATGCTTGACTCTTGTCCTGTTGAGGGGAAGGGAACAAAACCCAGCTGATCGTTTGAGGGACTTCTATCCTTGCATGAACGTTAACCTTTAATGCAGGCTAACCTACATTTTGGGGACTTTCCACATGTCAGAACCAATGTACTGCCATCCTCATCAGACAGCCTTGCTTAAGCACAGTTTTGTACAATAATGTCCACCAATGAAAACCTTCGTTTCCTTTGTTTTAATCAGTTCCTCTTGCATTATGTTTGAATCATACTACTGAGTCATTATTTTTTCACATTCTGTCTTAAAATACGGCTTTTCCCCCTTGTTTATTTTTGCACATATATCATGGGATGGGGAGCAGCAGGAAATGATCCTTCACTGACCATTATCATTTAGTGCTCTGTGGTTTCTTTTGCTCCATGGTTGTTGTTTTTTTAAATTCACATTCTCACTAATTTTCTTAACATTCTTCCCATAGTAATACACATTACTGATGCTGCTTTATGCTTGAGAAAATGGCAAAATGTCACTCGGTGAGCTGAAAAGGGAAATAACAGAGACTTACAGCACTGCAGTTTCCAGAAAAGTTTTAATTTCCTGAAACATTGCTTTCAATCAATATCAATCAATCAAATGTTTTCTCGTGGTATACTGGATGTTTTGTGAGATACAGAAGAAGTATTTGTTTAGTTATTCATCCATCAAGTTTTTATTGGGAGCCAACTGTGAGCCATACGACAGATGCTGAGGGTATACTGGACAAGAAACTAGACGAAGCTTTCTCTCTGGCAGAGGAGGTAGGCATCATTGTTATAAGTGCTATGAAGACAGGTATCAAATGAACTTATTTAATACACATTTCTTGACCACCTCCTGCTTTGCGAAAGCACTGAAGTTACATAAACTGGGAAGTAGATCAGCAGGGTTTTCTGTGAGGAGTGACCAACTATAGGGGCTTTTTGTAAATTGGACTGCTCTCTCTCCTCCAAAAGCAAAAATAAATATTTTTCCATGTGGGGATGTTATATTTTTTCTCTTTATTTGGTAATGAGCTCTCAAGACAGGATGTGGGTAAGGATAGCAAGCACCTGAGAAAGAAAGTTTGAGCTGCAATATATTTTATTTTCCTCTACCCCAATTAAATAACAATAGTCAAACACAATTTAAAATTTCCTTCTGCCTGAGACTGTCATCCTCACCTCTGGAATTCCTCTGGAAAATTTTTACCTGGTTAATAATAATCTCTCTCTCTCTCTTTCTCTCTCTCTCTCACACACACACACACACAAACGTTATTAATAATAATCACTCTCTCTATCACACACACACATACAACACACCCACAAACACAGCCTAGCTCTCTCACTTGGCATCATTCTTTTGCCTTCATGGGAACTTAAGCCAAGTTTAATAAGAGACTTATAGTGAGTTGGTGATGTCCCAAATTCTCATGCTTTCAGGAGAATGGCAGCCAGTAAGTGATATCACCTGATATTCCCAGGTAACCTGGGAATGTTTCCTTTGTGGTATGTTCCTGGGTTGGCCAAGCCACAGAGATTGGGTAGGAAAATGACTGGTTGGCATGCAAGTACATAGGCGCACTCCTGATTACGTGGAATAGAGTAGGACTGTCTAACTTTAAAGTGCTTGTGAACCACATGGGGATCTTGTTAAAATACAGATTCTAATTCAGTAGGTTCCTGGAGTAGGCTCCAAGATTCTGCATTTCTTTTCTTTTTCTTTTCTTCTTCTTCTTCTTTTTTTTTTTTTTTTGAGACGGTGTCTCACTCTGTTGCCCAGGCTGGAGTGCTTTGGTGCGATCTTGGCTCATTGCAACCTCTGCCTCCCAGGTTCAAGTGATTCTCCTGCCTCAACCTCCCAAGTAGCTGGGATTACAGGTGCGTGCCACCATGCCCAGCTAATTTTTGTATTTTTAGTAGAGACCATGGTGACCAGGCTGGTCTCTAACTCCTGGCCTCAGGTGATCCACCTGCCTCGGCCTCCCAAAGTGCTGGGGTTACAGGTGTGAGCTACTGCACTTGGCCAAGATGCAGTAGCTCATGCCTGCATCCCAGCACTTTGCACCCTGCACTTCTAACATAGGTGTGCATAGGTGCTCTATGCAGAGAAGAATGGCCTCTCCCTGACCCTCTTCTTCCTACTTCTTCCCCATCACAGAATTTGAGAACTGTTGGTGGGGGAGTGGAATTGAACTTCTTGTCTAGTTGCTCCTAAAACACTGGTCTACAGAATGACTACCTGGTGATTTCACCAGGGAGATCTTTAAAAAATCTAGATTCCCAGAGATTCTGATTCAGCAGTTCTGGGGGAAGTCCCAGTCACCTGTATTCATTCAAAGCTCCCAGGCCAATTGGGGGAGCAAAAAACACTTTGAACCATTAATATCTTTCTTATTTTATAAATAAGGAAATAGGGTGGTTGCATGACCTGCCCAACCTGACCTAGTTGTGGTCATCAATACTAGAACTTGGGTACCCTTTTCCAGCCCAATACCCTGCTATTTCCAATCTGACTACCCAGGGCAATTGCTTCTACTAAGAAAGGAAAGCAATTTCCTACCCCTGAATAAGTGATTCTTAAGCATAAAATAAATGTCAGGTTCAGTGCTGTTTAATGGATCCAGAACATTTTCCTGTCGTTGGAAGCAAACATGAATAGATCTAAAGTGCAATTTGTTTCCATCCTACTCTAAAAGGAAGTTGGATGAAGTGTGCTATGGGAATGGAAATGTTTCACATTTTATTCCTCTGGGAGATAATTTCATAATTTAAAAGGTCTTTGTTCTTGGGTGTTTTTCTGATAACCAATGAAAATATCAATGCTTTCAGATGGCTTCCATATAATCAACAATCCTTGAATTGACATATTGTATTCCTTTCTTCTTGATACTTGAAGCGTTCATATTTATTTTCATTTCACTTGCCATGGCTCATTTATTGGGCTGCCTGGTCTCTTTGACACTGAAACTTTGCACAAGTCTGTATCTTCGTCTTCCCTCCTGAGCTGTGCCAATTCATGGGCTGGAACTATGATTTGGATTTTTCCCATGGTCTGGGTAATTCCTGTTTCACTGTTTTTAGTTCTTTCTTTTTGGAAAGAAGAAAACCTCCATTAATGTTAAATAAAAGTATCTGCTGGTCTAGTCCCACATAAACAAGCCTATTGAAAGGCTGAGAAAGGTATTATGGCTTTGGGAGGGGTTTCCTGCAGAATCTGCATCTCTAACCCCGAACTTCTCTCCATTTACAGGGAAGATATCTCAGCCCAGAAGCCTCTCCGCCCGCATCCTGCAGCCACACTGGGCTGCTCTGGCAATGAGAGACTCTAGCCCATGGACACTCTTCTCATAAAGAGTTTCCTGGTAGATGGGAAACCTTATGACCGTCCAGGTCCATTCTGCCTGCATGCAGTAAATCAATCTCTGTGACACAGGTTTTGCAAAAGAGAAAAGATTTGTTCACAAGGGCACCAAGCAAGGAGGCAGGAGAACAGCTCTCAAATTCACCTCCCCAAAGATAAGGCTTAGGGATATTAATGGGTTAGGGAAGTGGGATGATCTAAGCCTTGGGGAAATGTGATTGGTAGTAGGAAAAACTGAAGTAACAGGTTCGTTCTGCACAAGTGTGGTTGGGGTTTATGGCATTTCATAAGACACATGTACAGACAATGGTGGTGGTAGCATGATCTGAGGTTGGAGTTTTTGGACCTCTGACATCAGAGGCACCTCTTGGGCATACCCAGTTGAAGGGTCGGTGGTCTCTACTGGTTTAAACTGGACAGGAGCTGGCTCAGGTTCCTGAACAACAACTGAAGCGACCACTATAGGTCGCTTGGTGACCTATAAATGTGTTATCTGTAAAGTAGCCAGTGAAGGTTAAGTTTCAGTGTTCAGGCTGGGCATGGTGGCTCGTACCTGCAATCCCAGCCTTTTGGGAGGCCATGGTGGGAGGATCGCTTGAGACCAGCCTGGGCAACATAGTGGGACCTCATCTCTACAAAAAATAATTTTTGAAAATTAGCTGGGCATGATGGTGTGCACCTGTGGTCCCAGCTAGTCAGGAGGCTGAGGTGGGAGGATTGCTTGAGTCCAGGATTTCGTGGGATCAAGCTATGATCATCATTGCACTCCAGCCCTGGTGACAGAGTTAAAAAAAAAAAAAGTTTTGGCATTTAGCAGTGAGGCCTTCAGCTACTGTGGCCTTCAGCTTCATGGAAAAGGGGGAAAAAAATCCTAAAAAGCAATTAACCAAAAGCAAGCAGGGCAGACTCACCTTATCAAATTAACCCCTTGGTTTTATGTTTGATTTGTTCTCATCCTATAAATGCTACCTCTACTGACAGAACAAACAAAGGAGGAGGCTTCTTGAAGTGTATTTTCTTTCTGGAGCAGTCTATTAAGCAAGTAGCCTGACACTAATTTTCTTTTTCTTTTTTTTTTGATATGGAGTTTCACTCTTGTTGCCCAGGCTGGAGTGCAATGGCGCAAGCTCAGCTCACTGCAACCTCTGCCTCGTGGGTTCAAGTGATTCTCCTGCCTCAGCCTCCCAAGTAGCTGGGATTACAGGTGTGTGCCCACGCCCGGCTAATTTTTGTATATTTAGTAGAGACCGGGTTTCACCATGTTGGCCAGGCTGCTCTCAAACTCCTGACCTCAGGTGATCCACCCGCCTCGGCCTTCTAAAGTGCTGGGATTACATACGTGAGGCAGTGTGCCTGGCCAAGATTAATTTTCATTTAAAGACATGACCAACATGTTGGGAGCACTGGCTGTCAGCAGGTGTTTCTATTATACAGTGGACTGAGCCCTGGACAAGGGTGAAAGAGCCAAGTGCTTGGTTCTACTCCCCTCTGCATGGTCAGATGCCCTAGGGAGCTTCAGGATTCCCACCGTTATAATGGAGGGAATGCCACCCTGACCATTTCAAATGAGAAGAGATATGTGAAAGCCCAGGATAAGCTGTAAACCTTGAAACAAATATATGATAGGATTATTAGCACCAAGATAATGTTCTGCATGTTATGGGTAATAATCAATCTTCTTCCTATTAGACTTTTGTAAGTGGTATAAAGGATGGTGTGGCAACTGTGTGGTTTCTTTGGAAATTCTCCTCTCAGATCTTCTACCACGGGAGCATTGTTAACTGAGGGTCTCAGTGCTGCCGTCTGAAATTCCTCACAGCATTAAGCCCAGCCCATGCTTTCTAGGGCCTTAGTCCAGCCAGTCGTAACTGTGGCAAGGATACTAAGACATGAGAAACATAGGATTCCGCTAAAGAGTGATTTTTGGCTCGAAGACTCATCAGTCATGCTGAAATTTTCCTAGAGCTGCACAACAGTCGAAGGCCTCCCTCCCTCCCTTCCTTCCCCATCTCCTTCAGAGACCTCAGGACTCACTGTGGCCTGATTGTTCTTCCCACCTCCTTAGGCTCCGGCTCCCTCCCCATTTTTTCTCATTGGTGTTGTGCTAACAAATCTCTTGCTTATCTTAATCTCCTTATAGCATCTGCTTCTTAGAGACCCAGATTAATGCAGACCATGAATCCATCTTCCTGTGAATGTGTCCAGCACCTGGAATTGTTAGCAGTGAGCATTCCCCTGAACCTGGAACCTTCTTTGGCACAGGCTTCTTGGACTAGGTCAGTTCTGTGGTTCTACTGAGTTCTTCGGCACATGAATAATTCCCTTGCAAGCATCCTGCTTTTTGACTCAGCATTCTCTAGCCACTGACTGCCAAAGAGAGTCACCTGCAGGGACAGAGGAAGTCACCTGCAGTCACTTGCAGAGACAGAGCCCAGCTGCCCATTCCAGGACCCTTGGACCCACTCTCGAATGTGCTCCCCAGCCTCTCCCTTGGGGCCACCACTTCTCTCTTTACTCCCTCATGCACAAAAACCTTCATTCCACTTCCTCCTCCAAGTACACAGTAGCCCTTAATGTACCCTTAATAGCCCTCTATTAGAATGAATTAGGTTATCATAGAGGTTTTTTTTTTTTTTTAATGTCAGCGATTTAAAGTAACAAAGGTTTATGTCCTGCTCATTCCATGTCTAACATGGATTGGCAGGAGGGGCTCTGCTCATCACAGGGACTTAGGATCACAGACTGGGGGAGACTTTTCTCAGTACATGCCGTCCCAATGACCAAGAAAGGGAAGAGCAGGCTGGAGTTTGAGTACCTGCAATTACATGCTTCCTTCCAGAAGTGACACATCAATTCTGCTCACATTTCATCAGCCAAAGCAAGTCACTTGACCATGCCTAACTGCAAGGGGGTAGGGGTGTAAAGGCAAGCAAATGGAACACATATGCAACCATCCCCTCAGAAAAGATGGCTCCAAAGGAGTCCCAGTTTTTAGCACATAAATGCTTCACCATCCCTAAAAGCCTGAGAGAATTAAGTTTCCTGAGGACTGAGAAAAATATTTAAATCCACACGAGGGTTAAGCAAAACATAGCAAAGGGAGAAGGGTTAAGTTTTTCACATCCTGCTGCAGAGTTAACACTACAAATGCTGGGCTTGGTTATGAGAACACAACCAGCAAAGCCATGGGGTTTGTGTAAGCACTGTTGATGTCAGTAAAACATCACATCCCAGACTTGTATGTGGCAATAGGTCAGCTCCTCGCTCCCTGCCTTGACTGTACCTCTGCACCTGTTCAGGAATCCTGGAGGAGAAACAGGAACTCAGGCAGACAAGTGGTGATTCCTGCCACTGTGTCAGGGTATTTTTTCTTGCAAAAGTGGGCCCCGACTAAGCAGGACAATATACCTATATATTGTGAAACTGACCCTTGAAATGCAATGAAGTCCTATTGTCAAAACAGCCTTACAAGGACGGAAACATCATCTTGCTCAGTCCCTTTGTGACCTTCACTCTCAGAGAGGGGTGGAAAAGGACTCTCTTCTCTGGCCTTGGCTAAATGGCTGTCTTTCTAGAGCTTTTCTGTTTGGTCCACACTTTTCCTAGGATATGGGAGGTTTTTAAATGCTTTGGATTTAAAATACCAAATACAGTGTGGATTGAATTTCCGTTCTGTTCGGTACCTCAAACAGGCCAATTCAATAGAAAAATTAAGTCAAAAGAGTTTGTTATGTTTTGTAAGGCAAATGACCAACAAATGAACTACAATGTTCATGTTTCCAGTGGCTGTACAAAATTAATTTGCAGAAAATGAAAACATGTAAAATAGATGAATAAAGTTAAATAAAAGTCTTTCTGTTTAGGAGATAGGACAGTGTAAACTAATTTTTAAATAAAGTAGTTTGAAATAGTAAAGTAAAATTCTATTTGCCTTAAAATAAGACTTGTGGTCTTAGACTTCACCTTTTCTGGGTGACCGCTGAGGTATAGCACCCTGGTTTCTCTAAGCTTAAAATAATTACTCAAAAAATATTATGTGCAGTCCTGAGCCAGGCTGTATTCTAGGCACCAGACAGACAGCCACGGGAGCTACCTAGTATTTTGGCATGACTGACAGATGTAGTGCTCTAAAATGTGCTGATATGCCTTTTCTTGGTCACTGCTCATGAGGCAATAACCAAGTGTTCTTTGCTGCTCTGCAAAACGAGAACCCAGTTAGGCTTCTGTGCATGGCATGGAGCAGTATGTCCTCTGGGTGCTGTTTTACAGGCATACTTGCCAAGTTTTATGATGGAATGATAGTTTCTCCTTAATAGTTTTTATCCACCCTGGAATTACAAAGACAAGGCCCATGTTTGCCTAAGGAAGGACAAACAGGATTGATTTCAGTCTGTCAAAGTCTGTTGGTATAAAATATTGAGAGAACCTTTCTCAAAAGGCATTTGTAGAAGAGCATTAAATCATCACTAACACAGTGTTTTACAGAGTTCAGAGCCCTCTCATTCTGTCTTAGTCTAGGGAGAGTTTGGTTAAAGGGTGTAAACAGGTGCTGACCCTGGTCTGTCTAAGGATCAGAATTAGAGGGAGATGCTTTGCTTCAACGTTATGGAAAATGCCCTTCTTTACATTCATATTAAGCAAAATTTCTATTAGTAATTTATAGCATGGGTCCCAATTGGAATAGAATGAAGTTTTCCCAGACCTTCCTTACAGGTTGACTTTTTCAGTATTGGGTGAAATTATTAATCTTCCCAGAGAGGATCAGCATATATAGAACTTGTTTTATCAAACTAGTTTGTCTCCAGGTGGGACTTTAGTGACACTATTACTAATCATGGCCTTTAATCTGCTAAAATAAAATTCTAGCTGATTATCGAGGCAGGCAGATCACTTGAGATTGAGACCAGCCTCGCCAACATGGTGAAAACCCCTCTCTATTCAAAATACAAAAATTAGCCAGGCGTGGTGGTACCTGTAATCTCAGCTGCTCAGGAGGCTGAGGCAGGAGAATTGCTTGAACCCAGGACATGCAGGTTGCAGTGAGCCAAGATCATGCCACTGCATTCCAGCCTGGGTGACAGAGGAAGACTTCATCTTAAAAAAAAAATCCAGCTGATTATCAAGCACAAAAGTATAGATGATGACTACAATTTACCTAACATCTACTTATATAGTTATATTCTCAGTACTTTACAGGCCTTATCTTGTTTAATTTACCAATCAACAGATGGTGTAATTGAGACCGGACTGGCATTTCTCAGCCTCCTTCACAGCTATATCTAGCCATTTGAATAAATTATTGTCAATGAAAAGTAAACAGAAGCAATATATAGAACTTTTGAGATATCTCCAAAAAATGGAATGGTCAAGAATCATTTTCTTACTCCCACAAATAATCTAGTGAAGATGCTGTTTCCAAAGAAATCTATCAAGACTTCCAATTAAACATACTATATGGAACACAAATTTATATCTGCTGTCTCCCAGAACTCCACTATAATGATACTGAATAAATTAAACAAGCAAGTGGGAGTGAGGTACCATATGAGATCAGGCGGATGAAGTGAAAGACTGTATATTGAATTGCGAGATTCCTTCCTAGTCTCCTCTTCTTGGCTACAAAAAAAGTTGGCTGCCAGATTTGTCACCTCGAGACCCCACTTTCCCATAATCCCACCAGCCATGAGAAAATGACTGGCCTGTAAAAATATATTAACTTGAAAATAATTTCGCCTAGAATAAAATGAAAGGAAATGAGTAGATCACAAGGCATACATGTATGTAAAAAGAAACATAGATGACTGGGCGCAGTGGCTCACACCTATAATCCCAGCAATTTGGGAGGCCTAGGCGGGCGGATTGCCTGAGCTCAGGAGTTCAAGACCAGCCTGGGAAACACGGTAAAACCCCATCTCTACTAAAATACAAAAAATTAGCCGGGCGTAGTGGTGTATGCCAGTCGTCCCAGCTACTTGGGAGGCTGAGGCAGGAGTATTGCTTGAACCCGGGAGGTGGAGGTTGCAGTGAGCTGAGATCGCGCCACTGCACTCCAGCCTGGGTGACAGAGAGAGACTCCGTCTCTAAAAAAAAAAAAAAAAACACAACAACAGAGAAATAAGAACTTGGTTGAAACAAGTACTTTAGAATCAGGAATGAGTTATATGCCTCGTGTTAATGAGACATGAATAATTAAAGGATTCTTACATTTTATTATATCAAGGACACAATGGTTAAAAATTCTAAGCCAAACGGGTGAAGTTCTCTGTAAGTTTGGCTTTCTGTTTACACATGCTCTGACCCTTGAAAATATAATTATACTTACTCTTAAATATTTGCTTACTAAGGGCAGAGAATCTCCAGACAAGTAACATCTAAATATAACAATTGTAATTTATAATCTTGAGACTTTGTATACTGCAGAAAATTCTATTTGGTAGAGACAGCTGTGTGTTCACTTGTGTTATAAACTTTATTCATCATGGGAAATTGAATTTTCTGTCTTGTTTTGTTATAATTAAGCCACTAATTATCACCATACTTGTTAAAAAGTTTTCAATGTTTACCATGTAAATTTCCCAGATATTTCCTCCTTGTAGTTGTATAGGTGAAATATGAGATGGAGTTTATAAAATATTCATGTCTAAAATACAACACAAAATCTCATCTTGCATAGGTTCAAGAGAAAAGACCTATAAACACTGACACATGTTGATCCTCTGAAATAAAAGCAGCATTCCCCCATGTCACCCTCCAGGGAAGCAGCCCCTCTCCTTTAGACAATCTCTGCCCAAGCATATAGAGATTCCAATCTCTCTTTTTTTCAATGCCTCACTCTTAAATATAACCGGTCATCCATGGGACATCCAGATATTTGAGAAAATCTTTCAACATTTAAGATAGAGAACAAAATAATCAAGAAGAAACCTCCCAGAGAAAGCAGAGACAATGCAACAGAAGAACACTTTAGATTAGAAGAGCAATGCTATCTATAATAAAATAATCAAGATGTTATATAAAGAGGGGTGTTCAGAAATAGCAAGAAAGAGGATACCATCAACTTTAAATGGGAAGTGGAGCAAGAAGACTTGATGGACAATAGGAGAGAAAAGAACAAATTAAAGATCAATCCAGCAGGCCTAACATTAGTCTAATAGGCACAAAAGTAATAGAGAACAGAAAAAATGGAGTGGAAAAAACTGTCAGGGAAAGAATACAAGACAATTCTGCAGAACTTTAGGATAGAAGGTTTCAAATTTAAGAGCCCACTGAGTACTCAGCAACACGGCTAAAAAAAGACCACACCAGAGCACATCATTATGAAATTTTAGATCGCTAATTATAAGGGTTAACTTTATTGTATCAGATTTTGACTTCTTGACTTCAACACTGAAAATTAGGTGCAAATGAAGAAATGACTTCAGCATTCAGGGAAATACTGCCCAAACTATTGATCAAGAAGGTGTGCAGAATAAAATGTCTTAGACATCCAATTTTTCAAAGACTTTACCTGCCATGCACCCTTTACAAGAAGGTAGTAGAGGATGTGTCTCAAAAACACAAGGGGTTGAAAAGCAAAAAGAAGGCATAGGATACAAGAAAGAGGTGATCTGGCACAAGAAAACAGTAATGGAATTCCCAGAATGATGGAGGAAGAACACCCAGAAATCCTCTAGGGCAACTATGCCTGAAAGGAGCAAGATGACAAAAGTTGCAGGGAAAAATGTCTCAAGAGGCAAAGAAAGGATTCACAGTTGAGTCCTGCTGAAGGGTTTAATGATCATTGAATTAATGGGTACATATAAAAAAAAAAGAAAATGAAAAAAAACAGGCAATTAACTCCAAGAAAAGTAAAGTGCTGTACAGCAAAGGAAGTTTAACCATAGTAACTATAAATAGCACAATGAAAAGATTTTTTACTTAGTCATAAAATGCCCTATTTGATATAATCCAAACCTAAGCCAATTCGCTTTCATTATAAAGTGGGGTACCTGGGGGAGACTGTTATACAAAATAAGGCAATGTTCCTGTAATCCTGCTGGAAATAAAACTGTTTCTACTTGGGATCAAGTATGTTAGAACAGGTTGCTATATACTTCCTGAAGATTGTTTGCAAGACACAGAAATCCACCTGAGGATGCTTAAGTAAAAAAGGAGTTTAAGGGATATGCACAGAATGCAAAGCAGGAAGCACCCCAGGCCTCATGGGAATGGAAAGTCCTCAGAGCACAACCTTCTCCTTCCTTCTCCTTCCCTTTCTGGTGTCTCCTATCTATGCATATCTCCTTTCTCCTCTCAATGCAAACTACTTCCTTGAGTCTTAGTTTCTGTTTAGACCCTGGCTTGATTGAGATTCTGACTTTCCTGATGCTGTCAGGGAGAAAATAAAGAAAATCAAGAGAGGCTCTAGATACTTTCTGAATAACAAGTAAAGACAAGCACAAATTTAAGTTCCAGAATAATTCAGAGAAGCTGTACAGTGTAAGTTAGAAATCACAGTGCGAGTTTGTGTATTCCATTTTTAAGGGAGTGGCAGAGACTAATAAGTATTCACCATTATCTACTGTCTCTTCTTTTGATAATCAAACCTCCACATTTTAGCAAGGCACATGGCTACCTAGCTAGAGATATTCACAGGCCTCAGCTGGAGCTGGACAGATGTGGCCATGTGACCTGGTTTTGGTCAATAGAATGTTAGCAGAAATTATGTGTCTACTTGCAAGGAATATCTTGCTTTCCATTGCCTATATTGCTTCCCACATACCAGAATCCCTAGCTACTGTAACTTAGACTTGCTAATTTTTGAAGTTTATTTCTTTTAAACTCATAATCCACAGATTTCCCCTCTGTCCCTTTCTTTTCCTGACAATTTATCTGTTGAGGAACCCAGGCCCTTTGACATGTAGTTTCTCACAGTCTGGCTTTTGCAACTGCATGCTCACAGTGAAGCTTAGCCTGTTCCTCTGTCCTCTGGTATTTCCCTTCCCTGGCAGCTGGATTTAGAGGATTGATCCAACTCAGATTCAAAGCCCTTGATAGGCCACAGGTGGTACTTTGTTTTCTCATCAGTAATCCTAATTGAGAATGCAAATTTATTATTCAAAATTCACAAAATTAAATAAGTATAACAAATTTAAATACTTAAGCTTTTAAAGCAGAGGTCCCCAACACCCAGGCTGTGGACCCATCTCCTGTCAGATCAGTGGCAGCATTAGATTCTCATAGGAGTGCGACCCCTATTGTGAACTGTGCATGTGAGGGATCCAGGTTGGGTGCTCCTCATGAGAATCTAATGCCTGATTATCTGAGTCTGAGGTGAAACAGTTTCATCCTGAAACCATCCCTCTATGCTCCCCTTCCGTGGAAAAATTGTCTTCCATGAAACTGGTCCCTGGTGCCAAAAAGGTTGGGGACTGCTGTTTTAAAGGATGTGTTTTATAAATTCCTAACATTTGTTTTCCTGAAATTTTAGAACTTAATATTGCCCTAAAACTTTTGGGACACTATATTTATAAAGCGATGATAAAATACCTCCTGGATTCATATGGATACTTTGGATTCAAATTCAGCACTCTAGGGCTTTTACTCTCCTCATTTTGGTACTACTGTATCTCCTTTGGTTTACATTCAAATTTCAGATTCCCAAGGAAAAAAGAGAATTACAATATCAGTGTTTAGGTATTCTTAACCATAACATTAAATATGCGTAATAAAAAGGACAGCAGATACACAATTTTGTGTAATCCACTCTTTGATTTAGAGATACAATTAATGAAATTAATATTGTATGGGTAAACTGTTTTAAGACTGTATATATGGAAATAAATTATTGTATGCCCCAATATCTTTGATTCAGCCTTGATTAAAATTATACTTAACATAGAGTGCAAATTGTTTTTAAACAGGAACTTGTAGGAAACCTCCAGGAAGCTGTTGATACAAGTGTCTTTGAGAGTCGAAAGCATTGAAAGTGCTGGATTAACAGTTAGCCTTTATTTAGATAGATAAGGCAGATGGTGAGTAAATACTTCCAATATGATTTGCCATAAACTGTAACTTAAATATATAATTACTCTGTTTTTTACTGTACGTTTTCGGCTTCACCTTGTAACCAAACACAGGTGCAGTTGCTCACCACTTACAGAGTGCAATTAACAAGAGGGAGCTCTGGTAGAAAGAAAGTGACTATTAGTGGAAACCAGGAAAGGGGAAGTGACCGGATTCCTGTTCAAAGCTTTGATTTTAGGGTTGGGGGAGGCAGGGGTTTAAAAAAGGAAAACTTGATAAGGAAGGCATGCAAGAATTAGGCTGAGTACAATGTGTGTCTGGTTCAGGTGGCTATCTTGGGTCCCAGTCCACCTGGATCGTGGGCTGGAGACATCTGGAGACATCTCAGCAACGGCCGAGTTATTGATTAGCCAGCTTGAAGTAGTCTCTGGAATTGTGTCACTGAGTCTCCAGGCTTAGGCTGTGTGTCTGAAGATTAGCCCCTGGAACTTCTAAGAAGGCACATAATTAGATACCAGTACACAGTTAAATAAATGTGAAGGGAGTGTCTATGGGTGGGAAAGGGAGGGACGTGGAGTCTATTTTTTTTTTTTTTTTGGTCTTGGGCTTCTTTTTATTTTTATTTTATTATTATTATACTTTAAGTTTTAGGGTACAGGTGCACAATGTGCAGGTTAGTTACATATGTATACATGTGCCATGCTGGTGTGCTGCACCCATTAACTCGTCATTTAGCATTAGGTATATCTCCTAATGCTATCCCTCCCCCCTCCCCCCACCCCACAACAGTCCCCAGAGTGTGATGTTCCCCTTCCTGTGTCCATGTGTTCTCATTGTTCAATTCCCACCTATGAGTGAGAACATGCAGTGTTTGGTTTTTTGTCCTTGCGATAGTTTACTGAGAATGATGATTTCCAATTTCTTCCATGTCCCTACAAAGGACATGAACTCATCATTTTTAATGGCTGCATAGTATTCCATGGTGTATATGTGCCACATTTTCTTAATCCAGTCTATCATTGTTGGACATTTGGGTTGGTTCCAAGTCTTTGCTATTGTGAATAGTGCCGCAATAAACATACCTGTGCATGTGTCTTTATAGCAGCATGATTTATAATCCTTTGGGTATATACCCAGTAATGGGATGGCTGGGTCAAATGGTATTTCTAGTTCTAGATCCCTGAGGAATCGTCACACTGACTTCCACAATGGTTGAACTAGTATACAGTCCCACCAACAGTGTAAAAGTGTTCCTATTTCTCCACATCCCCTCCAGCACCTGTTGTTTCCTGACTTTTTAATGATTGCCATTCTAACTGGTGTGAGATGGTATCTTATTGTGGTTTTGATTTGCATTTCTCTGATGGCCAGTGATGGTGAGCATTTTTTCATGTGTTTTTTGGCTGCATAAATGTCTTCTTTTGAGAAGTGTCTGTTCATGTCCTTTGCCCACTTTTTGATGGGGTTGTTTGTTTTTTTGTTGTAAATTTGTTTGAGTTCATTGTAGATTCTGGATATTAGCCCTTTGTCAGATGAGCAGGTTGAGAAAATTTTCTCCCATTTTGTAGGTTGCCTGTTCACTCTGATGGTAGTTTCTTTTGCTGTGCAGAAGCTCTTTAGTTTAATTAGATCCCATTTGTCAATTTTGGCTTTTGTTGCCATTGCTTTTGGTGTTTTAGACATGAAGTCCTTGCCCATGCCTATGTCCTGAATGGTATTGCCTAGGTTTTCTTCTAGAGTTTTTATGGTTTTAGGTCTAACGTTTAAGTCTTTAATCCATCTTGAATTAATTTTTGTATAAGGTGTAAGGAAGGGATCCAGTTTCAGCTTTCTACATATGGCTAGCCAGTTTTCCCATCACCATTTATTAAATAGGGAATCCTTTCCCCATTGCTTATTTTTCTCAGGTTTGTCAAAGATCAGATAGTTATAGATATGCAGCATTACTTCTGAGGGCTCTGTTCTGTTCCATTGATCTATATCTCTGTTTTGGTACCAGTACCATGCTGTTTTGGTTACTGTAGCCTTGTAGTATAGTTTGAAGTCAGGTAGCGTGATGCCTCCAGCCTTGTTCTTTTGGCTTAGGATTGACTTGGCGATGCGGGCTCTTTTTTGGTTCCATATGAACTTTAAAGTAGTTTTTTCCAATTCTGTGAAGAAAGTCACTGGTCTATTTTTAGGCTAGGGTAAAAGGCTTCTGCAGTTTGCTTCAAGGTTCTATCTTGAAACCCAAGAGAGAGGCAAAAAAGATTTTTAAAAAAGGTTTGAAGCTAAGCTCTTGAGTTTCAATTCCCTGCTCTCAAATTCCATTCCATTTCTATGAAAAGCAGCTACTTCCTGCTGAGAAGGGTGTAGTTAGGGAGTATTGGAATGGAATCTGTTGATCAGGAGCTGGAAATATTCTTGAGTCCCTGGATTCATAGTAGGGATTTGTTGGAGCATTATGGTGTGAGGACCTAGGATTTTTGGGGAAAGCGTGTCCTGCATTCCCATATAAAGTGTACGGCAGCAATAAAATCCATAGCAACCAAAGAGAGCAATGAGCAGAAGGCCAATTATACTGTGTAGGAGAGTCTTCAATGTCTTAGGAAGTTGACTAAACCATGCTGTCACAGGCTCTTGAGAGAGAGCATCTATAGCATATATAATATCCAATAGAAATATGGGTATTTAAGGCCTGAATAGCTTGAGTTATATTGTGAGAAGAATCTGGTATCTTTCTATATCTATATCTATATCTATGTCTATATCTATATCTATCTATATTACACAGCCTTAATTACCGCACAAGTGTTGCCCTGGGCCATAGTTAGGATATCTAAAGCCATATGATTTAAAGACATTGTGGGATTAGACATAGCACTAGTTTGCCTGTATGTCTTGTAGGGCTGAGGATATGCTTTTGGAGTTATCCAGGAAATATGTACAGCATTTAGTCTTAGTTATAGTTCATGGTTCCCACTATCAATTGAACCCAGATTTCTTGTGTGCATATGACAACAGGTTGGCTAAATATACACACTTAACAGGAGGAACTATGAATATTTACAAAGATGGTCCTGACATATGTGTATTGAACAAATATACATGTATGACCCATGTTTATTTTGAGGTGGAGAATTTACATTTAAATATATTACTTTTAGGCCTTATGTATCAAAAGGTCTTTATAGGACATAAAGCCATGTAAGTGTGCACTTTCTGTAAACTAGCCCATGGTTGGTAGTCTTTCATTAGGGGAAAGTTACTGAGATTAGTCTCTTGTCTAATTAAAGCTGTAGTTATGGCTGGTGGCATAGAGGCCAGGAGTCAGTCAGTTGGCTTATCTTGAAGCCAGGTATTGTTTGGCTGCTAGAGAAAAACAAAAATCTTGAGGCATTTGAGACATAGTTTACTCTTTAAGTGTAGGAGTGAGTGACTTAACCCTTGCCTGGCATTGCCCTAGGTCCTGTTTATAATTTGGTATTTTATCTTTACAGGTTCTGTTTGATCAGTCTTATGAACTGTTTTAATGTTAATGATGATCAGTTGTGCCTAAAATCCAAAAAGTTGGGGAAGGTATAGTGAGGCGTGTCTGACTCTCCCCTCTTCCCATGCCCTGCTTCCCATCATGACTTTAACTAATTTTCCAGTTATTTGTGGGGATTGCTGGCTCCAAGTTATTTTTGTGACAAAATTGGAATCTGTTCCCATGGCTAAACTTTGCCCTGATAGGTAATCCAAGGAAAGCTGTGAACCAAAATTTGGGGTAAAGCAGTCTCTATGGCAGTTTTTTTCCTTCAGTTTCTAATGAGTTTTCAATGTTTATATTCTAGTTACACCATAAATAACGAGTTTTATCTCAGCACCAGCAGCTTAGTAACAGCAGATTTAAAGCAGGCAGAAAAGAAGAGAAGATAGAGACCTTTCGAAGACTCTACTTAACTCTGTAGTGCAGGTTAACCATTTGAGCTCTACATTTTTCTTGTTGTAATTTGCCCATCAGTTTAAAATGTGCACATAAATGGGCCATAATATGTAACCAGCTGGAATCCCAAAGAGGATGACAAAATCAGGGGCCAGAATGTTGGAAACTGCTTTTCCGCTGCCATGCTGGATCCCTGGATTGAGTAGGAAAAGAGAAAAAGAAAAGACAGGAATGGAGAGAAGAAAGGTCAAATTTTATAGGAGGGAAGGGGAAAGAGAAAGGAAGGAGGGGAGGCTTGTGAGCCTCCCAACCACCACACGGTACGGGGTCATGGAGAGACTCAGCACCTCAGACCTACACGGTGGTATCTATATCTATATCTATATCTATATCTATATCTATATCTATATCTATATCTATATCTACATCTATCTATATTACACAGCCTTAATTAATGCACAAGTGTTGCCCTGGGCCACAGTGAACCAAACGGTGGGGAACAAATCCCTCCCACCTCTGCAAGTCACCAGTCAAGGTGAAGTGTTTCCAACCAGAGGGAGCTAAAGGTGCTTTTGGCCGAGAGGAATAAGGCTGTAGGTGGCTTCTGAGATAATCAGGAGGATGATGTTTGAACAAGGGGAAAGAGAGAGAGAGAGAGAGAGAAAGGGATCATTCAGGGCCCACATACAAAGGACACACATTCATGCACCTTCAAACAAATCACCAGTTAAGAGGCTGAGTACAGTCTCAAATCCCTTGCCTCAGTTTCAAGCCGGCCTCCCAGGTGAATAAGTCTGAACTGAGCAAAGCCCTAAGGGTGCCAAAAACACAAATAAACATAAATGCATAAAGTGCTCAAATGGTGTCATCAGCGGCCAAGTCTAAATAGAGCAGAGCCACAGCGACACCCTAAAGGAGGCAGAGGGTGGTCGGGTGCACTCCAACAGACTCACCCAGTTCCAAGTTTCCAAAATTCCAAAATGTGTCGAGTTCTCTAAAGGTTACTCTCTTTGCACCAGCAAAGCATTGAAGGCAGCAGGCACCACAGCAGGAAGAGAAAGAGGATCCTCGAGACAAAAGCGTCTCGGCAGCTGCAGGGCAACTTCCTAACGTTCCAGCCAAGGGGACACAGTAGCCACAGTAGCCCAGTAGCTGTAGCTCACAGGCGGCACTGTGCCCTGCCGGACAGAAACTAGACCGGCAGGCCCAGGCTCTGGGAGCTCACAGTGCTTCCTGTAAGAGCCACCAAATTGTAACTGAATGCAGGTATGGATGCTCACCACTTGCAGAGTCCAATTAACAAGAGCGAGGTCTAGCAGAAAGTGACTTTATTAATATTAACTGAAACTAGTAAATGGGAAGTGTCCAGATTCCTATCCAAAGCAACCATTTCAATTTTGTGGGGGAAGGTGGGGGTTTAAAAAGGGAAAACTTGATAAGGAAGGCATACAAGAATTAGGCTGAGTACAATGTCAGAGTGTCATGTTCAGGTGACTATCTTGGGTCCTGCCCACCTGGATCGTGGACCACCATCTCAACAATGGCCAAGTTGTTAATTAGCCGCCTTGAAGTGATCTCTGGAATTTTGCAGGTGGGTCTCCAGGCTTGGCCTGTGTGTCTCAAGATTAGCCCCTGGAACTTCTAAGAAGGCACATAATTAGATACTAGTATACAGTTAGGTAAATGTGAAGGGAATATGGTGAGAAAGGGAGGGATGTGTAGTCTACTTTAAGGCTAAGAGAAAAGGCTTCTGCAGTTTGCTTCAAGGTTATGTCTTGAAACCCCAAGAGAAAGGCAAAAAAAGTTGTAAAATGCATTTTGAAGCTAAATTATCCGGTTACAATCTAAGTCTATTTACTCAGGAGGGCCAAGAGCTTCCCTTCAATATTGAAAGTTCGTATTAGTAGTTCTAAAGACTGATGAGAAATAAATGTTTGTTAGCACTTGTGTTGGGATGTGTGCTGTAGAAAACAGGGTTTATTCACTCAGTTTATTCACTATGTTTGCCATATTAGATTGTTCTCAGTCACCAAATTATTATGACTAACCAGCTGATGGACTTCACTGATCTGTTAAATAAAAGTAAAAGACTGCAATGTACAAAGTTTCAGTTAAAACGAACTCTGCTTTCTGATATATACATCACATATCATTATGTGATATATAATATATATCACAATATATATTAACTTTCAGATAACAGATGCTTCTGCTGTACATTAAATTTTATGTTGGATATTTAAGTTTGGCTATAAAAAGATAAGTCAAACTATTTTATTTGCTAGTTTGCTATACAGATCTATCTTGAGTTGCCTGGCTTAGCTTCCATTTTAAATATTTTTACACTATTTTCTTTTTAAAAGTATAGAATTGGTGGATCAAAGAAATTGTCTTACAGATCTATTATAGTATTTACTACTCTCGGAAAATATGTGTAACTCTAATAATAATAAAATACAAAGAGAACATAGTGGAAAAGCTTAAAAAGGAAATAAGTTGGTGACCAATGAAACAATAGACTGAACAAAACAGATAAAATGAGAAAGTTTCAATGGCAAAAATGTTTAAACCAATAAGATAAAAATGAAAGTGAAAGCTGTCACAGGTATGAAATTCACTATTTCAGTTTACCCGTGCACAAAGATCGAGGGCTCATTATAGCATTATAACTGGACTCCATTTAGGCGTTGCTAATGGTAGGAAACTTAGGCTTGCTAATTTGATACAATGCAGTCCCTTTAGGTTTAAAAATACTTTTATCTAATTGCTCTGTTCATTTGGCAACTCTCCTATTTCCTCTTTTCCTTTCCTTCTCCTTGGGGGAGGCCTGAGGTTCCTGGGAAGTGTTCTGACACTGGGGGAGGAATGCCCGTGCAGGGGCTGGCCTCTGCCCCTGCACCTCTCTCTTGAGCTTGGCCATGCACTGTGTCGACCCTGCTCCCTTGCTGACATCTTCAGCTCCACATGGCTTATAGTCAGCTGGTCCACCGATGTTGCTTCCCCTTTGTCCCAGTCATAGACCCTTTTCATCTGCAGGCTTCCCTGTGTCCTTTGTCAGAGCAAAGGATGATTCCAGAGGCTGTCCTGTGCCACCTGGCTGGTGTGGGCCTCTGTGGGGCTGCTGTCCGGTTCACTTGCCTGGACAACACACTCAGCAGTGCTGGGGTATTGCTGAATCAGACTGTACTTGGAGCTTCTGTGGGGCCTTTTCTTCATTTCCTCAAGGCCACAGCTGGCAAGGGAGGCACAAAGTTTCTCTGCTCTGCAGGCCCCCCAAACTCATCAGAAAGCTCCATCAACCCCACAACTTTGGGGTTCAACCTGAAGAGGAGAGTCCGGGTGCTGGACTCTTCTCATAAACTGTGCCTCTCAGCTCACATCCTTTTTGCATCCCCTTTTCCAGCCATTGGTTGAATTCTTATCTTTTTTGTCGGGGGTGGGGGGGGAAACAGCTTTGATATTACCATGCATCTCTCGCTGGAGTGACATAAATGACATTCTCTGGGGCCTCTGGGCTCTCAAAATTAAAACATAAACAAGAGACTTGCGGTTCTTGACAAGTAGGAGGCTAGCAAGGGCCGCTGGCCTCCTCCTCCAGACCTATCCCTGGGGGGCCCAGAAAAAGGCAGAAGTGTATGGAGCTATAAATAAGTAAATAAATAAAGGGCACTTTGGGAGGCTGAGGCAGATGGATCACTTGAGGTCAGGAGTTCGAGACCAGCCTAACTAACAAGGTGAAACCCTGTCTCTACTAAAAATACAAAAATTAGCCGGGTGTGGTAGTGCATGCCTATAGTCCTAGTTACTCAAGAGGCTGAGGCAGGAGAATCTTGAACCCAGGAGACAGAGGTTGCAGTGAGCCAAGATCTCACCACTGCATTCCATGCACTCCAGCCTGGGCCACAGAGCGAGACTCCATCTCAAAAAAAAAAAAAAAAAAAAGAAAAAAAAAAAAAGAAAAGAAACAATGGAAAGGGGAAATTTGAGCAAGACCCTATAGCTGAAAGAGGAATGTAGAGCCTGATATGCTGGGGGGCCAGGACTGACAGCCTGATAAGAAACAGGCAGATACCCATGGAATATAAAAAGCTCAATTTTTGCCAAACTAATAAATAACATTAATACCATAAACCTTGAATTAATAAATATTGATACAATAAAAAACATTTTCTGTGGAATTTAATAATCTGACTCAAACTCACATGACAGATCAAAGGGCCAAAAAGAGCCAGGAGTAATGTTAAAGTTGAAAAAGCAAGGAGACATGCCATATTAGATAACAGAATTGAAAATAAAGTTAAGTAATTCAACAGTGTGGTGTAAGTGCAGGGCTAGACAAATGGAATAATGGGACAGAGTAGAGAGTCCAGGAACAGGCTTATGCACATAAGAAAACATGCTCCAGAAATGGAAGAAGGCCAGGTACGGTGCCTCACGGCTGTAATCTCAACACTTTGGGAGGCCGAAGGGAGAAGATTGCTTAAGCCCAGGAGGTTGAGACCAGCCTGGGCAACATGGAAAAACCCTGTCTCTACAAAAAAATACCACAATTAGCCAGGCATGGCATCATGCCATGGCATATGTCTGTGATACCAGTTACTCAAGAGGCTGAGGTGGAAAGATCGCTTGAGCCTGGAAGGTCAAGGCTGCAGTGAACCATGATAATGCCACTGCACTCCAGCCTGGGTGATAGAGTGAGACCCTGTCTTGGTTAAAAAAAAAAAAAAAAAAAAGAAAAAAGAAATAAATGAGATAGCAATACAGATCAGTGAGGGGAGAGTGGAATATTGATAAATAGAAAAATGATGAACCACAAGGAGAAAAAGTAAAACTAGAGTTCCACATCTTACCATGCACAAAAATTGACCTACATGAATTGGAAATTGATGCCCAAAACAAAATCTTTTTCCTTTTTTTTTTTTTTTTTGAGTTGGAGTCTCCCTCTACCACCTGGCTAGAGTACAGTGGCACGGTCTCCGCTCACTGCAACCTCCACCTCCTGGGTTCAAGCAATTCTTTTGACTCAGCCTCCTGAGTAGCTGGAACTACAAGTGCACGCCACCACACCCGGCTAATTTTTGTATTTTTTAATAGAGATGTGGCTTCACCATGTTGACCAGGCTGGTCTGGAACCCCTGACCTCAGGTGATCTGCCCGCCTTGGACTCCCAAAGTGCTGCGATTACAGGCATGAGCCACCGCACCTGGCCTTCTTCTTTCTTTTTCTTTTTCTTTTCTTTTTTTTGAGAGAGGGTCTTAGGCCGGGCACGGTGGCTCATGCCTGTAATCCCAGCACTTTGGGAGGCCGAGGCGGGCAGATCACCTGAGGTCAGGAGTTCGTGACCAGCCTGGCTAACATGGTGAAACCTCGTCTCTGCTAAAAATACAAAAATTAGCCAGGCGTCGTGGTGGGTGCCTGTAATCCTAGCTACTTGGGAGGCTGAGGCAGGAGTCGCTTGAACCCAGGAGGTGGAGGTTGCAGTGAGCCGAGACTGTGCCACTACACTCCGGCCTGGGAAACAAGAGTGAAACTCAGTCTCAAAAAAAAAAAAAAAAAAAAAAAAAGAAACGGAAAAGAGAGAGCATCTTGAGCTATTGCCCTGGCTGAAATGAAGTGATACAATCATAGCTCACTGTAGCCTTGAACTCCTGGCTCCAGGGATCCTCCTGCCTCTGCCTTCTGCCTTCCAAGTAGCTGGGACTACAGGTAGGTACCACCACATCTGGCTAGTTTTTTATTTTTATTTTTGTAGAGACAGGGGTCTCACTATATTGGCCAGGCTTGGTCTTGAACTTCCCAAAGTGCAGGGATTGGAGGCATAAGCCACTGTGCCCTGCCCTTCAACTGATACAAGGGACATTTAAAAGAATTTATGTTAGAGCATGAAAATATGTTTTTTAAAAAAACAAAATAAGCCCGAACCATAAACAAAATATTGGTAAATTTGACTACATTAAAAAAAGTTCTGTATTATAAAAGATAGGATGGGGGACATGATAAACCACAGACTGGAAGAAGGTGTTTACAATGTAGGTGATGGACAAAGGATTAGTATTTAATATGTGCAGCATTCCTAAAAAGAAACAGAACCAAGTTGCAAAGGATATGGATAGGCAATTCATGGAGGAATAAGAGCTTAAACTCAAGAATAATTGCTATGGTTTGAATGTGTCCCCTCCAAAATTCAGGCATTGAAACTTACAATGTGATGGTATTAAGAAGTGGGGCCTTTAAGAGGTGATAAGGTGATTAGTGTGCCTCTCCTTATGAATGGAATTAGGGACCCTTACACAAGGCCTTGATGGACTTGCCCTTCTGTCTTCCACCATGTGAGGACACAGTGTTCCTCCGCTCCGGAGGATGTAGCAACAAGGTGCCACGCTGGGAGCAGAGAATGTTCCTCAGCAGGCAGTCACACCTGCTGGCACCTTGGTCTTGCACTTTCCAGCCTCTAGAACTACAAGAAAATAAATTTTGGTTCTTTATAAATTACTCACTCTTAAATATTAGCAGCACAAACAAAGGCAGAAATAAAAAAATGCAAAAAAAAAAAACCCACAGTGAGGTAAAACTATCATATTGGTAAAAGTTTAAGTCTGAAAACCCCAGTGATAGGTCCTTATGAATCAACACTGTTGGGGCAGGAGTGGGTGTGGGGGGTTGCAAATTAGAATAATCACTTAGAACAATTTGGAAAAATTTCGTCAAGTTGAGAATGTGGATTTCCTCTGATGCTGCAATTTCACTTCAAGGTGTACACTCCCAGAAATTCTTGTACAGGTGCACAGGGAGCCATATACAGGATGCTCACTGCAGCATTCAACATTTGTAATGCTGAATACCTGGAAATCACATTGATGTCCATAAGGACGCATAAATTAATTGTGATGTCTTCATACTAATTTATTGATCATGTGATCTTGAGCTTAAACCCCAAATTTTTCTTCACTTGATGATGAGGATCACAGTAGTACCTATCTGATAAAAAGATTTTTTGAGGATAACATGATTAAATACTAGAACAGTGTACAATACTTTAAAATGCCTAGAACAGTGTCAAGCACAAAATAAAATCCATTAACAGTGGTAACGACAGCAACAGGAGCAATAGTAGAAGTAGTATACGACAGTACGATGAATATATCAACATGGCTGAATTGTACAAAATGTGAAAGAGAAGAAGAAAGTTGCAGGAGAATATATACAGTATAATACTATTTGTGTGAAGTTTAAAACCATCAATGCAGTACCATATAATGTCTATGGAAACATACGTATATTACAGAATTGTAGAAATATGCATGGGAATGATGAACACCAATTTCTGGATAATATAAATCCATCTAAAATGGATTTTGACGATGGAGACGGGGAAATAGGATCTAAGAGGGTAACGGAGGCTTCAGTAGTATCTATCATATTTTATTTTTAAGCTTGATTTTGTATGATATTTGCCATCTATATTATTGTATGCCTGAAAACAATAAATTTTAAAGATATTACTTTGGCTGGGAACATACTTTGTGTTTTTCATCTACCCCTTATCTATGCCCTCATTACACATTGGCTGCTCCAAAAATGATTAAATCTAGGAGGCCTTCATTTAAAATGTCCAAAGCAAACAAACAATCTCATTTCAAAAACTCATAGAAAAATACTTCCATTTTGGTTTTTTCTGGCACAGAAATAAGTTTCTTGAGAAAGTGGGGCTGTGCTGTGTGTTTTGTTTATTGTCTAGCATAGGACGGGAATTAAAAATACATTCACAAATTAGTTGGTGATTCACTTCTTTGGAATTTAAAAATAAATTTCCCACAAAATTATAATAATTACTATCTTTTGAGACAGGATCTTACTCTGTTGCCCAGGCTGGAGAGCAGTGGCACTGACATGGCTCACTGCAGCTTCAAATTCCTGGGCTCAAGAGATTCTCCCACCTCAGCCTCCCAAGTAACTGTGATCACAGGCATATGCCACCACACTTGGCTAATTTTAAATTTTTTTGTAGAGAAGGAGTCTCTCTGTGTTACCCAGACTGGTCTTGAACTCCTGGGCTCAAGTGATTCTCCTACCTTGTCCTCCCAAAGTGCTAGGACTATAGATGTGAGCCACCATGTCCAGTCCATGAATAATTTAAAGAGAGTGACTAATTTCTCACCCTAACTCATAAAATCCTATTTAATCCATGTTGTTCTTTAAATTGCAGGCAATTGTAACAAATGCAGAAAAACTTTTTTTTTTTTTGGCTTGGTACTATTGTGGTAACATCAGTCTCAACACAGGCATACTTTCATTGAAAAAGGAAAATTCTAAATTAGCTGGTGTTTTAAATTTCCCTGTCTTTCATAGTATTTAATAACCTCTGTTTACAAATACACAATTCATCTTAATTCCAAATATACCATAATTACATTTTTCTAAAATGGATTTTTTTCAGTGTTGGAAATTCTTAATTGAAAGCCCGCACCCCTAACTGATTTGTGGGAGCTCTAAAGAGAAGTATCAGGAAAGCTCTACCCCAGCTCAGTCCTACTTTCTTGGTTACTACCTGGTTCCCACTCACTTTCAGGGCCAGAAGCTGTCTGGTGAGAGAAAGGTGGACACCCCTACCTGGGTAAATAAAAGTTAGGGGTGGAGTGGGGACTGGGCAGAAGTGACAGAGATGGCACAAGTAAGGAGAAAAACAGGATTTCATCAAGAAGATCCAGGTGGAAGCCAGGAAATGACAGGCTCTCAGGAAAAAGTAGCATGGAACAAAGTCAAGAGTGAACAGGAAAGAAATGAAGATCCAAAAGCAGGAAGAATTTAAGTTGTTCAAAACCAAGGCTATTGATTTGGGCTGGAGTTTCTGCTTAGGTGGGACCTGTGTGGCTGAGCTGGGGGCAAGAGCTTAAAGGAGTTACAGACAGGACACCTGGGAGGAATTTCCTTTGAACAAACCAAATCCCTTGTCTATCTGAAAACTGAAATCCATTTCTTCTCCCTCTTTTCTTCCTTTTCCATATTCTCCCTCCTTCTTTCTTTCCTCCTTCTTCTTTCATTTGGAAAAAAATTTATGTATGTTCCACCATCCAGAATGAAAAAATGTTATTCCATTACATTTGCTTCAAATACTTTTAATAAAAAATAAAGTATTAAAAACAGATTTGTACCCCTTCTCAGTCCCGTACATCTCCTTCCCTCCCAAGCACATCCACTATCATGAATTTCGTGTGTGTTCTTCTAGTTCGTGCTTTTTCTTTCCTTTGGTAATTTGACTATACATCTATCTGCCTATTGTTAAAGAAAAAAATATTAAATGATACTTGTTAAAGCATGGTAAGGAAGACTTTATTCAGGACCATCATGACATGCATTGGGACCACAGCAATGGGATTTTGCAGTGGGGAAGAGAGATTGGGCTCAACTTTGAATTCAGCATGGGCAAGTGGGAATTTATAGCCAAGGGGCAGAGTGGGGATCAGTGGATGGAAAACTACTAAGAGAAAACGTCAGGGGTAAGGGGGTTTCCTGTCTAAAGTGACCTAATAGGATTCTTGCTGAAGATGGGCCAGAGTGATCAGACGCCACCTGGGAGATAGTGGAGGATGAACTCGGTCAGATATTGAGCATGGTTAGATATCAAGGGTGGGCATTCTTGCTAAACTGACTTAGCAAGGTTCTTTGCTAAAACTGAATTTTGTAAAGAGGTGCACAGATGGGCTTATGAAAAGGTTCAGGAGACTGAATAAAGGTTGGCCAAAGAATCTTTTTTACCATAAACACTATAATATACTGTTTTGTGTGTCTCAAAGATAGATGTAAATATATTATACCTTGCATATTGTTCAACAATTTGCCTTTGTCATGGAACATACTTTTTAGCTCTAGCCATGTTGACTTATGCTGATAAAATTTGTTCCTCATAAGTAGTGTAGTATTCCATCATACAACGTGCCACATTTTTTTTCTTTTTTTTTTATTATACTTTAAGTTCTAGGGCCCATGTGCACAACGTGCAGGTTTGTTACATATGTATACGTGTGCCATGTTGGTGTGCTGCACCCATTAACTCGTCATGTACATTAGGTATATCTCCTAATGCTATCCCTCCCCCCTCCCCCCACCCCACAACAGGCCCCGGTGTGTGATGTTCCCCTTCCTGTGTCCAAGTGTTCTCATTGTTCAATTCCCACCTATGAGTGAGAACATGCAGTGTTTGGTTTTTTGTCCTTGCGATAGTTTACTGAGAATGATGGTGTCCAGCTTCATCCATGTCCCTATAAAGGACATGAACTCATCATTCTTTATGGCTGCATAGTATTCCATGGTGTATATGTGCCACATTTTCTTAATCCAGTCTATCTTTGTTGGACATTTGGGTTGGTTCCAAGTCTTTGCTATTGTGAATAGTGCTGCAATAAACATACGTGTGCATGTGTCTTTATAGCAGCATGATTTATAATCCTTTGGGTATATACCCAGTAATGGGATGGCTGGGTCAAATGGTATTTCTAGTTCTAGATCCCTGAGGAATCGCCACACCAACTTCCACAATGGTTGAACTAGTTTACAATCCCAACAGTGTAAAAGTGTTCCTATTTCTCCACATCCCCTCCAGCACCTGTTGTTTCCTGACTTTTTAATGATTGCCATTCTAACTGGTGTGAGATGGTGTCTCATTGTGGTTTTGATTTGCATTTCTCTGATGGCCAGTGATGATGACCATTTTTTCATGTGTCTATTGGCTGCATAAATGTCTTCTTTTGAGAAGTGTCTGTTCATGTCCTTTGCCCACTTGTTGATGGGGTTGTTTGTGTTTTTCTTGTAAATTTGTTTGAGTTCTTTGTAGATTCTGGATATTAGCCCTTTGTCAGATGAGTAGATTGCAAAAATTTTCTCCCATTCTGTAGGTTGCCCGTTCACTCTGATGGTAGTTTCTTTTGCTGGGCAGAAGCTCTTTAGTTTAATTAGATCCCATTTGTCAATTTTGGCTTTCGTTGCCATTGCTTTTGGTGTTTTAGACATGAACTCCTTGCCCATGCCTATGTCCTGAAAGGTATTGCCTAGGTTTTCTTCCAGGGTTTTTATGGTTTCAGGTCTAAAATTTAAGTCTTTAATCCATCTTGAATTAATTTTTGTATAAGGTGTAAGGAAGGGATCCAGTTTCAGCTTTCTACATGTGGCTAACCAGTTTTCCCAGCACCATTTGTTAAATAGGGAATCCTTTCCCCATTTCTTGTTTTTCTCAGATTTGTCAAAGATCAGATGGTTGTAGATATGTGGCATTATTTCTGAGGGCTCTGTTGTGTTCTATTGGTCTATATCTCTGTTTTGGTACCAGTACCATGCTGTTTTGGGTACAGTAGCCTTGTAGTATAGTTTGAAGTCAGGTAGCGTGATGCCTCCAGCTTTGTTCCTTTGGCTCAGGATTGACTTGGCAATGTGGGCTCTTTTTTGCTTCCATATGAACTTTAAAGTAGTTTTTTCCAACTCTGTGAAGAAAGTCATTGGTAGCTTGATGGGGATGGCATTGAATCTATAAATTACCTTGGGCAGTATGGCCATTTTCATGATATTGATTCTTCCTACCCATGAGCATGGACTGTTCTTCCATTTTTTTGTATCCTCTTTGATTTCGTTGGGCAATGGTTTGTAGTTCTCCTTGAAGAGGTCCTTCACATCCCTTGTAAGTTGGATTCCTAGGTATTTTATTCTCTTTGAAGCAATTGTGAATGGGAGTTCACTCATGATTTGACTCTCTGTTTGTTTGTTATTGGTGTATGAGAATGCTTGTGATTTTTGCATAGTGATTTTGGATCTGAGACTTTGCTGAAGTTGCTTATCAGCTTAAGGAGATTTTGTGCTGAGATGATGGGGTTTTCTAGATATACAATCATGTCATCTGCAAACAAGGACAATTTGACTTCCTCTTTTCCTAATAGAATACCCTTTATTTCTTTCTCCTGCCTGATTGCCCTGGCTAGAACTTCCAACACTGCATTGAATAGGAGTGGTGAGAGAGGGCATCCCTGTCTTGTGCCAGTTTTCAAAGGGAATGTTTCCAGTTTTTGCCCATTCAGTATGACATTGGCTGTGGGTTTGTCATAAGTAGCTCTTATTATTTTGAGATATATCCCATCAATACTGAATTTATTGAGAGTTTTTAGCATGAAGGGGTGTTGAATTTTGTCAAAGGCCTTTTCTGCATCTATTGAGACGATCATGTGGTTTTTGTCGTTGGTTCTATTTATATGCTAGATTACATTTATTGATTTGCATATGTCGAACCAGTCTTGCATCCCAGGGATGAAGCCCACTTGATCATGGTTGATAAGCTTTTTGATATGCTGCTGGATTCGGTTTGCCAGTATTTTATTGAGGATTTTTGCATGGATGTTCATCAAGGATATTGGTCTAAAACTCTCTTTTTTTTTGTTGTGTCTCTGCCAGGCTTTGATATCAGGATGATGCTGGCCTCATAAAATGAGTTAGGGAGGAGTTCCTCTTTTCCTATTGATTGGAATAGTTTCAGAAGGAATGGTACCAGCTCCTCCTTGTACTTCTGGTAGAATTGGGCTGTTAATCTGTCTGGTCCTGGACTTTTTTTGGTTGGTAAGCTATTAATTATTGCCTCAATTTCACAGCCTGTTATTGGTCTATTCAGAGATTCAACTTCTTCCTCGTTTTGTCTTGGGAGGGTGTGTGTGTCCAGGAATTTATCCATTTCTTCTAGATTTTCCAGTTTATTTGCATAGAGGTGTTTATAGTATTCTCTGATGGTAGTTTGTATTTCTGTGGGATCGGTGGTGATATCCCCTTTATCATTTTTTATTGCATCTATTTGATTCCTCTCTCTTTTATTCTTTATTAGTCTTCTTAGTGGTCTATCAATTTTGTTGATCTTTTCAAAAAACCAGCTCCTGGATTCATTGATTTTTTGAAGGGTTTTTTTGTGTCTCTATCTCCTTCAGTTCTGCTCTGATCTTAGTTATTTCTTGCCTTGTGCTAGCTTTTGAATGTGTTTGCTCTTGCCTCTCTAGTTCTTTTAATCGTGATGTTAGGCTGTCAATTTTAGATCTTTGCTGCTTTCTCCTGTGGGCATTTAGTGCTATAAATTTCCCTCTACACTGCTTTGAATGTGTCCCAGAGATTCTGGTATGTTGTGTCTTTGTTCTCGTTGGTTTCAAAGAACATCTTTATTTCTGCCTTCATTTCGTTATGTACCCAGTAGTCATTCAGGAGCAGGTTGTTCAGTTTCCGTGTAGTTGAGCGGTTTTGAATGAGTTTCTGAATCCTGAGTTCTAGTTTGATTGCACTGTGGTCTGAGAGACAGTTTGTTATAATTTCTGTTCTTTTACATTTGCTGAGAAGTGCTTTATTTTCAACTATGTGGTCAATTTTGGAATAAGTGCAATGTGGTGCTGAGAAGAATGTATATTCTGTTGATTTGGGGTGGAGAGTTCTGTGTATGTCTATTAGGTCTGCTTGGTGCAGAGCTGAGTTCCATTCCAGGATATCCTTGTTAACTTTCTGTCTTGTTGATCTGTCTAATGTTGACAGTGGGGTGTTAAAGTCTCCCATTATTATTGTGTGGGAGTCTAAGTCTTTTTGTAGGTCTCTAAGGACTTGCTTTATGAATCTGGGTGCTCCTGTATTGGGTGCATATATATTTAGGATAGTTAGCTCTTCTTGTTGAACTGATGCCTTTACCATTATATAATGGCCTTCTTTGTCTCTTTTGATCTTTGTTGGTTTAAAGTCTGTTTTATCCGAGACTAGGATTGCAACCCCTGCCTTTTTTTGTTTTCCATTTGCTTGGTAGATCTTCCTCCATCCCTTTATTTTGAGCCTATGTTTGTCTCTGCATGTGAGATGGGTTTCCTGAATACAGCACACTGATGGGTCTTGACTCTTTATCCAATTTGCCAGTCTGTGTGTTTTAATTGGAGCATTTAGCCCATTTACATTTAAGGTTAATATTGTTATGTGTGAATTTGATCCTGTCATTATGATGTTAGCTGGTTATTTTGCTCATTAGTTGATGCAGTTTCTTCCTAGCATTGACGGTCTTTACAATTTGGCATGATTTTGCAGTGGCTGGTACCGGTTGTTCCTTTCCATGTTTATTGCTTCCTTCAGGAGCTCTTTTAGGGCAGGCCTGGTGGTGGCAAAATCTCTCAGCATTTGCTTGTCTGTAAAGTATTTTATTTCTCCTTCACTTATGAAGCTTAGTTTGTCTGGATATGAAATTCTGGGTTGAAAATTCTTTTCTTTAAGAATGTTGGATATTGGTCCCCACTCTCTTCTGGCTTGTAGAGTTTCTGCTGAAAGATCAGGTGTTGGTCTGATGGGCTTCCCTTTGTGAGTAACCTGACCTTTCTCTCTGGCTGCCCTTAACATTTTTTCCTTCATTTCAACTTTGGTGAATCTGACAATTATGTGTCTTGGAGTTGCTCTTCTCGAGGAGTATCTTTGTGGCGTTCTCTGTATTTCCTGAATTTGAATGTTGGCCTGCCTTGCTAGGTTGGGAAAGTTCTCCTGGATAATATCCTGCAGAGTGTTTTCCAACTTGGTTCCATTCTCCCCATCACTTTCAGGTACACCAATCAGATGTAGATTTGGTCTTTTCACATAGTCCCATATTTCTTGGAGGCTTTGTTCATTTCTTTTTATTCTTTTTTCTCTAAACTTCTCTTCTCACTTCATTTCATTCATTTGATCTTCCATCACTGAAACCCTTTCTTCCATTTGATCGAATCAGTTACTGAAGCTTGTGCATTCGTCACGCAGTTCTCGTGCCATGGTTTTCAGCTCCATCAGGTCATTTAAGGACTTCTCTACATTGGTTATTCTAGTTAGCCATTCATCTAATCTTTTTTCAAGGTTTTTAACTTCTTTGCCATGGGTTCAAACTTCCTCCTTTAGCTCAGAGAAGTTTGATCATCTGAAGCCTTCTTCTCTCAACTCGTCAGAGTCATTCTCCATCCAGTTTTGTTCCTTTGCTGGCGAGGAGCTGCGTTCCTTTGGAGGAGGAGAGGCACTCTGATTTTTAGAATTTTCAGTTTTTCTGCTCTGTTATTTCCCCATCTTTGTGGTTTTATCTACCTTTGGTCTTTGACGATGGTGACATACAGATGGGGTTTTGGTGTGGATGTCCTTTCTGTTTGTTAGTTTTCCTTCTAACAGTCAGGACCCTCAGCTGCAGGTCTGTTGGAGTTTGCTGGAGGTCCACTCCAGATGCTGTTTGGCTGGGTATCAGCAGCAGAGGCTGCAGAATAGCGAATATTGGTGAACAGCAAATGTTGCTGCCTGATCGTTCTCTGGAAGTTTCGTCTCAGAGGGGTACCCGGCTGTGTGAGGTGTCAGTCTGCCCCTACTGGGGGTGCCTCCCAGTTAGGCAACTCGGGGGTCAGGGACCCACTCGAGGAGGCAGTCTGTCCGTTCTCAGATCTCAAGCTGATCCTGCTGGGAGAACCGCTACTGTCTTCCAAGCTGTCAGAGGTTTCTGCTGCCTTTTGTTCGGCTATGCCCTGCCTCCAGAGGTGGAGTCTACAGAGGCAGGCAGGCCTCCTTGAGCTGCTGTGGGCTCCACCCAGTTTGAACTTCCCGGCCGCTTTGTTTACCTACTGAAGCCTCAGCAATGGCGGGTGCCCCTTCCCCAACCTCACTGCCACCTTGCAGTTTGATCTCAGACTGCAGTGCTAGCAATGAGTGAGGCTCCGTGGGCATGGGACCCTCTGAGACAGGTGCGGGATATAATCTCCTGGTGTGCTGTTTGCTAAGACTGTTGGAAATGCTGAGTATTAGGGTGAGAGTGACCCAATTTTCCAGGTGCTGTCTGTCACCCCTTTCCTTGGCTAAGAAAGGGAATTCCCTGACCCCCTGCACTTCCTAGGTGAGGCGATGACTCACCCTGCTTTGGCTCACGCTCGGTGTGCTGCACCCACTGTCCTGCACCTACTGTCTGACAAACCCCAGTGAGATGAACCCGGTACCTTAGCTGGAAATGCTGAAATCATCCATCTTCTGCATCGTTCATGCTGGGAGCTGTAGACTGCAGCTGTTCCTATTCGGCCATCTTGGAACCGGGGAGCAACATGCCACATTTTATGTATCCATTCCCTTCACAATGCATATTGTGTTTTCATTTTTTTTTTGTCATTATAAGCAATGCTACATTTTGGAATTAATTTCTCCTTTAACAATGAAACAGGTATTTCCAGAGCTAGAAAAATAATAAACTATAATTCTGGTTTTTTGTGCAATCTATGATAAAGGACTAAAATGCCTCTAAATTTAAATTTAAATTGTGTATGAGTTAAATTTGTCTAGGTCTCACAAGTTTGTTAATTTTAGGTTAAGTTTGCTTATCTTGGTAGAATTCTCTACTACATAAAAGTGTAGCTTTGAGAGCCAAAATGCTTGGGTTCAAATTTTGTCTCAGTCTCTGATTAGCTGAGGCTCATTGGCCAGTTGGAAAATTCTTTCCCTTTCTAGTATGTAGCTAATGCATGAACTCAGGGCAGTCTTCATTGGCTATCAGCACCTTTGGACATTCTTCCAGTGTTTGGGCAAGAGGGTCCCTATCTGAGACCCTACTTCCTACTAAGTAGCTGGGGAACAGATATGGACCCTGGGATCAGTCAATCATTTGCCAGAGCTGGAATTCTAAAGAAATGGAATCCATTCTAGCAAGGTTCAGGGAGGCTGTATCCCGCTTTTAGAGGCAGTGAAGTTGTAGGTTCCTAAGGTGGTGTCCGGGCCCATTGTCCAGTATCAATAGTCTTGGTGATGCAAGCAGCAGTGTCTGTGGTGGTAGCATCAGTGGTGAGCTCTGCAGTGTGATTTTGGGCATGGTTCCCAGTGAGGTTGCCTCCAGATCCTGTTTCTCCAGCCTTTGGAGAATCTTTTTTTTTTTTTTGAGACAGAGTCTCGCTGTCATCCAGGCTGGAGTGCAGTGGCGTGATCTCTGCTCACTGCAGGCTCTGCCCCCCAGGTTCACGCCATTCTCCTGCCTCAGCCTCCCGAGCAGCTGGGACTACAGGTGCCCACCACCTCGCCTGGCTAATTTCTTGTATTTTTAGTAGAGACAGGGTTTCACCATGTTAGCCAGGATGGTCTTGATCTCCTGAACTCATGATCCACCCACCTTGGCCTCCCAAAGTGTCCTTTAGAGAATCTTAAACTCCATTCATGAACTATTTTTCTATTTAAACCAATCACTTCTTTTCAGTTGTTTGCAACTAAGACCTCTTTCTAAAAGAGGTCAGATGTCACAGAACACTAGTTGGGTCCTCCCCTTCTGCCTCATTCAGCCTTTTCCTTCTCAGGATGCATTGGCTCTCTGGTGAGTGTGAGCTGGAAGAGTTCAAGTCTGAATTCACATGTCCCTACAAACCCCACTTTTTCTGACATTCATGTCCTGTGGTGATGTCCACTGTGTTAGACTTTCCTTACTTCTTATTTCTTTAAGGAGCACTTATTTTTCCCTTCTGGCTTCTGTGACCCCTCCCAACCCCAGCCACTACACTAGACATATCATGTATTATTTGAATATCAATAGTCTAATTGTGGAGAGAGATGATTAGATTGTTTTGCAGTAGGGTTTCTAGGCTCCAGAGAAATCAGAAGCACTTAGATTCTTGTTTAACTCTATTTGAGCAACCCATGGTCATTAAGGAGGCTTTTATTAGAGGTCACTGTGACCATGGAATCTAGAGTTTACTCATAGCCAGCCCTTTCCCTATGATCTCTAAGGGAGGTCAATGTACAGGAATAATGGTGAGAAAAGGAAAGTCTCATTCTAATTTTTGTTGTGGCTCAGACTCTCATCCCTATTTTAAGAGGGCCTGGTAAGGTGGGTTCTGCTTTATGGAGCCCTCCTTTTTCTGTAAGCCACTTAGACCGTATGGCTTCAGACCAAGGAAGCTGTAAGTTCAGATTTCTTTCTCTCACTCATCACTTCCTCCTCCCCCATCCCCCTAACATGTCACCCAGGACACATCCTGATCTTAGAGCTCTCATTAGAGACTGACCTAACACACACCTGTCAGGACCTGGCTGGAAGACACCACAGAGGGACATGACATGAATGTGCTTTCCCTCAGCCACAACTGGGGCTACAACTGGGGTCTAGTCCTGGCCCAGCCAGGTGGAAGGAGGGACAAGAGGAAATAATATATTCCCTTGTATGTTGTAACAGATTCTGGCTTAGAACTCCAGCAGAGAAGAAAAAGGAGTTGAAAGAAAGAAAGCCCTATCTTTTTTTTTTTCTTAATTTAACTTTTATTTTAAGTTCAGGGGTACATGGGCAGGTTTGTTATATAGGAAACTTATGTCATGGGGGTTTGTTGTACAGATTATTTCATTACCCAGATATTAAGCCTTTTACCCATTAGTTATTTTTCCTGATCCTCTCCCTCCTCTCATCCTCCACTCTCCAATAGGCCCCAGTGTGTGTTATTCCCCTCTATGTGTCCATGTGTTCTCATCGTTTAGCTCCCACTTATAAGTGTGAACATGCTGTTTTCTGTTCCTGCATTAGTTTGCTAAGGATAATGGCCTCTAGCTCCATTCATGTTCTTGCAAAGGCCATGATCCCATTCTTTTTTATGGCCGCATAGTATTCCATGGTGTATATGTACCACATTTTCTTTATCCACTCTACCATTGATGGCATTTAGGTTGATTCCATGTTTTTGCTATTGTGAATAGTGCTTCAATGAACATATGCGTGCATGTGTCTTTATGATAGAATGATTTATATTCCTTTGGGTATATACCCAGTAATGAGATTTTTGGGTCAGATGTTATTTCTGTTTTTAGGTCTTTGAGAAATCACCACACTTTTCCACAATGGTTGAACTAATTTACACTTCCACCCACATATTATTTGTTTTCATATTATAGTTCTCACCATCTGGTAGATGTATAAGCATTCCTTTTTCTCCACAACCTCACCAGCATCTGTTATTTTTTTGACTTTTTAGTAATAGCCATTCTGACTGGTGTGAGATGGTATCTCATTGTAGTTTTGATTCACGTTTCTCTAATGATCAGTGATGTTGAGCATTTCTTCATATGCTTGTTGACTGCATATATGTCTTCTTTTGAAAAAGTGTCTATTCATGTCCTGTGCCACCTTTTTAATGGGGTTTTTTTTTATTGTAAATTCGTTGAAGTTTCTTATAGATTCTGGATATTAAACCTTTGTCTGATGCATAGTTTGCAAAAATTTTCTCCCATTCTGTAAGTTGTCTGTTTACTCTGTTGATAGTTTCTTTTGCTATGCAAAAGCTCTTAAATAAGGTCCCATTTATCAACTTTTTGCTTTTGTTGCAATGGCCTTTGGCATCTTTGCAATGAAATCTTTGCTCATTCCTAGGCCCAGAATGAGAGGAAGTCAAATTATCTCTGTTTGCAGTTGACATGCTCCTATATCTAGACCCTTTTGGACCCATAGTCTTGGCCCAAAAGCTCCTTTAGCTGATAAACAACTTTAGCAAAGTCTGAGGATACAAAATCAATGTACAAAAATCGCTAGCATTTTTATACACCAACAACAGTCAGCTGAGAGCCAAATCAGTAATGCAATCCCATTCGCAATTGCCACCAAATAATAAAATACCTAAAACTTTGGTATTTCTAGGTGAAATATCTCTACAAGAAGAACTACAAAACACTGCTCATAGAAATTAGAGATGACACAAACAAATGGAAAAACATTCCATGCTCATGGATAGGGAGGCTTATCTTTAGAGCTTTTAAACCCTGTGGCTCTACCCACTAGAAAACTTGGTGCAAAATAAAAGAGAGAATCTCTGGGAGAAGAGAAGAGCTTTGTGAGCTTCCCCGTCCCCAGGCCAAATACACATAGAAGTTTTACCAACCCCGAGATGCTGATGGGACTGAGTCCCTGTTTCATCTGAAGCCTAGACACCTGCTACTATGGTGTCTAAATGTTAGCATTTAGATAGGAGCATGGAAGAACTGGTTATTAGCTATATCATGTTAAATATATTAATGTTTATGTTTATAAATTGCTCATCATAAAATCACAACAAAAGAGGTAAAATCAGTCTTAAAATATATATTTTAAAAATTGCCACTTTGTTTCATCCCAGAATCATGTTTTAAAGACTTGGAATATTTCCACTAGCTAGATTTCTCAGGTCTGTAAAATGTAAAGCATGAGACTCAAAATCCTAACTTACGATCTGCTAGTAATTTGTAGTTCTCTGGCTAGAATAATTAAGTTGTCATGTAGTTATCAAAAATGATGTAAATTCTTGGCTATTACAGGAATCTTAAAATGATTTAAAAATAACCCTGGAGAAAAGCTTTTTTTAATCTGACATTTACTAGTAGCAATGCTCCTTGCTTTTTGGAATGTCAGGACTCGCCTTGTGTTTTTCTTTTGTTTCCCAAGACTGACTCTATCTACAGTTTACTCTAAAGTTTTCGCTATCAGGTAGAACCATCTTCATCTTGATCTTGTCGATGACCATTGATAATTTTAATATTACTTTCCTATATTAACTGGAGTCTTCTTGTACTGAATGAACATCTTTTAACTCAGCCAACTATGGCTCAGTTGACTATTGTGAGGAGGCAGTTGGGGAGAGTCAGGAGCCCCAGACTAGGTTTCCCAAAAGGCAGGGAATGGGGCAAATAATGAATACAGTAACTGTTTGAACCATTGTCTCCCTTCTAATAAAATGTGTTTTGAGGAATACTAGTGTCATATGATTCTTCAGTTAAAAAAGTCATATGGTCAGTTCAGTTTGTGTAAAACTTTACATGATTTACCTGTCTTGTAATGCACATTAGCACATCTGAGAAATCCCCTAGTAAAATAACCTGGCTTAATATTCTTTAACCCATACTTATTCAAATTTATTTGGCCCTAGGGGCACTTTTTCTTAGGTAATCCTATTCCACTAATGCTTTATGGAGATTGGGCTCCCTGAAAATCATTTGGAGAAGAGTACTGACAGGCATTTGCCATCAAGGATCCAAGATGAAGTAATGTGCAACAAAACAAAGACAGACATAAGGCTAGAAAAGGTCAAAGCTCGTAGGAAGCTTTAAAAAAATGAAAAAGGATGGGAGGAGCCTAAGCTGATAGGTGAAGCACGAGCCTCTTGCTGGGGCAAGGAGCCTAGAGAGGTGAAGAGACTGGGGTCACAGGAAAGGGTTGCTCTGTGGAGTCTAGTAAGGACTCATATTTCCAGCAGCCAAGTTAGATAGCTGCTATTACTGCACCCATCTTACAAATAAGAAAATGGAGACTCAAAGAGGTTAAGTTGCCCACTGTCACTTAGCTGGTTGGAGGCAGAGCTGGGGTTCAAGGTCAGGGGTGATTCCATAGCCAGTGCTCTTGCCACTGTGCCACACTGTCTTCTGGTGATTTTGTTTTCTAAATATATGTCCAAAATTTATTCTCCTCTCCTTCCATCCCACAGTAGGAGTAGATGATGAGTCAAGTTTTCAGAGATGTTGAATTTTGAGGTTCACATGGGACGAGCTTCATTTCTTCTTTCCACGTAATTGCACGTATTTCCTTCTCTGCCCTGAATACTCTCAGGTCTCTCTTTCCCAACCCCCTTCTTTGCCTCTATCCCTTCCCTACACAGTGAACTCATCATAATCATCACATGTATACACATACACACATGCATACACACATACATTATATATGTACAAAATACATATATATCTTGTACACATATATACATACATACAAATTTTACTGTGTATAAGATATAAATGTCATATGTCCTTTTAACATACATACATATATAAACATACATATGCTATTCATCTGTGATTAAATTATTTGCAAAGCTCTCACCCACCCATTTCATATCCCCTAGCTGAAAGTCATAATTCTTGTGAATTTATGGTCAGATGCAAGGGAAATAATGTAGTGGCTGTAAATGGATGATAATGACTTTGGGTGGGGCTTCTGAACTCTTAACTGGAATTTTTGTTTTGTTGTATTGCTGCTACCTTGGATTCCATTATTTATAGTGTGAAGCTTTAGTAAAATTCTATTAGCCTTCTGGGAGGGGTTAATTAGAAATGTAGACAAAGGAGAGCTAGTCAATATAATTTATTTAGGTTTTTCAAAAGGCTCTTAACAAATTTCCAAAGCCAATACTGTATTAAAAATATAATTATACATTGATGGAAATATTTTGTTACTAATAGAATCTTGGATTAAAAATAAACTCCAGCAGTTCATGGACATTTTTAACAGAGATAACAACAAAAATTATATAAAATATATACATGTATGTATAGGGTCTTGCTCTGTCAGCCAGGATGGAGTGCAGTGGTGTGATCACAGCTTATTGTAGCCTCAACCTCCTGGGCTAAAGCTATCCAAGTGGCTGGGACTGTAGTCGTGTGCCACCATACCCAGCTAATTTTTTTTTTTTTTTTTTTTTTGAGACAGGGTCTCAATTTTTTACCCAGGGTGGAGTGCAGTGGCAAGATGTTGGCTCACTGCAGTCTCAACCTCCTGGATCAAGTGATCCTTCCACCTCAGCCTCCCAAGTAGCTGGGACTACAGTTGTGTACCACCACACCTGGCTAATTTTTATATTTTTTGTAGAGATGGTGTTTCACCATGTTGCCCAGCTGGTCTCAAACTCCTGAGCTCAAGCAAACTGCTTGCCTTGACCTCCCAAAGTATTAGGATTATGGACATGTCAGCTAATTTTTTAATTTTTTTACAGACAGGCTTTCACTGTGTTGCACAGGCTGGTTTTGAACTCCTGAGCTCAAAAGATCCTACCACCTTGGCCTCCCAAAGTGCTGGGATTATAGGCATGAGCCACTGCACCTGGCCTGATCTTTTCAGGTATAACATATTTGTGCATACATAAAAGGGGAAAATATAAACTATCTAAACTGGTTAAATCATTAAGATTTTCCTAAACCTTCACATTTAGAGTCCAACTCTTTGGGATCACTTTTCACTTACCAGTTGTTGATATGTCATATTTTACCACACAACATTATCCAAGATCAAGAGAACTGGTAATGCACTGCATCTTAAAAGAATGCTTACTGCTTTCCCCAGAATTTCTTTCAAGACACTTACACCCTTACACTTACGCAAGTTTTGAAGTGCGTAAGTGGGTAATTATAGCTATATGATGATAGCCACAATCAGAAATTTTAAAATATCATGCTATTTTCAGAGATTGAGTCTTAGGATTGATGAAAAATATATCTGTTAGGAGAAAAATAATGTTGCTAAATTCATTTGTAAATTAAATGACTAGTTCCAGATTTAATTTAATTTTAAGTGACCACACTTTCTATTGTTCAATTTTAAGTCAAAACACACACACACATGCACACACATATATATTTATCAAACATCTACTATTTATCCTGTGCCACAGAGGTTTAGTGGAGAGGTTCAGGTATAGTTAAATAAAGAAGGTAAGATTTGAATTGGACCCTACAGAATGAATGAGGTTACACATTTTAGAGGTGGGATGTGGCAGGTAGAAAAGGAAGCAAAGAGGAACAGTTGAGAAAATAAACTACTGTGATGTTAATGACTATACAGTTGCAAATGAGATAAGAACCAGCCTTAGGTCAGAAACAGAAAAATTACACAAGAATAAATGCAACAACAAACTTAAGAACACAGAATGATTCATTGAAGCCACCTATCCTCTAGCCAAAATGTCCAAACTGAAAAAAAGCTCTTAATCACTGGCAATAGAATAATTTTTTTAAAAAAGCAATAGATGTTCCTCTTCCTGTGTCCAAGTGTTCTCATTGTTCAATTCCCACCTATGAGTGAGAACATGCGGTGTTTGGTTTTTTGTCCTTGCGATAGTTTGCTGAGAATAATGGTTTCCAGCTTCATCCATGTCCCTACAAATGACATGAACTCATCCTTTTTTATGGCTGCATAGTATTCCATGGTGTATATGTGCCACATTTTCTTAATCCATTCTATCATTGTTGGACATTTGGGTTGGTTCCTAGTCTTTGCTATTGTGAATAGTACCGCAATAAACATACGTGTGCATGTGTCTTTATAGCAGCATGTTTTATAATCCTTTGGGTATATACCCAGTAACGGGATGGCTGGGTCAAATGGTATTTCTAGTTCTAGATCCCTGAGGAATTGCCACACCAACTTCCACAATGGTTGAACTAGTTTACAGTCCCACCAACAGTGTAAAAGTGTTCCTATTTCTCCACATCCCGTCCAGCACCTGTTGTTTCCTGACTTTTTAATGATTGCCATTCTAACTGGTGTGAGATGATATCTCATTGTGGTTTTGATTTGCATTTCTCTGATGGCCAGTGATGATGAGCATTTTTTCATGCATCTTTTGGCTGCATAAATGTCTTCTTTTGAGAAGTGTCTGTTCATATCCTTCACCCACTTTTTGATGGGGTTGTTTGTTTTTTTGTTGTAAATTTGTTGGAGTTCATTGTAGATTCTGGATATTAGCCCTTTGTCAGATGAGTAGATTGCAAAAATTTTCTCCCATTCTGTAGGTTGCCTGTTCACTCTGATGGTAGTTTCTTTTGCCATGCAGAAGCTCTTTAGTTTAATTAGATCCCATTTGTCAGTTTTGGCTTTTGCTGCCATTGCTTACCGGGGCCTGTTGTGGGGTGGGGGGAGGGGGGAGGAATAGCATTAGGAGATATAGCTAATGTTAAACGACAAGTTAATGGGTGCAGCACACCAACATGGCACAAGTATACATATGTAACTAACCTGCACGTTGTGCACATGTACCCTAAAACTTAAAGTATAATAAAAATAAAAATAAAAAAGGAATAGAAGCTATTGAGTGGAATATTGTGCAGAGATATAAAAATAAAAACTACAGTATAGTGTTAGATTTAAAAGTGGGATATAAAATTACATAAACAGTATTATCACAACAATGAAATATTTGCAGAAACTCAGAAATATTTTCTTTCCAGATTTTCCTTAATACTATTCTTAAATTCTATTTTTAATAATTGGCTTGAAAGTACAGATGAGAAAGAGTGAAATCAGCAGGTTGGCTAGGAAAGGAAGAATGCTATCATAGGTAAATCGAAAGACTAAGACTATAAAAAGAGAAGAAATTACTATAAAAATATTATTTAGGTGTGAACACAAGTTTATATTTCTGCTCATTTAAGCATAATATTCTAATAAGTTAGCCAAAGAAATCAGAAAAAGAGAAGCATAGTATAATAAAGATTTTATGAGTTAAATGTCATATATTAATATTCATAACCAGTTTTTTCCATACACAATCTAGTGAATGCCATAATTTTTTAAAGAAAAACATAAAATTAGAAAGCTAATAATGGTGACTATTGACTTATTGACTGCCTAAAACATCTACATTTGGACTTTTTAGAAGATATATTATGATTTTAGTACTGAAAATAGACTTCCCATATTATATATTACCGTGTCCAGTACTCTTTATTTCTTTCTATAAGTCCCAGTTTCTATCTGGTATCATTTTCTCTCATCTTGAACTTCCTTCAACCTTTCCTGCAGTGCAGATCTGCTGATAAGAAAATGTCTCTATTTCACCTTAGTTTTTGAAGTACATGTTCATTGGTTATGCAATTACAGGTTGATGAAGATTAGAAGGTCCTTCCCATCCCCTAGTGATTTAAAGATGTCATTTCATTGTCTTATATTCCCCCATATGTAACGTATCTGTCTCTCTGGTTGTTTTTTTTTTATTATTATACTTTAAGTTTTAGGGTACATGTGCACAATGTGCAGGTTACTTACATATGTATACATCAATAGTTTTTAGCAATGTAATTACAATGTGCCTTGATGTAGTTTTCTTTGTGATTATCCTTCTTGGTATTTGTTAAACTTCCTGGACCTGTGTGTTGATATTTTCCATTAAAAAAAAGGTGGGCATTATCTTTCCAAGTATTTTTTTGGCCCACCCTGTCCTGGAATCTCAATACACATATGCTATGCTACTTGATATTGTCCCAAAGAACAATGAGTTCTTGTTTTTTAAAAAAATATTGTTAATCAACTTTATGTTTTGGAGCAGTTTTAGGTTTCTGGAAAAATCAAATAGAAAGAACAGAGCATTCCCACATAACCCCACTTCCCATGCAAGCAGTTTCCACTACTGTTAACATCTTGCATTACAGTGATACATTTGTTACAATTGCTGGCACAATGTTGACACATTATTTTTAACTAAACCTGGTAGTTTATATTAGGATTCACTCTGTGTTGTACATTCTATAGGTTTTGACAAATATATGATGACATGTATTCACAATTTCAATATAATTCAGCATAGTTTTACTGCTCTGTGAATCCCCTGTGCTCTGCCTATTCATCCCTCCCCATTACCCCCTTCTTAATACCTGGCAATCAGTGGTCCTTTTACTGTTTTGCCTTTTCCAGAATGTCATATAGTTGGACTCATACAGTATGTAGCCTTTTCAGATCGACTTCTTTCATTTAGCAATATGCATTTAAGCTTCCTACTTGTCTTTTTTGTACCTTGATAGCCCATTTCTTTTTATCATTAAATAATATTCCATTGTTTGGAGGTACCACAGTTTATCTTTTCACCTATTGAAGGGCATCTTGTTTGTTTCCAAGTTTTGCCAATTGTGAATAAAGATGCAATAAACATTGATGTGTAGGTTTTTCTGTGTACAAATGTTTTCAACTCCTTTGGGTAAATACCAAGGAGCACAATTACTGGCTAACAGTATAGGAGTATATTAGGCTGTTCTCATGCTGCTATAAAGAACTGCCTGAGACTGGGTAATTTATAAAGGAAAGAGGTTTAATTGACTCATAGTTCTGCATGGCTGGGGAGGCCTCAGAAAACTTAGAATCATGGCAGAAGGGGAAGCAAATACATCCTTCTTCACATGGTGGCAGGAAGGAGAAGTGCTAAGCAAAGGGGAAAAGCCCCTTATAAAACCATGGATCTCATGAGAACTCACTATCATGAGAACAGCATGGGGGTAGTCACCCCCATGATTCAGTTACCTCCTATTGGGTCCCTCCCATGACATGTAGGGGTTATGGGAAGTAAAATTCAAGATGAGTTTTGGTTGGGGACACAGACAAACCATATCATTCTACTCTGACCCCTCCCAAATCTCATGTCCTCACTTTTCAAAACACAATCATGCTTTTCCAAAATCCCCCAAAGTCTTAGCTCATTCCAGCATTAACCCAAAAGTCCAAGTCCAAAGTCTCATCTGAGACAAGGCAAGTCTCTTTCACCTAGGAGGAGCCTGTAAAATCGAAAGCAAGTTAGTTACTTCCTAGACAAAATGGGAGTATGGGAATTGGGTAAATATACCCATTCCAAATGGGAGAAATTGGTCAAAGCAAAGGAGCTACAGGCCCCTGCAAGTCCAAAACCCAATAGGGCAGTCATTAAACCTTCAAGTTCCAAAATGATCTCCTTTGACTCCATGACTCACATCCAGGTCACACTGAAGCAAGAGGTGGGCTCCTATGGCCTTGGATACCTCCACCCTGTGGCTTTGCAGGGTACAGCCCTCCTCCTGGCTGCTTTCATGGCTGGTGTTGAGTGTCTGTGGCTTTTCCAGGTACATAGTGCAAGCTGTCAGTTGATCTACCATTCTGGGGTCTGAAGGACAGTGGCCCTCTTCTCACAGCTCCACTATGCAGTGCCCCAGTGGGGACTCTGTGTGGGGGCGCCAAACCCATATTTCCCTTTGCCCTAGCAGAGGTTCTCCATGAGGGCTCCTCCCCTGCAGAAAACTTCTGCCTGGACATCCAGGTGTTTCCATACATTTTCTGAAATCTAGGCAGAGGTTCCCCAACCTCAGTTCTTGACTTCTGTGCACTCAGAGGCCCAGCACCACATGCAAGCAGCCAAGGCTTGAGCTTGCACCCTCTGAAGCAATGGCTTGAGCTGTACCTTGGCCCCTTTTAGCCACAGCTGGAACTAAAGCAGCTGGGATGCAGGGCACCATGTCCTGAGGCTGCACAGAGCATGGGGGCCCATGAAACCATTTTTCCCTCCTAGGGATCCACATCTGTGACGGGAGGGGCTGGGGTGAAGTTCTCTGACATGCCCCAGAGACATTTGCCCCATTGTCTTGGTGATTAACATTTGGCTCCTTGTTACTTATGCAAATTTCTACAGTGGGCTTGAATTTTTCCCCAGAAAATGGGCTTTTCTTTTTCATCACCTCATCAGGCTGCAAATTTTCAAACTTGTATGTTCTGCTTCCTCTTGAATGCTTTGCTGCTTAGAAATTTTTTCTACTATATACCCTAAATCATCTCTCTCAAGTTCAAAATTTCACAGATCTCTAGGACAGGGGCAAAATGCCGCCAGTCTCTTTCTTAAAGCAAAGCAAATGTAACCTTTGCTCCAGTTACCAAGAAGTTCCTCATCTCCATCTGCTACTACCTCAGGCTGGACTTAATTGTCAATATCGCTATCAGCATTTTGGTCAAAACCATTCAACAAGTCTCTAGGAAGGTCCAAACTTTCCCACATGTTCCTGTCTTCTGAGATCTCTAAGTCTCTAGGAAGTTCCAAACTTTCTCACATTTTCTTGTTGTCTTCTGAACCCTCCAAATTGTTTCAGTCTCTGCCTGTGACCCCATTCCAAAGTCACTTTGGAATTTTTTGGTTATCCTTTTAGCAGTGCCTCACTCCCTCGGTACCAATTTAGTGTATTACTAAATTGCCTAAGAACTGCCTAAGACTAGGTAAGTTATAAAGGAAAGAGGTTTAATTGACTCCAAGTTCCACAGGGCTAGGAAGCCTCAGGAGACTTAGAATCATGGTGAAAGGAGAGGCAAAATGTTCTTCTTCACATGGTAGCAGGAAGGAGAAGTGTTGTGCAAAGGGGAAAAGCTGCTTATAAAACCATCAGATCTCATGAGAACTCGCTCACTATCATGAGAAAAACATGGGGGTAACCACCACCATGATTCAGTTACCTCTCACTGGGTCCCTCTCACAACATGTGGGGATTATGGAAACTACAATTCAAGATGAGATTTGGGTGGGGACACAGCCAAACCATATCAAAGAGTATGTTTAGTTTGGTAAGAAACTTCCAAACATTCTTCCAAAGTTGCTATACAATTTGGCATTCCCATTAGTAATGAGTAAAAGTTCCTGCTTTTGAGCCAGGTGCAGTGGCTCATACCTGTCTTCAGCCACACTCAGGATATGTACAGTATGTTTGTTACAAAATATATTTTTTATAAAAGCTTAAGGGAAATGAGGAGAATTCATCATTTATTTCTTGTGCTCTATTTGTTTGGTGGTCTTCCAAATAGATAACCACTTTTTAGGAATCTGGAAGAGGAAGTTCTTGATTCAATGGGAGTCCTAATTAAATAACTCTCCATTGTCTTCTGATTCAAAGATGCTATAATGATTTAGACTTGATGAATAATTGTACTAGTTAATCCTACTTCCTCCCATCCTATTCCACAACATCTTCATCTGTAAACACTTGTCTTGTATATTAATACTCTTACCACTGCCAGGTTGGCTTTGAACCAAATTCAGCTGCTCTATCTTCTTTGCATCAACTCTCCTGAGGTCATGAAGCAGAGTAGCCTTCATGGGACCCTCTGGACTCCCAGCTCAGTGGGATCAATCTCAGGGCAACCTCGTAAAACCTCCGTTCCCAGTAACTTGAGCTTCATTAGTCTGTCAGTCAGGCAAAACTATGCTTTACTATGGGGCAATGACAATTAGGAGTTCAGCCTTCACTAAATACAAATTTGGAGCAAAAACATACTGATGTCAGTGATGAGAAAGAAGATTTACTAACAGTTCCCAAATGCGCAAGGCAAATTATGAAATCTGCCGTAGTCCCAAATTTCAGAGGTCTTCCAGTTCCTTTGTAGTTGGTGGCCCTGTGGAGAGATAGCCAATGCTGTTCATTTACCACTGGAGTCAAAGAAAAATAAAACCATTACTCTCAGGAAAAGGCCTCACCATATCTAAACTAATTTTAGAAGGAATGCATACTATTTTTTCCTTCAAAGACATTTATGGCATTTACTATATATAAATGTCAATATAGATAGCAATCTAGGTTTGAAATATAGCCACACATTGCTTGATGATGTTTCTGTTAACAAGGAACCATATGTATGGTGGTCATCCTGTAAGAAAATAATACCATATTTTTACTGTACCTTCTTTATGTTTATATATACAAATACTTACCATTGTGTTACCATTGGCTACAGTATTCAGTATGGCCACATGCTGTACAGTTTGTAGCCTAATAATAACAATCAGATTGAGAGAGAAAAGAAATTTTTATCTGAGGAATATGAGCCCCTTTTAAATTATCAGGCCCAGAGAGACATTAAAATGTGACAGCAGTCTCATCTCACTCACCCTTTGAGCTAAATAATTACCTCTTGAAGACTTCGCTATGTGGGTGCTAGACTATCTGATGCCATGTAGCCATGAAATGCCACATGTCAGAAGCTGAAACTCATACTCTGTAGTTCAACAATGTGTAGCAAGTTACTAATCGATGTTATTTCTGTAAACCAGTGAGAATTCCTATTCAAACAGTTTTCTATCAGCTCACTCCTTGTGCCCTTTTGCCTTTTAAAAACCAGCTTGTAAGGAGGGCTGAAATGAGCACTTCCCAGAGTTTCTGGGGCTGCAGTCCTCAACCTTGGCCCAAATAAACTCTCAATATTAATTTTGCCTCAGTTTCCTTTTTTTGTCATCAGGCTATATTGTATAACCTAGGGTGTAGCAAGATATACCATCCAGACTTGTGTAAGTATACCCTATGATGTTTGCACAATGAAGAAAATTGCTAATGATGCATTTCTTAGAATGTATCCATGTTGTTAAGTTATGCATGACTGTAGTTGTATCTTTTTTCCCTTAATTTGGAAAAAAATACCTTCTAAATTTTGAAACCCTTACCTAAAATCCCTTTATAGGCTCAAAATTCCCTTAATATTTACAATGAAGTGAATTATTTTCCCCTTTCTTTTGGAAAACAAATGAGATTAGCAACTTTTAACCATTTACTTTTTTTAAATTTGCTAACCACATGCAGATCTATGTGCACCTTTCCCAGAAAACAAATTATACATATTGTAACAAGAAGAGAAAACCAAATGCTTGTGAAGTCCTTATGAGATAGGTTGCTTTTTCCTGATGTAGTTTTAGAGAACGCCTGCCCATTGAAGCCAGCCTCAAGTGAGTTAGCTGATGGAGTGCAAATGTCATCTCTCTGACAAAACTTTCTCCAACCCACGTAAGCCATTCCCCAATCATAACTATTTGCTTGGTCTGTGTCCTGGTGCTTTATTTTTTATCTCTATTTTTAATCACAGTATTTAATGATATTTTTCCTTCACCAAAAATAAATGTGAGTTATGTAATATGTTGGGGTGCCCAGCACACTAGTGCAAACCCTAGTGTTTTTCAAAAGAACAAATGAATGGAGTGATATTTTGTCACCTTTGAAACTTTTTCTTATGGAAACGTTCAAACTTACACAAAAAATAGAGAAAGCAGTATAACAACCCCCCATATTATGCAACAACTGACTTTACACTTCTCACACCCCACTAGATTATTTTAAGTAAAACCCGGATATATCATTTCTTTCATTAAGACGCCAGTATATGTCTCAGTGGAGGCAAGGATCTCTTTTGTTTAATATAACCACAATGTGATTTTCCTAAAACTAAATATATGAAAACATATTCTTAATTTCCTCAATATCTATTAGACTTAATATCATCATTCAAATTTCCAAATTGTCTCATTAATGTCTTTTTATAATTGGTTGGTTTGAATCAGGATCCAAACAAGGTTCACACAGTGCATTTTGTTGTTAGAGTTCCTAAAATTTCTTTTAATCTGTAACAGTGCCCCCTGCAAGTCGTTTGTCCTGTAAACTCATCCGAATTCTGGATTTGTGATTTAGGTTCATAGATGGTGCCATGTAGTGCCTGTTGCATGGCAGTAGGAAGAACATAATGCATTGTCTTTGTCTTTGAGATGTTAAGATTGATCCGTAGATCTGAGAGTTGTTAGGCTAATTTATTCATCATAGTGTTCCAAACCAACCTTTCACCTACTAAGTGGTAATATTCATTATTTCATTAGGTATTATAAATGGGTAATGTTTTAATTAGGAGTTATTAATGGGTAATATTTTAATCATTTTTAATTAATTCTTTCTGCATGTATTACTGGAATTTAGTCATAAAGGAAAGACAGAATAAACGCTTGCTTCTATCCTTTTATTTATCACTTCATATTAATGAGTTAGTGTTCTAACAATTTCCGAAGGTGACCATCAAATTTTTTTTTTTTTGAGTTGGAGTCTCGCTCTGTCACCCAGGCTGGAGTGCAGTGGTGTGATCTCAGCTCACTGCAACCTCTGCCTCCCTGGTTCAAGCGATTCTCTTGCCTCAGCCTCCCAAGTAGCTGGGATTACAGGCGTGCACCACCATGCGCAACTACTATCAATTTTAATGTATCTATGTGTGTATATATATGTGTGTGTGTATGTGTGTATATATATGTATACACACAAACATATACATACATATATATAGATAGATCATCATAGACTTATGGATTCCAACATGATGCTTTTCAAATCTACCTCAAATTATTTTTGATGCTCAAATTGGGCCATTTTTAATCAGTAGGACACTTTTCAATTTGTCTTCAATATTCTTTGATTGTTTTCTTTCTTTCCAACGTGATAAGATGTTCCAGCTTCTTGTGCCTTTCTACCTCAGACTCAGAATCTGACGTTTACCCAAAGAGTTCTGACTCCTTTTAGTGAGGAATGATATTGACAGTGCTAATTGTTCTTATTTCAATGGGTTGATTGTTGCCTCTAGGCCTTTTCAGTGGACAGAGATGGGATAAAAATTATGACTTCATTTTCCTTTTGTTTCTTTTTTTTTTTTTGAGACGGAGTCCTGCTCTGCCACCCAGGCTGGAGTGCAGCGGCACGATCTCGGCTCACTGCAACCTCCGCCTCCTGGGTTCAAGCAATTCTCCTGCCTCAGCCTCCCAAGTAGCTGAGACTATAGGCATGTGCCACCACGCCCAGCTGATTTTTGTATTTTTAGTAGAGACAAGGTTTCACCATATTGGCCAGGCTGGTCTCGAACTCCTGACCTTGTGATCTGCTCCCCCCTCCTCCCAAAGTGCTGGGATTACAGGTGTGAGCCACCGCTCCCAGCCCATTTTGCATTTTTAAATGGAAAAAAAGAACATGATTTGGCCAGTGTCTTGGTCTTAGATGCTGCTGGATGAAATTAATGGTTAAGATAAAGTGTTTGCTTTATACTTGATTACGCTAAACAAAAAAGATAAAGTGCTCACTAAAGTACAGGAATATCTGAGATATTATGGGTTCAGTTCTAGACCACCACAATAAAGCAAATATTGCAATAAAATGAGTCACATGAAATTTCTGCTTTCTTAGTGCATGTAAAAGTTATGTTGACACTATACTGTAGTCCATTAAGTGTGCAATAGTATTATATCTTAAACCAATGGACATACCTTAATTTAAAATATTTTATTGCTAAAAAACACTAACAATCACCTGAGCCTTCAGTGAGTCATAATCTTCTTGCTGGTGGAGGGTTTTGCCTCCATGTTGATGGCTGCTGACTAATCAGGGTGCAACTCTCCCTTTCACGTGAATACTCAGAGGCCGTTGTTGGGTTATTAATTGGCCTAACTGCAATATTCTTGTGTCTCAGGGACTAGGGAGGCTGGAGGAGAGAGAGAGAGATAGAATGGTTAGTCAGTGGGGAAGTCAGATCACACACATTTATCGATTAAGTTCAGGTGCAGTTAATGAGCCCCAACACATCTACAATAGTAAATCAAAGATAACTGATCATAGATCACCATAACAGAGATAATAAAAATGAAAAAGTTTGAAATGTTGTGAGAATTACCAATAAGTGACACAGACTTACAAAGTGAGCACATGCTGTTGGAAAAAATGGCCCTGATAGACTTGCTTGGTGCATAATTGCCACGAACCTTCAATTTGTAAAAAATCCAGTATCTGTGAAACACAATAAAACAAAGTATGCCTGTATACATTCAGTCATTTGGAAAGAAATCAGAGACCAGGAGATATCACAGAATAAGTGGAGTGAGATCTTATAAAATATAGATTAATTAGTGGTACTAAATAAGCCATTGCTAAAATAAGAAGTAGGAAACTAGAAAATCTAAACAGACAGCACAGTGTCCAGCATATGATATTAACTCACTAAATTATTAGAGTTTATGTTTTATAGAAACTCATATTAATTAACAATGAGGCATATTCTCCAATAAATATTATCTTTGTAAGCTGCTTGCATTTCTTCCCTTTTTCCTGGATAACAAGATCTAGGTTGGAACTCTTTAACATCTTGACCCTGCTAGAGTTTTCAAGTGGAAAGTGAAGCCTTATTTTGCACAAATGTTTGGTATGTGAGCATGCACAGTGTGAGGTGCAAAGCCTTCTTAATACTCAAAGAAATAACAACTTTAGGTAGTTGCAACCAAAATGCTAAACACATGTAATAAAAATACGCATGTGCACGTCTTATCTTCGACAGTCTGCATTATATCTCATGCTTTCCCTTAATGTGTGTGACTACTTTTCATTTTAAAGTATCTTTTTTACTTCCAAATGAGTAAAAGTGTAATATCAAAGCCAAAGTTTCCTGCTTATTGACTCAACATTCGATTTGCTATTTCATCAGTCTAGAGATTACTCATGACATTAAAGATTTATTTTACTCTGACATTTGATACAGGAACTGAAACTGGATATTAAATCAATGTTAACAACTTTGAAAACACAAGTTCTCTGTAAAAAATTATTATTCTTATTTAGAAGTTGCCTCAACTTCCTGATAAATAACATTTTTAATGTGGTTACAAAATCCAGATTTGAATTAATTCAACTACTGAAGGGGAATTCATGGAACTAACAAAAACTTAAAGCACTCAGAGCATTATAAAGTGAATTTTCAAAAATAAATTAATAAACAAAACCACTTCCCAGACTCCTGAGTAGCTGACATGGGCTCCTCAGCAGAGTTGGTGCTTCAGAGATAACTCTAAACATTCCTTTTGCAATGTAAATGTGAATTTTATCTTAAAATGTTTAATTTATGGCCACATGTGGTGGCTTACTCCTGTAATCCTGGCACCTTGGGAGGCTGAGGGGGGCGGATTGCTTGAAGCCAGGAGTTCAAGATCAGCCTGAGCAACATAGCAAGACCCTGTCTCTACAAAAAATTAAAAAATTAACTAAGTTTGGTCCAAGCTACTCAGGAGGCTGAGGCGGGAGGATCGCCCTAGCCTAGGTGTTGGAGGCTGCAGTGAGCTATGATTGCATCACTGCACTCTAGCCTAGGCAACAGAGAGAGACCCTATCTCAAAAAAATTTAAAAATTAACTAGGCATGGTGACACACACCTATAGTCCTAGCTACTGAGGAGGTTGAGGAGAGAGGATTGTTCTAGCCCAGGTGTTGGAGTCTGCAGTGAGCTATTATTGCACCACTGCATTCTAGCCTAGGCAATAGAGCAAGACTCTGTCTCTACAAAAAATTAAAATATTAGTGGGCATAGTGGCACAAACCTGTGGTCTCAGCTACCCAGGAAGCTGAGTCAAGAGGATCACTCTAGCCCAGAAGTTGGAGGCTACAGTGATCTATGATTGCATCACTGCACTTCAGCCTAGGCAAGAGAGTGAGATCCTGTCTTGAAAAAAAAAGTTTATTTATCAAGGAATTGTGGGACATACCAAGGTCAAATGTAAATCACAGAAAATGTCCAAAGTTTATCATTTTAATTCTTCTCTTAAGGCAGAAAGTTGTGCTATTTTTTAAAATAAAAATGCCAAGTACTTCTTATAATAAATGATCATCATGAAATGTGAAAAAATTAAAAGCTTAATAAAATGATAAAAGGATTTTTCTCTCTGTCACTTTGCAAGCCAGGGACCCCCGGCCGGTGACACCATGCCTGGGCCTCGCTTGGCCATGCTACCTGCTGCAGGAGACTGCCCACTCATTTGGCCCACCCCAGTTGAGTCTGGCTTGCCCACTGCTTCCTGAGTTCTCTTCTAGTGTCCAAGAAGAATGAGGATGCTGACAATCGAAGAGTATACAAGGTGAGAAACAGCTTTCAGCAGGAAGGGGATGTGGGAGTGGTCCCACTACACAAAGGCAGGAAAAGTTCCCTAATATGGCTGAGCCTGGGGCCCTTATGGGCTCAGAATAGGGAGTGCATGCTGATTGGTTTGTGAGTACACAAAAACGGTTAAAGGGAAGACACCACTCAAAGGTGGGCATGATAGTGTAGAAAACCAATTAGGAAAGTGTAGGTATATGTAAAATAGGTGAAGGGTGGGGATTGATCAGAGGAAAGTGCACCAAATGAGAAGACAGGTCCTCAGTGTGGTCCAAGGATTTACCCAGGACTGTCTTCGGCTTGAAGGTGGGGTTTCACTGGGGACCCTTATCTGCCTAGACATTTGGCTGCCTCCTTCCTCTATCAAAAGGACAGTACTGTATCAAATATATGTTTGACAAAGGAAAATATTTTCTATAGCTGTGCTCTGCCTGGCTAGAAAACATAAATTCAGAAATAGACCAGTGAGCATCTTTAACATCCTTTACAGATGTCCCATGGTTATGAGCCACTTAGGCTCAAGTGAACTATCCAAGCAGCAAATGAACCTGGTAGCACAAAAGACAGGCAGAAGATGTGGAGGATAGCTGAGCACAAGCCATGTTACATGTGTTTGCTGATAACTTCTCAGGTTTTTCTAAACATGTGTGCAACTGCATATTCTTAATCTGGTCCATTATGTAATGATATTGCTGTCTTGCCCTATAGTTGGATTTATACTGGTATTTTGATTTGTTTGTGGAAACTAAGAGCTAAAACACTTAGAAATTTAATTTGGCTCTCAGAATCTTTTGTACTCTCATACAAGCACAGCAGTGAAATGCAAAGCACAATTTAAGCATCACGGCCATGGCCATTTGAATTACACCTCTGCTCAGGAGTCACTAAGTTTAAGCAAGCACCTTGACCTGTCTAGGTATCTATGAAAGCAAAATAAAAACCCAATTGACTGTGCAAGAGGAAAAAGATTAAACTGAAAGTTGAGCCATGCAAGAAGCTGCCTTTCCTTTTGTTCTTAAGCAGATAGCTACAGATAAAAGGTTAAATATTTCCACAGGTAGCTACTCTATGCTCATAATCTTATGCAAAGTTCTGATTTACTGAGTGTGAGATGAATACATAGTTGACTGTTCTCCTACCTGCTCCTTTTATCTTGCAACATGTAGATGACCATACCTTCCATCTTTCCCCTTCAGCCTGCTTTCCCCCTTTAAATACTGAAGTCCTCAAAACCGTCTTTGGAGAAAGGTGCAGACCACAGGCTGTTTCTGTGATTCAATGTTCTTTTCTCCTGGGCATGTCCTTAACCTTGGCAAAATAAACTTCTAAATTGACTGAGACCAGTCTCAGATACTTTTTGGTTTACTGATCTGTAAAACTTGACATTAATTTTCTATCTTTACATATCATCAACCTAGAAGAGATAACGTGACAGTTATTTTAGCTTTTCAGAAAAAATGTGCTGGGTCAATATAAAATAAAGTTGAGCTAATATTAAATATTGCTCTCTTTACAGCCATGTCTATAATTATGCAATATGTACTTTTCATCCAGATGCCTAAAAAATACCTAATTAAGTGAATTTATTAGTTTTTATCTCATAATAGTAAATTTACTGTGGCAAAGGAATACTTTTTAAAATTAGCTTTTCAGTATTTCATTAGAATTTTAAAACTTCTTTGACTTTTAAAAAATTAAATAATCCAAATATTATTAAAAGCAAAATGCAGGGGTTTTCCTGCTGCCCCTCTGAGTTTAGGAGCAGCTGTCCTGCTCCATGGTTGCCCCCTTGATGGAACTGGAAGTTGCCTGCCTGTCTTCTCTTTTTTCTTCCATTTCTTCTTCAGACTCTTCCTTGGCTTAGCACACCTGACTCCCTTCCACATCAGGGATAAATGCATACAGGGAGGGGAAAGTGGAGAAGGAGGGACCATGCAACTCGTCCAACTCCTCTCCCCATTCGTGGACAAGCTCTTCACCATTCCCTCTCCACTCATATAGACTCCCTGGTCTTTCCATTGTCTTCAGTCTCTCAAATCCCACCTTATTTGTGTTGTTTCCAATTTTTCTTGACAATTACAAATAAAGCTTCTATAAACATTTATATACAGGTTATTGTGTGAACTAAATCTTCATTTCTCTGGGATAAATGGCCAGGAGTGTAACTGTTGGGTTGTATGATTGTTGCATGTTTGAATTTTAAAGGCAGGCCAGTCACGGTGGCTCATGCCTGTGATCCCAGCACTTTGCAAGGCCGAGATGGGAGGATTGCCTGAGGTCAGGCGTTTGAGACCATCCTGGTCAACATGGTAAAACCCTGTCTATACTAAAAATACAAAAATTAGCTGGGTGTGGTGGTGGTTGCCTGTGGTCCTGGCTACTTGGGAGGCTGAGGCAGGAGAGTCGCTTGAACCTGGGAGGCAGAGGTTGCAGTGAGGTGAGATTGCACCACCGCACTCCAGCCTGGGCAACAGTGTGAGACTCTGTCTCAAAAACAAATAAATAAATAAATAAAAACAAAATAAAATAAAATAAATTTAAAGGAAACTGCCAGATTGTTTTTTCCCAGAATGGCTGTCACATTTTGCATTCACACAAGCAATTTCTCCACATCCTTTCCAGCATTTGGTGTTGTGACTAATTTTTGTTTTAGCCATTTTGAAAGACATGTAACGGTATCTCATTGTGGTTTTAATTTGCATCTCCCTCATGACTAATGATCTGGAATATCTTTTCAGGTACTTACTTGCCATAAGCATATTTTCTTTAGTGAAATGTCTATTGCCTTAATACGGTTTGGATCTGTGTCCCACCAAATTTCATGTCAGATTGTAATCCCCAGTGTTGGAGGTGCGGCCCTGTGTGAGGTGATTGAACCATGGGGGCAGTTTCTCATGATTTAATGCTATACGCCTTGGTGCTGTCATCATGATAGTGAGTGCTCATAAGATCTGGTTGTTTAAAAGTGTGTGGAACCTGTCCTCCTCCCTTTGTCCTGCTCCAGCCATGTGAAGTACCTCACTCCCCCTTTGCCTTCTGCCATAATTGGAAGCTTCCTGAAGCCTCCCTAGAAGCAGAAGCCACTATGCTTCGTGTACAGCCTGCAGAACTGTGAGCCAATTAAACCTCTTTTCTTTATAAATTACCCAGTCTCAGGTATTTCTTTATAGCAGTCCCAGAATGGACTAACACAGCCTGTAGATTGTTTGCTTTTTTAATGTTGAGTTTTGAGGATTCTTTATACACCCTAGATACTAGTCTTTGTCAGATGCGTGGTTTGTAAATATTTTTCCCAGTATGTGGCTTGTCTTTTCTTCATCTTACCAGGACTTTATGAAGCAAAAGCATTTAATTTTGATGAAGTTCAAATTTACCAATTTTTGCTTCTGTAGATTTTGTTTTCGGTGACAAGTCTAAGAGATCTTTGCCTAGCCCTAGATCTCGAACATTTTCTCCTTTATTTTTGGAAAAGTTTAATAGTTTCATGTTAGCGTTTAACTAACATGACCCATTTTGAGTTCACTTTTGCATGAGGTGTGAGGTTTAGGGCATTGTTTATTGTGTACCCATAGATGTACAATTGCTTTAGCACCATTTGTTTGCAAAGCCATCTTTTCTCCATTGAGTTAATTTTTTTTATCTTTGTCAAAAATCAATTTGGGCACATTTGTATGGGTCTATTTCTGGGTTCTCTAACTTGTTCTACAGATCCATATGTCTAACCCTCCACTAATACCACACAGTCTTAATTCCTGTAGCTTTATAGTAAGTCTCAAAATCAGGTAGACTGATTTCTCCCATTTTATTGTTCCTTTTCAAAATTGTTTTAGCTATTCTAGTGTTTTGTTGTTTCCTATAAACCCAAAAATAATCTTACCTCTATCCATAAAATACTTGAGATTTTGATAGGAATGGCACTAAACTGGGATATCAATTTGGGAGAACGGACATCTGTACTAGAGTGAGTCTTCTATTACATAAGCACAGAATATCTCTTCATTTATTTAGATCTTCCTTACTTTCTTCATCAGTATTATGTAGTTTTCAGTACACGAGTCCCATACATGTTTTGTTAGATTGAAAACTAAGTTTTTCTCTTTTTTTGAATGATTATAAATGTTGGTGTATATGTTTGTTGCTAATATATAGAAATATAATTTATTTTGTATATTTATCTTGTATACCACAACTTTATTGAATTCACTTATTAGCTTTAGGAGCTTTTTGGTAGTGCCCTTGAGATTTTCTGTGTATGTCATCTGCAAACATGGACAGTTTTATTTATTCCTCTCTGATCTGTACATTTTTGTTTCATTTTACTTTTTTGTCTTAATGCACTGAATAGGAAGCTCCAGCATTGTGTGGAATAAAAGTGGTGATAGTAGGCATCCTTGCCCAGTTCTTAGGGAAGAACTTAGGTGAAAAGCACTCAGCCTTTCACTACTAAGTATAGTGATGTTAAGTTGTGGGTTTTTTGTAGACATTCTTTATCAAGTTAAGGAAGCTCTCCTTTACTCCTATTTTTCTAAGAGGTCTTTTCCCCCTAAAGATCATGTATTTGTCAAATAATTTTTCTGCATCAATTGATACCTTGGTCCATTTTATGTTGCTATAAAAGAATACCTGAGGCTGGGCAATTTATTAAAAAAAGAGATTTATTTCACTCACAATTCTGCAGGCTGGGAAGTTCAAGAGCATTGCACCACATTGGCTGCCTTCTGGTGGGGGCTGTTTGCTGGGACAAAATGTGGTAGAGAGGTGGAAAATCAAGCAGGCATGTGCAAAGTGATCACATGGTGAGAGAGGAAGCAAGAGAGAGTCTAGGAAGCCAAACTCCCTTTGACAACAACCCACTCTCTGGAGAGTGAGAATTCATTCACTCCCGTGGGAAAGCATTAATCTATTCATCAGTGACCCACCTCAATGACCCAAACACCTTCCACTAGGCCCCACCTTCCAACACCACTACACTGGGGATCAAATTTCACAATGAGTTTTAGCAGAAACAAACCACATCCAAACTATAGCAACTGATATGAACGTGTGATGTTTTTTCTTCCTTAGCCTGTTAATATGATGGATTTCACTGACTGACTTTCATACATTGAACCAGATTGCATCACTGGAAGAAACTCCACTTGGTTATGGTGATTATTTTTTCTATGTATTATGTATTATGATCAGCTTTTTATATATTGCTAAATTTTGTTTGCTCATATTTTAGAAGCAATTTTGCATTTATAATTGTATTAATCTGTTATCATGTTGCTAATAAAGACATACCAGAGACTAGGTAATTTATAGAGGAAAGAGGTTTAATGGACTCACAGTTCCATATGGCTAGGGAGGCCTCACAATCATGGTGGAAAGTGAATGAGGAGCAAAGTTACATCTTACATAGCGGCACTCAAGTGGACATGTGCAGTGGAACTCGCCTTTATAAAACTATCAGACCTCATGAAACTTATTCACTATCACAAGAACAGCATGGGAAATACTCAACCCTATGATTTAATTACCTCCCATTGAGTCCCTCCTATGACACATGGGGATTATTACAATTCAAGGTGAGATTTGGGTTGGCGCACAGAGCCAAACCATATCAATAGTCATGAAGAATAATGGTCTCCAGCTCTACCTCTGGAGGCAACTTTCTTCCCAATAACTTCTTCTGGGTCTTCTCTATTATTTATTGCCAAGTCAAAAAATAAAACAATGCATAGAATTTATTTCATGAGAGAGCCAATTCAAACCTCAAAATCCTGAGGTATGCATTGAGACTGATAACATACTCAAATTCATATCTAAAGTAAAAATACTGTTGTCATTTTGTATTATTGAAATTTTTTTTGATAATCTTATGATGGCTTCTAAAACACATCAAATGACTAATTAAAATTTACATAAATTCTCATTTTTGTGTTATGCTTGATTAATAAAGACACCAACCAATCTACCTGATATGGTTTGACTCTGTGTCCCCACCCAAATCTCACCTTGAATTGTAACTCCCTAGAGTTGAATTGGAACTTCCTAGAGACCTGTTGAATGGCTTTGACCAAAATGCTGATTGTGATATGGACAATAAGGTCCAGGCTGAGGTGGTCTCAGATAAAGATGAGAAACTTGCTAGGAACTGGAGTAAAGGTCACTCTTGTTATGCAAAGAGATCAGTGGCATTTTGCCCCTGCCCTAGAGATCTGTGGAACTTTGAATTTGAGAGAGATTATTTAGGGTATCTGGTGGAAGAAATTTCTAAGTGGCAAAGTGTTCAAGGTAAAGCAGAACATAAAAATTTGGAAAATTTGCAGCCAGACAATGTGATAGTAAAGAAAAAAACTTTCTGGGAAGAAATTCAAGCCTGCTGCAGAAATTTGCATAAGTAGCAAGGAGCTGAATGTTAATCACCCAGGCAATGGGGAAATATCTCCAGGGTGTGTCAGAGACCTTTGCAGCAGCCCTTCCCATCACAGGCCCGGAGGCCTAGGTGGAAAAAATCATTTTGTGGGCTGGGCCCAGGACCCCCTGCTGTGTGCAGCCTAGGGACTTGGCGCCCTGAGTACCAGCCACTCCAGCTGTGGCTAAAAGGGGCCAAGGTACAGCTGGGGCCATGGCTTCAGAGGGTGCAAGGCCCAAAGCTTGGCAGCTTCCACATGGTATTGAACCTGTGGGTGCGTGGAAGTCAAAAATTGAGGTTTAGTAACCTCTGCCTAGACTTCAGAGGATGTATGGAAATGCCTGGATGTCCAGGCAGAAGTTTGCTGCGGGGGCAGAGCCCTCATGGAGAACCTCTGTTAGGGCAATGCAGAAGGGAAATGTGGGGTTGGAGCCCCCACACAGAGTCCCCACTGGGGCACTGCCTAGTGGAGCTGTGAGAAGAGGGCCACCATCCTTCAGACCCCAGAATGGTAGATCCACTGATAACTTGCACCATGAACCTGGAAGAGCTGCAGACACTTAACATGGGAAAGCAGCCAGGAGTGGGGGGTGTACCCTGCAAAGCCACAGAGGTGGAGCTGCCCAAGGCCATGGTAGCCCACTTCTTGCATCAGCGTGACCTGGATTTGAGACATGGAGTCAAAAGAGATCATTTTGAAGCTTTACAATTTGAGTGCCCCGCTGGATTTCAGACTTGCATAAGGCACTTCATTTTGCCCAATTTCTCCCATTTGGAATGGCTGTGTTTACCCAATGCTTGTACCACTCCATTGTATCTAGGAAGTAACTAACATGTTTTCGATTTTAGAGGCTCATAGGTGGAAGGGACTTGTCTTGTCTCAGATGAGACTTTGGACTATGGACTTTTGAGTTAATGCTGAAATGAGTTAAGACTTTGGGGGACTGTTGGGAAGGCATGACTGGTTTTGAAATGTGAGGACATGAGATTTGGAGGGGCCAGGGGCAGATTAATATGGTTTAGCTCTGTGTCCCCACCCCAATCTCACCTTGAATTGTAATAATCCCCATATGTCATAGGAGGGACCTGGTGGGAGGTAATTGAATCTGGGGGTGGGCTTTTTCTATGCTGTTCTCATGATAGTGAATGCATCTCATGAGATTTGATGATTTTATAAAGGGGAGTTCTCCTGCACATACCCACTTGCCTGCTGCCATGTAAGACATAATTTTGCTCTTCATTCACTATAGTAGTCTGTTTTCATGCTGCTGATAAAGACATATCTGAGACAGGGAAGAAAAAGAGGTTTAATTGGACTTACAGTTCCACATGGCTGGGAAGGCCTCAGAATCATGGCGGGAGATGAAAGACACTTCTTACATGGCAGCAGCAAGATAAAATGAGGAAGAAGTAGAAGTAGAAACCCCTAATAAACCCATCAGATCTCGTGAGACTTATTCACTATCATGAGAATGACACAGGAAAGGCTGGCCCCCATGATTCAATTACCTGCTCCGGGTCCCTCCCACAACACGTGGGAATTCTTGGAGATACAATTCAAGTTGAGATTTGGGTGGATACACAGCAAAACCATATCATTCACCTTCCAGCATGATTGTGGGGCCTCCCCAGCCATGTGGAACTGTTCCCGGACCAAACTGAGGGTCAGGCTGCTTATTCTCATGGCCCAATAATGAGATGCTGATGAAAGGGGAAAGGGCAGAGTTTTTATTTCTGTAACAGGTTACAGGGAGAAGGCCCAGAAAATATCACCAGACCAACTCAAAATTAGTTTTCCAGAGATTATATACCTTCTAAGCTTTATGTCTACATGTAAGTGTGCATTCATCTGAAGACATAGTGATTAACTTCTTTTAATCTATAACTAAGATCTGAGTCCCGAAGACTTTCCTCTGGAGCCTCAGTAAATTTACTTAATCTAAATGGGTCCAGGTGCTGGGGTGATTACCCTTATCTTGTCTCCTGCTAAATCATGGAGGTTTGGGGAGTTCCTTCAGACCCGCAATAAACTTGTTTGCAGAGGCCTGGGAAGTGTCTTCAGACCCCCAATAAAACTTGTTTAATCCTAAACAGGTCCTGTTAAGAATTCCTTTGTTATCTTATCATGCTTTAAGGCAGAGGAAAGGCCTAGGCAAAACTCTTGGTGGGCTTTTTGTTACATTCTAGCCTTTGTATAAGGACACTGGCTCTTTTAGCTTTTAATATTTAACTTAACAACTCAGTCAGTACTGAAACAGTTGTTACGGTGGCTTGCATTAATGAGACCTGGCTTGCCACAGAACTGTGAGTCCATTAAATCTCTTACCTTTACAAATTACACAGTCTCGGATATGTCTTTATTAGCAGTGTGAGAATAGACCAATGCACTACCAATCCAATCTAACCCCAAACGTGAGCGAAGAAAGCTAAGCAGATTTGTGATGTAGGGACATAGTTCCTTGTCAGGGCCAATATTTATGTCAAGGCTATTTAATTTTTAGTCCTTCTTTCCATATGGAGCATGCACATTCAGACCTGATTTTGTAGGGCCTAACGCTTAAATAACTTTGTGTCCTTCATTGAGAAAACATATTTAAAAAATATAAAATTAGGTACAGAGATTTGAAAGGTGCTTGTGTAAATAAGGGGCTCTAAGGCTTTAGTTTCATTAGGGTCACAGTAAATACACCTCTGGAAGACTGAAAACAGATCACATGCTCCAGATGGTGTCTTAAAATTTTCCTGATGGCCAGGTGTGGTGGCTCATGCCTGTAATCCCAGCACTTTGGGAGGCCAGGGTGGGAGGATTGCTTGAGCCCAGGAGTTCAAAACCAGCCTGGGCAATATAGTGAAATCCTGTCTCAACAAAAAAGCTAAAAAATTAGCCCAGCATGGTGGCGCATCCCTGTGGTCTCAGCTGCATGAGGTGCTAGAGTAGAAGGATCACTTGAGCCCAGGAGATCGAGGCTGTGGTATGCCATAATCGTGTCTCTCCACTCTGGTCTGGGCAACAGAGTGAGGACCTGTCTCGAAAAAAATAAAATAAAATAAAGCTTCCTGATAAGACTTACTTTTCTGCCAGATAGTTATTAAATATATCTCACATTATTAAGTATCTCATACTCTTTTTTTTCTCTCTCTCAGCTACTGTCAGTTTGATTAAGCTGATCTTTTTAAAAATCAAATAGGAATACACCCAGAGCTTTTATATTCTGACTATATGCAGAAAAATATCTTGAGCCAAGTTCTCTCTGGTCTTTCTAATCTATAAATTTTTTTGTTAAACATGTTTAGGAACTTCATAGCTATGCTAGTAAAAGGGTGAGGAGTTGGGGATTAATTCTAAGCCTGAAGAAGAGCCACTGGGGAGTGAGAGGACCTGATTGCTGTCTAGCCACCTGATATTGCCTTATTCATGGTTGAAGTTGGTTCCCAGCCATCTAGCCAGGGAATTAGCCTGGACAAAAGTGGTGGGCACATACCTGGATATCTCATTTACCAGTTCATGTTGTCACTGGCTCCCTTCTCTTTGGCCTAAAACTGAGATGAAGAGCCGGAAGGCATTGCCTCTTGGTTATGAAGACCTCCTACCTGTACTGCCCCAGAGCTTCACTAAAAAGAAGCTCCAATTGGGCTCACAGAAGTGACAAAACATATATTGTGGGGGTCATTAGTAACGTTAACTCATTTCGAACTGCTCATGGGCAGAGCCATGACTTTCCTAATACACACACCAGTGCCTGAGCCCATGTCTCCATAAGCATTTGTTCTTCGTTTGATAAACAAATGGATAGATGTATTTTAGGGCAAGATATTCATTCATTTAACAGATATTTACTGGGTACCTAATATCTGCCTGGCACCATTCTACATGCTGTGATAGAGAACTGAACAAAATAGACAAGTCTGCCCATGAAGATTACATTCTAGTGAGACGTGGTGTGTCATGACTTTTTCATAGTCCTGGGTATTCCAGGTTGTGGTGGTGGTGATGGGGGTGCTGCTGCTGCTGCTGCTGGTGGTTGTGTGTGTGTGCTTGTATTTCTTGGGGAACAGGGGTTTATAGAGGAGAAAGTAGTGGAGATTAATGTAAAAAATTGACTTTTAGAGAAGCTAATAATAGTCAGCTGAAAGCAGCAGGGCATGCTGTATATACTTTCAGCCCTGCATGCTCTGATTGTAGAACAGAGGGAGCACTAGAGTCTGGAGTACCATAGAGTACTCCACAGAGCCAGCATTCAGGTGGCCTTGAGGACAGCATTTTCAGTGTCAGGTGAAGGTCTAGCCTGAACAGAACCTGAATTCCCTTTTATCAGCTAGGGCTCTTAGATGCTAGTCATGAACAAGAACCCGGCAGGGTGCAGTGGCTCATGCCTGTAATCCCAGCACTTTAGGAGGCTGAAGTGGGAGAATCACTTGAGCCCAGGAGTTCAAGGCTATAGTGAGCTCTGATTGCACCTCTGCTCTCCAGCCTGAGTGACACAGTGAGATCCTATTTCTTAAAACAAAACAAAACAACAACAACAAAATAAGAACCTTCTATAGCTAATTAGAGCAGAAAGAATGTTTACTAAAGGATATTTGGTATCTTAAAGAAACTCCAGGAGAGCCAGAGAAACAGTGATGGAGACTGTACACCAAGAACTATGCCAAAATTGCCTACAGGACTGCTCCATGGAGGCCAGAGGGCAGCATTGGATACAGATCCTGCAGCTCACACTGCTGACACAGGAATCCGGACACCACCAAGACTGGTAGCTCAATGTCTCACCCCTACCCTTGCCACAACTGAGTTTCCAAAACTTTTTTAAAGTTCCAGAATAACACAGAATAGAAAAGAATTATCACAGACCACGCTTCCATATAACCACCACCCAGGTCAAGAACCCTCCCATGCCCAGTTCCCACCCCTATTCCTGTCTCTCCTCAATGGCAGAATAGCTCTTCCTGTCATTCTTTTCTGAGTAGAAAATCTTGTATCTGATTGGAGCAGCCTGGGAAGGTGAGTTTCTGGCATTTACTCCATAGAGATGAAGATTTAAAATAATTCCTCAAGGATAGGAAGGGTTTTCACAGGTTTTGAACAGCTTTACAGTATCACAAACTGTTACCATGTTCCCCAATGGGTAAATAAACATCTCAACCTCGTTAGGTTGAACCAGGTGTAATTTTAATTTTTGTAGGTTAAAAGTGGCTGAGTATCAGCAGTTTCCTGTGGTTTAACCTAATAGAAAAGAGTGTCAGTTAAAGCACAGGAAATGGAAAAGCATCTGAAAGAGATGAATAAGGAAGTGCTCAGGAAAGGCGAGAATGCTTGAAGCCAGCATCAGTTAGTAATGTGAGGCTTTGAACCTGTAAGTTACCTAGTTTATTACCTCCAGCATCTCTCGTTGCTATATGAGAAGTTTGTGGAACTAAGACAAGTGGTCTCTGTGTGTATGTGTTTGTTGCTTAGTAGTGAGCACTGCAAGGCAAGGAACACTGGGGGGAATTTAAAGCAACTGGCTGTGAAACCTCAAGACAGGAAGGAAGCTTCGCAGCTTGGTAGGTGCCAGTAGAGAATTGTCCAAGCAAGACAGAGCTACAGCCTTGTTTGCGTCCTGTTCTGAAGGCAGCGGGGTGGGTTGTACTACATTTTATAACACTTCTAAGTGGCTGTGGTTAAAATACACATCCTTAATGCAAGAAAATCATCAGGTGGCACAAAGACAGGCTATAATTTCATTCAGGTCAACATTGCTTAATAGAGGAAAAATAGAAATGACCTAGATGTTCAATTACGAGAGATTTTTAATATAAGTTATTTATCCATGTAATAGAATGCTAAAGAGTACCTAAAATAGTATTGTAGAAAATTATTTAATGACAAATTAAGCTGTTCAGGAAGCAGTAGTCTAATGATTAAAAGTATAGACTCCAGAGCCAAAATGCTTTGTTTGAGTCCTGGCTCTACTTACTAGCTGAGCTAAGGTGGGCAAGTTCCTCACTTGAGGTGTTAGAAGAGTTATTATAGGTAAAGCATGCAAAAGAGTTTCTGGAACATAAGAGGCACTGTGTATGTGTCAACTATTATGATGATTATTGTTGTTGACTGAATGTTTGTGTTCCCCCAAATTCATATATTGAAATCCTCAATGTGATGGTAGTAAGAGGTAACTAGGTCATAGGTAATTACCTCTGGGAGGTAATTAGGTCGTAAGGATGGAGCCCTCGTGAATAGGACTTGTGCCCCTAGAAGATGAGACAGAAGAGCTTGTTTTTCTCTGCCATGTGAGGATACAACCAGAAGATGACCTTCTGCAAATCAGGAAGCAGGCTCTCTCCAGACACCACATCTGCCAGTACCTTGAGCTTGAACTTCCAAGCCTCCAGAACTGTGAGAAATGAATGTTTATGGTTTAAGCCACTCAGTCTATGGTACATTTGTTATAGGAAGCCAAACTGACTAAGACAATCATATTCTTAAGGAAACCAACAAGGTTTAAAAACATAGTATATACTAATTAATCATGTGTATTTACTTTTGCTCCCTTATGAAATCTCACTAAAAAGTCTGGGCATGGTTGCTCATACCTGTAATCTCAGCACTTTGGGACTCTAAGGTGGGCGGATCACGTGAGGTCAGGAGTTCAAGACCAGCCTGGCCAACATGGTGTAACCCCGTCTCTACTAAAAATACAAAAATTAGCCACACATAGTGGTGCACACCCGTAGTCCCAGCTACTCAGGAGGCTGAGGCAGGAGAATAGCTTAAACCCAGGAGGCAGAGGTTGCAGTGAGCTGAGATCATGCCACCGCACTCCAGCCTGGGTGACAGAGCAAGACTCCATCTCAAAAACAAACAAACAAAAATCTCACTAAAAGAACAGTAAAGGAATTGAGAAATTAAAGTCCATGAAGACAGAAGGAAAATGGAGATGCAGCACATACATGTTTTGGCCAAATGCTAAATGGGTGAATGTTAAAATCAATGTTTGTCCAAAACCAAGGCTAACACCAAATAGCACCATCATTTGATTAAATTTCTGAGATATGAGAATAAGTGTAAAGTTTCAGTTAATATTTCAATTTTCAATTTTATTATGAAAAATTTTAGTAGTCAAATATTTGAAATTTGACATTGTTGAGCAGAAACCCAATTTTCTCAGCACTGTCAGCTGTGGAATGCTCCAAGGGTCACTATATTGCACATTGGCAATACTAAAGGCATTGCTGGTTTTAACTGAGGTGAGTAGAGTGGAAGATTTTTTTTTGTTGTTGTAGAGACAGAGTCTCACTCTGTCACCCTGGCTGGAGGGCAGTGGTGTGATCTCGGCTCACTGCAAGCTCCGCCTCCTGGGTTCACACCATTCTCCTGCCTCAGCCTCTCCAGTAGCTGGGACTACAGGCACCCGCCACCACACCTGGCTAATTTTTTGTATTTTTAATAGAGACGGGGTTACACCATGTTAGCCAGGGTGGTCTTGATCTCCTGACCTCATGATCCACCCACCTTGGCCTCCCAAAGTGCTGGGATTACAGGTGTGAGCCACCGTGCCTGGCCAAGTGGAAGATTTTAGTAGTAGTAGTAGTAGTAGTAGTAGTAGTAGTAGTAGTAGTAGAAGCATTTTGGCTAGCTCTGCCAGTGTGGGATAATTACTGATTGTAATGTTAACACTAAGTTACCAAGTCTTTTTCCCTCTCTAATAGTAACTGCCTAAAGCAGAGAGTTAACTCATCTTTGGTTTCTGCAATTAAAACTTAAATGATGGTGATAATGCAATTTCATTGAGGCAAACCACTTCCTTTAAACGAGGCTTAAATATATTTAGAAAGAGACTTAATATCACTGCCCTTCTTTCTTTTTCTTTTTTTGGGGGATAGGTGGGCAGATAGGCATTGGATGGTTTATCAAAACTTTATCAAAAGTTTTGTACTTATATCCTGATCTAGAAATGTGGCAATGGATAGATGCAATTGGCTTTGAAAGTTAGAAAATTTCTCTTTAAATTTCCATTTGTATCTCAATTTTTATTGTATGCACTCTAATTCCAGCATCTATCCTGGAATAGAAGGATAGATGGAGCTTTACAACAGGTCACATATAAAAGATACTTGGCCTCTCAAGGCACATCAGTTTGGTATACTCTATAGCATACTCCAGGATACAAGCTGCTTTTTCTGCAAACAACTGTTGGATTTTTGATCTGCTAGATTGACAGAAAAAAAACTTCCTGAATTATAATCTTCTCCATGTTGTTTACAATGTCCTAATTCTGTATTTTGTATTTGACATTTGGACATGTCATGTGTGACCACTTGGTGAATTAATGTTGATTATTGTTGACCTCTGCTTCTATTTCACTTGGCTGCCAAGAGCCTTCTGGGTCTCACACAGTTAAAATCACATTAAACCTAACTGAGGAGATATTTACATAATGGAAAGTCAGTGAAGAAAAGTGTTAGGCAATTGTCAATGACAATATGACAGCCATGATGGAGGCTATTGATTATTTGGGAGCCACAAGCATCTGATGTGTTGGCCATAGGCTTGGTTGTGTGTTCAGACAGTGATGATAGCACAGAGTAAGGTAACAGAAGTATTAGAAGTAGACAGTGAGAGAGTGGGCCCCTTGCCTTAATCTTCATCTCAATCTACCTGAATACAAGGGATTTGGAACTGCCTTGTCTACTCATTCAACTTGTTGATTTAAGATGGAATGAAAGCTGTGCAATGTTAAAGAAGCTGTTTGAACAAAAACAAGTCTTAATACTGCTTTTCTGTGTAACATTGCCAGCCTAGTAGGACCAAAATTCACCAACTGATATGCCTAGTTTTTCTGTGAGGAACTTTTGTACCTAGAATTCATAGCTTCAGCAAATTGCCAAAAAATGTTTTCTGTTTGATTATTGCAAATAGTTGGCAGTACATGGCAATTATTTTGACAAGTTTCCATTTAAATTTTTGGCCTCTATAAGAGACTCAAAATTATAAAGTGTTTTAATTAAGGAGATTTGGAAGTTTTGCTATTTGAAGTTTTATTACTAGAAAAATTGTTAATTAGTAGAAACATTTCTCCATTTTGCTGAGACCAGCTCAGTCATGGAGACCCTAACCCAGTGGCACTAGAGAAGCTAAAGACACACACACAGAAATATTGTGTGTGGAGTGGGAAATCAGGGGCCTCACAGCCTTCAGAGCTGAGAGCCTTGAACAGAGATTTACCCACATATTTATTGACAGCAAGCCAGTGATAAACATTGTTTCCATAGATTATAGACTAACTGAAAGTATTCCTTATGGGAAATAAAGGGATGGGTGTGGCTATTTATCTGCAGCAGGAACATGTCCTTAAGGCACAGATTGCTCATGCTATTGTTTGTGGTTTAAGAACACCTTTAAGTGGTTTTCTGGCCTGGGTGGGCCAGGTGTTCCTTGTCTTAATTCCGATAAACCCACAACCTTCAATGTGGTTGTCATGGACACCATGAACCTGTCACAGTGCTGCAGAGATTTTGCTTGTTTCCAGTTTTGGGGTCCTGCTCCCAGCATGTCCCCCTTCTTTGTTTTGCAAAGTGAAACAAAGGCAGCTTTGTCACAGGAGTGTGGATCTGCATCTGCAGACTATACAAAGACAAACAACACAGATTAAAAGCACAATCATCATTGAAATCACAGAGCTTCCCAGTGTTTTTATCCATTTCAATGGGTTACTAGCTGCTAATCTGTCTGCAGCTCCTTCAAGCACTCCAGTTCCTGACATTAAGGTCAGGTGTGCCTGAGATGCTTTAAATATTTGTTCTTTTAATTTTGCAATATCCAAAGACAAGTTTGTAGAGTGTCCTTATAGATGCTTTTTTATTCTTTCCCAAATTTTGATCTTGTTAAGAGCTATTAATAGTTTCCACAAAGCCTTATGTTTAGCTCCTACAACTGGCCATATCATTTGAGGTTGAGGTGCCACTGTACTGCCATGTTTCCAGATAATAGGAACTCTTGCCATACTTCTTACCATTTCTACCATCTGACCATTTTGTTCAGACCAGCTGAACACGGTGTGGCTGTGGCATGCCGACTGAGAGGTGCAATTCAAGCTAAACATCCCCTTAGGGGGCCAATCAATAATGATTCCATAGGAATCATTGCGCAGCACCTCTGCCTGTTCTGCAATGCAATCTTCCTTAACAAGTACATTCATTTTTTCTGGCCAGGTCCAATCCTGTTTACAAATAGGTTTTTGAGGGCAGTTTGCCTTAATTGTAGGAGCAGATTCATTATGATAAATGCTGATATCAGAAAGCATGTGTAACTGTGTCATAGAGTGATTACATCCAGGCATTATTGCCAGCCAAGATTGACAAATGTGCCCAATAAGTATGATTGTTCTCTGTGTCAGTCCTTGTTGAAGGAATACTCATAGCAATGGTGATCACCAGTATCATAGCTACCATTAAATTACTCATTGTGACTGGTTGTCCCGCTTTCCTCAGGTTTTCTTCTGCCATCTGTGACAGCTTCTTGATCTGTCCCCAAGTAGGTGGCTGTGTTTGACAGGTGTTGCTTGTGACAGTTGGGGTCCTCCTGCATCAGTCTCAACATGGCTGCAACTGAGGGGTCCTTGGGATCCTCCCAAAATCTCTTCCTTGGCATCTGGCTCCTGATAAGGTTTCAGATATCTTGATGGTATCCAAATCGGCTATTGATTCAGTCCTGGAGAAACACAAGCATAACCTCTACCCCAAGTTATTATTTTACATATTTCCCAACTTTTTGTTATTGGATCTCTCCACCAAACCAGTTGTTCTGCTTCTGTCTTTGCAGCTGGTTTCTGTAGATGCTGTTCAGCTGCTGATAATATCTGGCCTTTAGGCAGGCTCAAAAAATTTAAAGTTAATAATGCTAGATTCAATTGCATATGGGGTGTCCCTTAGTCCCTGTTTTCCCCCCTCTGCTTTTGCAACTGCTGTTTCAGAGAGATTCATTCTTTCCACTATGGCTTCTCCTTGAGAATTATATGGGATACCAGTAATGTGTTTAATATTTCATATAGAGCAAAATGTAGCTAAAGCTTGGCTAGTATAGCCTGGGGCATTATCTGTTTTAATAGAAGCTGGAATGCCCATCACAGCAAAACACTGCAAAAGGTAACATTTAACACAGCCATAAGACTCTCCTGATTGGCATGTAGCCCAGATGAAGTGAGAAAAGGTGTCCACACATACATGTACATAAGCTAGTCTCCCAAATGATGGAACATGTGTGACATCCATTTGCCAACGAGAATTAGGTTCCAGTCCTTGAGGATTAACTCCTCCAGTAAAAGATGAGGAATGCACCATTTGGCAAGTTGGGCATCACTGGATAATAGCTTTAGCTTCTTTCCAGGTAATGCTGTATCTGCATTTGAGACCAGAGGCATTAACATGGGTTAAATTGTGAACTTGTCTAGCATTAGATATTGCATTAGCAACTAGGCGATCAGCCATTTGATTCCCTTCAGTTAAAGGTTCTGGAAGGGGTGTATGAGCCCTAATGTGAGTGATGTATAAAGGGTGCATTCTACTCCTAACTGCTGTTTGCAATTGGGTAAATAAAGTCATCAGTTGTTCATCTGTATGAAATCGTAACTGAGCATTTTCAATTAATTGTGTGGCATGAACCATCTATGAAATATCAGAAATCACATTAATAGGCATATTAAAAGCAGTCAATACCTCAATTACAGCTACAAGCTTCGCTTTTTGAGCTGAAGTATAGGGTGTCTGGAAAACTTTACCTTTTCATCCGGAATAAGAAGCTTTACCATTACTAGACCCAAGTGTAAAAACATTCCCAGCACCTTCAATTGGTTTAAATTTAGTTATTTTAGGGAGAATCCAACTAGTTAATTTCAAAAATTGAAACAGTTTCATTTTAGGAAAATGATTATCGAGAATACCCACAAAGTGAGCTAAACGGGTTTGCCAAGTAAGACTATTTACAAAAGCTTGCTGTATTTGTGCCTTTGTGAGAGTGACAATAACTTTTCCAGGATCATATTCATGTAATTTAACAATCTGAGTTCTCCTATGTTCTATCATAGTAGCAATTTGATCCAAACAAGGAGTTAGAGTCTGTGAATTAGTATGTGGAAGAAAAAGCTACTTTACTAAGTCCTGCTCTTGGACAGTAACACCAGAAGGTGAATGCTGAGTTGGAAAAATTAGCAAATCTAGAGTCTTCTCTGGATCTATTGTATTTATTTGAGCTTTACGGACTTGCTTTTTGATTAGCTGCAGCTCTACTTCAGCTTCTTTTATTAATTGTCGAGGGCTAGTGAGACTAGGATCTCCTTTAAGGATAGAAAATAGATTACTCATGGCAGAGGTAGGAATACCTAGAGCAGGTGGTATCCAATTAATGTCCCCTAGTAATTTTTGAAAGTCATTTAACACTTTCAACTGATCCCTATATATGGCTACTTTCTGTGGCACAATGGTAATGTCATTAACTAAGGTCCCCAATTAGGAGTAAGGATTAGTAGTATGAATTTTGTCAGGAGCTATAATTAAACCAGCATGAGAAATCAAATTTTGCATGTGATCATAACATTGGAGTAATATTTCTCAAGTGGGGGCAGCACAAAGTATATTGTCTATATAATGAATAATGTAACACATGAAAATTTTTTATGAGTAGGTTCAATTGCTTGCCCTACATAAGTCTGGCAAATTGTTGGACTGTTTAACATGCCTTGTGGCAACCTTTCCAATGAAAATGCTTAGCAGGCTGCAGGTTGTTTACTGCAGGAATTGTAAATGTAAACCGTTCAGTTTTGCTCAGCTAAGGGGATAGTAAAGAAACAGTCTTTTAAATCTATGACTATTAAAGGCCAATTTTTTAGAATCATAGCAGGAGATGCTATGGCTGTAATGCTCCCATAGGTGGTATAACTGAATTAATGGCTCTTAAATCAGTTAACATTCTCCATTTACCTGATTTTTTCTTAATTATGAAAACTAGAGAATTCCAAGGGGAAAATGTTGGAGCTATGTGTCCTTTTTCTAATTGTTCATTAACGAAGTCCTCTAAAGCCTCCAGTTTCTCTTTACTTAGTGGCCATTGTTCTATCCAAATTGGCTTATCTGTTAACCATTTTAAAGGTATAGGTTCTACAGGCTTAACAATGGCCACCATCAAAAATGATATTGTGTCCGGAATTGGTGGGTTCTTGGTCTCACTGACTTCAAGAATGAAGACGTGGACCCTCGTGGTGAGTGTTACAGTTCTTAAAGGTGGTGTGTCCGGAGTTTGTTCCTTCTTATGGGTTAATGGTCTCGCTGGCTTCAGGAGTGAAGCTGCAGACCTTCACAGTGAGTGTTGCAGCTCTTAAGGCAGCATGTCTGGAGTTGTTCATTCCTCCCATCCAGAGTTGTTCATTCCTCCCAGTGGGTTCATGGTCTTGCTGGCTGGCCTCAGGAGTGAAGCTGCAGACCTTCGTCGTGAGTGTTACAGCTCATAAAGGCAGTGCAGACCCAAAGAGTGGGCAGCAGCAAGATTTATTGCAAAGAGTGAAAGAACAAAGCTTCCACAGTGTGGAAGGGGACCCGAGCGGGTTGCCGCTGCTGGCTCGGGCAGCCTGCTTTTATTCCCTTATCTGACCCCACCCACATCCTGCTGATTGGCCCATTTTACAGAGAGCTGATTGGTCCATTTTAGAGAGAGCTGATTGGTCCATTTTACAGAGAGCTGATTGATCCATTTTGACAGGGTGGTGATTGGTGCATTTACAATCCCTGAGCTAGACACAGAGTGCTGATTGGTGTATTTACAATCCTCTAGCTAGATGTAAAAGTTCTCCAAGTCCCCACTAGATTAGCTAGACACAGAGCACTGATTGGTGCATTTACAAACCTTGAGCTAGACACAGGGTGCTGATTGGTGCCTTTACAAACCTTGAGCTAGATACAGAGTGCTGATTGGTGTGTTTACAAATCTTGAGCTAGATACAGAGTGCTGACTGGTGCATTTGCAGTCCTCCAGCTAGACATAAAAGTTCTCCAAGTCCCCACCCAATTAGTTAGATACAGAGTGTTGATTGGTGCATCCACGAACCCTGAGCTAGACACAGAGTGCTGACTGGGGCATTTACAATCCTCCAGCTAGACATAAAAGCTCTCCAAGTCCCCACCAGATTAGCTAGACACAGAGCACTGATTGGTGCATTCACAAACTTTTAGCTAGACACAGAGTGCTGATTGGTTGATTTACAATCCCTGAGCTAAACTCAGAGTGCTGATTGATGCATTTACAATCCTCTAGCTAGACATAAAAGTTCTCCAAGTCCCCACCAGATTAGCAAGACACAGCACTGATTGGTACGTTTACAAACCCCAAGCTAGACACGGAGTGCTGATTGGTGCATTTACAATCCTCCAGCTAGACATAAAAGTTCTCCAAGTCCCCACCCAACTCAGGAACCCAGCTGGCTTCTCCTAGTGGATCCCACCCCAGGGCTGCGGATGGAGCTGCCTGCCAATCCCGTGCTGCACGCCTGCACTCCTCAGCCCTTGGGCAGTCGATGGGACCGGGCACTGTGGAGCAGGGGGCGGTGCCCATCAGGGAGGCTTGGGACACTTGGGAGCCCACCACAGGGGGGCTCAGGCATGGCAGGCTGCAAGTCCTGAGCCCTGCCCTGTGGGGAGGTGGCTGAGGCCTGGCAAGAATTCGAACATGGCGCGGGTGGGCTGGCAGTGCTGAGGGACCTGGCACACCCTCTGCAGCTGCTAAGCCCAGGTGCTAAGCCCCTCACTGCCCAGGGCCGGCAGCGCTGGCTGGTTGCTCTGAGTGCAGGGCCCACTGAGCCCACGCCCACCTGGACCTCACGCTGGCCCAAAAGCGCCACGCACAGCCCCGGTTCCCACCCACGCCTCTCCCTCCACACCTCCCTGCAAGCAGAGGGAGCTGGCTCCAGCCTCAGCCAGCCCAGAGAGGGGCTCCCACAGTGCAGTGGCGGGCTGAAGGCCTCCTTAAGCATGGCCAGAATGGACGCCAAGGCCAAGGAGGCACTGAGAGGGAGCGAGGGCCGGCCGCATGTTGTCACCTGTCAATATCCTAAACCTTTGTGGGAACTTTGTCTTTCTGCTTGAAGCGGTTCCTTCAAACCTTGCAAATTTTTTCCTAGTCCCATACCAGGGACATACCCCATTTCATGCATCATATGTTGACTTTGTGGGGTATATAATTGTTCTGGAATTAGAACTTGTGCTCCCCATTGTTGTAATAAATCTCTTCCCCATACATTTATAGGTACAGAAGTTATAATTGGTTGAATAGTTCCAGGTTGTCCATCGGGCCCTTCACAATGCAAAATATAACTACTTTGATATACTTCAGGGGCATTACCAACTCCAACTATGTTAAATTGAGTGAGTTGAATTGGCCACATGGACAGTCAGTGCTGTAGGGAAATGATTGAAATGTCCACTCCTGTATCTACCAAACCTTTAAATTTCTTTCCCTGAATAGTTATTTCACAGGTAGGACGTTTATCAGTAATTTGATTCACCCAATAAGCCACTTTGCCTTGTTTATTTGGGCTTCAAAATCCTCTTGTCTGTTTAATTTCACTTTTCCCCATTTCCACATATGGCACAATCAGGAGCTGTGCTGTACACTCTCCTGCTCTGCTTTCCAGGGAACAGATGTAGATACAACAATTTGAATTTCACCATTGTAATCTGAATCAATTACTCCTGTATGTATTTGTACTCCTTTTACATTTAAACTAGACCTTCCTAGAAGCAATCCTATCATCCCCACTGGCAAGGGTTCACAGACTCCTGTTGGGACATTTTGCAGGGGTTCCCCAGGCAGAAGGCTCACAGCTTTTGTGCAGCATAAATCTACTGTGGCACTACCAGCTGTGGTGGGGGACAGACATTGTACAGGGGTGAAGGAATGGCCTGAGCCAGAAATGCCCTGGTTTGGAATGGGGCCCAGGATGGGCCCCTCATGGTGTTTCCTGAATTTAAAAGGAAAAGGCTCAAATGTTGATCTGGGGGGGGGGGGGTGTATTCTAACAGAAAACTGCCAAGCTTCTATATCACCCTCTCGTCTAGCTTGCTGAATTCCTGCCAGAATAGAACTGACAGCGGTCACTCAAGGAGCTGCTTGAACAGTCACTGGGGCAACTACTTTTCTCCCAGGGTCCTCCAGAAAAGAAAGATCTGGAGGGTCAGGCCACTCTTTTTCTTCAAAATAAGGAGGGGGTGCAGAAGGGTAGGGATGAACCTCTTCCTCCTTTGCTGCTTTAGCTTTAGCTGGCAAACAAACCTGGTCTGTTACTTTGTTATACTTTCCTTCCTCCTCATCATTAGTGTGAAAAGGTTCCAAGGTGGAATGAACCAGAGCCCACACTTGTCTCATTGTTACCCTGATGCTTCTGAGCTACCCTTTTTACTCAACACGGGCATTGCTTAAGAGTACTCCGGTGTCCTCCAGCTTAGTTCCAGGTTTTCCAGCCATCACTCTGGTGACCCTTCAACCTGGGTTCGAGCCTCCATGTTGGGCGCTGCTTACCAAGACCAGCTCAGTTGTGGAGACCTTAACCCAGAGGCACTAGAGGAATTAAAGACACACACACAGAAATATCGTGTGTGGAGTGGGAAATCAGGTCTCACAGCCTTCAGAGCTGAGAGCCTTGAACAGAGATTTACCCACGTATTTAATGACAGCAAGCCAGTGATAAACATTGTTTCTATAGATTATAGATTAACTAAAAGTATTCCTTATGGGAAATAAAGGGATGGGCTGAAATAAAGGGATGGGTCTGGCTAGTTATCTGCAGCAGGAACATGTCCTTAAGGCACAGATCCCTCATGCTATTGTTTGTGGTTTAGGAATACCTTTAAGTGGTTTTCCAGCCTAGGTGGGCCAGGTGTTCCTTGCCCTCATTCTGGTAAACACAACCTTCAGCGTGGGTGTCATGGCCAACATGAACATGTCACAGTGCTGCAGAGATTTTGTTTGTGGCCAGTTTGGGGGCCAGTTTATGGCCAGACTTGGGGGCCTGTTCCCAACACGTTTTCTTCAAGTTTTTTACTTTTTATTATGATTGGATAAAAGATGTTTTATTATGCATGCTGTAGTCCAGGATTCATTGTTTTTATTTTCTTGTAAACATTTTAGGTGACAAAGTTGACATTCTGCTTCCTTCTCATTTTCACAAGATGTGAGCAATTTGAAAATAAAACATTTTCTTAAAAGACTCAGCCTAAATGGAGTGAAATAACTAAAAATTAAATATAATTCCTACAAGTTATTTTGCCTAATGTTACCAATGTCTGCGTACCAAACAATTCTACAAAGATGAGAATTATAAGTAAATTTCTATTATTCTACCTTGCATTATTATTTAAGGTCTCATAAATATTTGTTGTTTTAGAAGGATATATTTTATTTCATAAAACTCTCCGGTGAATGCATCTTCTCTTAATATTTTAATTAGCATTAATCTGTTTTCCTTTTTATTTAACTTTTCATAATTATGAATTGTTGCAGCATTTTCCTTTTGAGAAATTGGGAGAACTCAGAGAATTTCAATATATAACTGAGAGAATTTCACTCTACAAAGTACGTAAGGAAATCTTCTACTTCAAGTTACATCTACATGTTTTAAAGTGAATATTAGATATTAACAATCAGTCTTAATAACTAATTTTGTTAATATTACTAAGATTGGTAACCTCATTTGATATGATGATAACTTAGCCACCTGATCATTGATCCTGCATAGGTCTAGAGGTGACAAAATTTTTTTTTCTTTCTTTCTTTCCTTCTTTCTTTTTTTTTTTAAATTATATTTTAAGTTCTAGGGTACATGTGCACAACGTGCAGGTTTGCTACTTAGGTATACATGTGCCATGTTGGTTTGCTGCACTCATCAACTCGTTATTTACATTAGGTATTTATTCTAATGTTATCCCTCAGCCCCCTACCTCCAGACAGGCCCCGGTGTGTGATGTTTCCTGCCCTGTGTCCAAGTGTTCTCATCTTTCAGCTCCCACCAATGAGTGAGAACATGCGGTGTTTGCTTTTCTGTCTTTGTGATAGTTTGCTGAGAATGATGGTTTCCAGCTTCATCCATGTCCCTGCAAAGGACATGAACTCATCCTTTTTTATGGCTGCATAGTATTCCATGGTGTATATGTTCCACATTTTCTTAATCCAGTCTATCATTGATGGACATTCGAGTTGGTTGCAAGTCTTTGCTATTGTGAAAAGTGCCACAATAAACATACGTGTGCATGTGTCTTTATAGCAGCATGATTTATAATCCTTTGGTTATATACCAAGTAATTGGATCGCTGGGTCAAATGGTATTTCTAGTTCTAGATCCTTGAGGAATCCCCACACTGTCTTCCACAATGGTTGAACTAATTTACACTCCCACCAACAGTGTAAAAGCGTTCCTATTTCTCCACATCCTCTCCAGCATCTGTTGTTTCCTGATTTTTTAATGATTGCCATTCTAGCAGGCATGCGATGATATCTCATTGTGGTTTTGATTTGCATTTCTCTGATGACCAGTGATGATGAGCATTTTTTCATGTGTCTGTTGGCTGCATAAATGTCTTCTTTTGAGAAAAGTCTGTCCATATCCTTTGCCCACTTTTTGATGGAGTTGTTTGTTTTTTTCTTGTAAATTTGTTTGAGTTCTTTGTAGATTCTGGATATTAGCCCTTTGTCAGATAGGTAGATTGCAAAAATTTTCTCCCATTCTGTAGGTTGCCTGTTCACTCTGATGGTAGTTTCTTTTGCTGTGCAGAAGCTCTTTAGTTTAATTAGATCCCAATTGTCTGTTTTGGCTTTTGTTGCCATTGCTTTTGGTGTTTTAATCATGAAGTCCTTGTCCATGCCTATGTCCTGAATGGTATTGCCTAGGTTTTCTTCTAGGGTTTTTATGGTTTTGGGTCTAATATTTAAGTCTTTAATCCATCTTGAATTAATTTTTGTATAAGATGTAAGGAAGGGATCCAGTTTCAGCTTTCTACATATGGCTAACTAGTTTTCCCAGCACCATTTATTAAATAGGGAATCTTTTCCCCATTTCTTGTTTTTGTCAGGTTTGTCAAAGATCAGATGGTTGTAGATGTGTGGCATTATTTCTGAGGGCTCTGTTCTGTTCCATTGGTCTATATCTCTGTTTTGGTACCAGTACCATGCTGTTTTGGTTACTGTAGACTTGTAGTTTGAAGTCAGGTAGTGTGATGCCTCCAGCTTTGTTATTTTTGCTTAGGATTGTCTTGGCAATGCCGGCTCTTTTTTGGTTCCATATGAACTTTAAAATAGTTTTTTCCAATTCTGTGAAGAAAGTCATTGATAGCTTGATGGGGATAGCATTGAGTCTATAAATTACCCTGGAAGTATGGCCATTTTTATGATATTGATTCTTCCTATCCGTGAGCATGGAATGTTCTTCCATTTGTTTGTGTCCTCTTTGATTTTGTTGAGCAGTGGCTTGTAGTTCTTGAAGAGGTCCTTCACATCCCTTGTAAGTTGGATTCCTAGGTATTTTATTCTCTTTGAAGCAATTGTGAATGGGAGTTCACTCATGATTTGGCTCTCTGTTTGTTATTGGTGTGTAGGAATGCTTGTGATTTTTGCACATTGATTTTGTATCCTGAGACTCTGCTGAAGTTGCTTATCAGCTTAAGGAGATTTTGGGCTGAGACTATGGGGTTTTCTAAATATACAATCATGTCATCTGCAAACAGGGACAGTTTGACTTCCTCTTTTCCTAATTGAATACCCTTTATTTCTTTCTCTTGCCTGATTGCCCTGGCCAGAATTTCCAACACTATGTTGAATAGGAATGGTGAGAGTGGGCATCCTTGTCTAGTGCCGATTTTCAAAGGGATTGCTTCCAATTTTTGCCCATTCAGTATGATAATGGCTGTGGGTTTGTCATAAATAGTTCTTATTATTTTGAGATACGTTCCATCGATACCTAGTTTATTGAGAGATTTTAGCATGAAGGGCTATTGAATTTTATCAAAGGCCTTTTCTGCATCTATTGAGATAATCTTGGATTTTGTCATTAGTTCTGTTTATGTGATGGATTATTGCCAGTATTTTATTGAATATTTTTGCATTGATGTTCATCAGGGATATTGGTCTAAAATTCTCTTTTTTTTGTTGTGTCTCTGCCAGGCTTTGGTATCAGGATGATGCTGGCCTCATAAAATGAGTTAGGGAGGATTCCCTCTTTTTCTATTGATTGGAATAGTTTCAGAAGGAATGGTACCAGCTCCTCTTTGTACCTCTGGTAGAATTTGGCTGTGAATCTGTCTGGTCCTGGACTTTTTTTGTTTGGTAAGCTATTAATTATTGCCTCAATTTCAGAGCCTGTTATTGATCTATTCAGAGATTCAACTTCTTCCTGGTTTAGTCTTGGGAGGATGTGTGTATCCAGGAATTTATCCATTTCTTCTGGATTTTCTAGTTTATTTGCATAGAGGTGTTTATAGTATTCTCTGATGGTAGTTTGTATTTATGTGGGATCGGTGGTGATATCCCCTTTATCATTTTTTATTGCGTCTGTTTGATTCTTCTGTCTTTTCTTCTTTGTTAGTCTTGCTGGCGGTCTATCAATTTTATTGATCTTTTCAAAAAACCAGCTCCTGGATTCATTGATTTTTTGAAGGGTTTTTTGTGTCTCTATCTCCTTCAGTTCTGCTCTGATCTTAGTTATTTCTTGCCTTCTGGTAGCTTTTGAATATGTTTGCTCTTGCTTCTCTAGTTCTTTTAATTGTGATGTTAGGGTGTCGATTTTAGATCTTTGCTGCTTTCTCTTGTGGGCGTTTAGTGCTATAAATTTCCTTCTACACACTGCTTTAAATGTGTCTCAGAAATTCTGGTACGTTGTGTCTTTGTTCTCAAACACAGTGGAAAAATGTTTCAAGGAACATCTTTATTTCTGCTGTCATCCAGTATTCATTCAGGAGCAGGTTGTTCAGTTTCCATGTAGCTGTGCAGTTTTGAGTGAGTTTCTTAATCCTGAGTTGTAATTTGATTGCACTGTGGTCTGAGAGACAGTTTGTTGTGATTTCTGTTCTTTTACATTTGCTGAGGAGTGTTTTGCTTCCAATTATATGGTCAATTTTAGAAAAGTGTGATGTGGTGCTGGGAAGAATGTATATTCTGTTGATTTGGGGTGGAGAGTTCTGTAGATGTCTATTAGGTCTGCTTGGTGTAGAGCTGAGTTCAAGTCCTGGATATCCTTCTTAACCTTCTGTCTCGATCTGTCTAATATTGACAGTGGGGTATTAACGTCTCCCATTGTTGTTGTGTGGGAGTCTAAGTCTCTTTGTAGGTCTCTAAGGACTTGCTTTATGAATATGGGTGCTCCTGTATTGGGTGCACATATATTTAGGACAGTTAGCTCATCTTGTTGAATTGATCCTTTACCATTGTGTAATGGCCTTCTTTGTCTCTTTTGATCTTTGTTGGTTCAAAGTCTGTTTCATCAGAGGCTAGGATTGTAACCCCTGCTTTTTTTTTTTTTTTTTTTTTTTTTTTTTTTTTTTTTTGCTTTCCATTTGCTTAGATCTTCCTCCATCCCTTTATTTTGAGCCTATGTGTATCTCTGCATGTGAGATGGGTTTCCTGAATACAGGACTCTGATGGGTCTTGACTCTTTATCCAATTTGCCAGTCTGTCTTTTAATTGGGGCATTTAGCCTATTTACATTTAAGGTTAATATTGTTATGTGTGAATTTGATCCTTTCATTATGATGTTAGCTGGTTATTTTGCCCATTAATTGATGCAGTTTCTTCATAGCATCAGTGGTCTTTACAATTTGGAATGTATTTGCAATAGCTGGTACCAGTTGTTCCTTTCTGTGTTTAGTGCTTCCTTCAGGAGCTCTTGTAAGGCAGGCCTGGTGGTGACAAAACCTCTCAGCATTTGCTTGTCTGTAAAGGATTTTATTTCTCCTTCACTTATGAAGCTTAGTTTGGCTGAATATGAAATTCTGGGTTGAAAATTCTTTTCTTTAAGAATGTTGAATATTGGCCCCAACTCTCTTCTGGCTTGTAGGGTTTCTGCCAAGAGATCTGCTCTTAGTCTGATGGGCTTCCCTTTGTGGGTAACTGACCTTTCTCTCTGGCTGCCCTTAACATTTTTTTCTTCATTTCAATCTTGGTGAATCTGACAAATAAGTGTCTTGGGGTTGCTCTTCTTGAGGAGTATCTTTGTGGTGTTCTCTGTATTTCCTGAATTTGAATGTTGGCCTGCTCTGCTAGGTTGGGGAAGTTCTGCTGGATAATATCCTAAAAAGTATTTTCCAACTTGGTTCCATTCTCCCCATCACTTTCAGGTGCACCAATCAAATGTAGATTTGGTGTCTTCACATAGTCCCATATTTATTGGAGGCTTTGTTCATTTCTTTTTATTCTTTTTTCTCTAAACTCGTCTTCTCACTTTATTTCATTAATCTGATCTTCAATCACTGATACCCTTTCTTACACTTGATTGAATCAGCTATTGAAGCTTGTGCATATGTCACGAAGTTCTTGTGCCATGGTTTTCATCTCCATCAGGTCATTTAAGGTCTTCTCTACACTGTTTATTCTAGTTAGCCATTCTTGTAACCTTTTTTCAAGGTTTTCAGCTTCCTTGCGATGGGTTAGAACATGCTCCTTTAGCTTGGAGAAGTTTGTTATTACCGACCTTCTGAAGCCTACTTCTGTCAACTCGTCAAAGTCATTCTCCATCCAGCTTTGTTCTGTTGCTGGCGAGGAGCTGCAATCCTTTGGAGGAGAAGAGGTGCTCTGGTTTTTAGAATTTTCAGCCTTTCTGCTCTGGTTTCTCCCCGTCTTTGTGGTTTTATCTACCTTTGGTCTTTGATGTTGATGACCTACTGATGGGGTTTTGGTGTGGATGTCCTTTTTCTTGATGTTGACACGATTCCTTTCTGTTTGTTAGTTTTCCTTATAACAGTCCCTCAGCTGCAGGTCTGTTGGAGTGTTTTGGAAGTCCACCCCAGACCCTGTTTGCCTGGCTATCACCAGCACAAGATGCAGAACAGCAAACATTGCAGAACAACAAATATTGCTGCCTGATCCTTCCTCTGGAAGCTTCGTCCCAGAGGGGCATCCGCCTGTATGTGGTGTCTGTTGGCTGCTACTGGGAGGTGTCTCCCAGTTAGGCTACATGTGGGTCAGGGACACTCTTGAGGAGGCAGTCTGTCTGTTCTCAGAGCTTCAACACCATGCTGGGAGAACCACTGCTCTCTTCAGAGCTGTCAGACCAGGACGTTTAAGTCTGCAGAAGTTTCTGCTGCCTTTTGTTCAGCTGTGCCCTGCCCACAGATGTGGAGTCTATAGAGGCAGTAGACCTTGCTGAGCTGCAGTGGGTTCTGCCCAGTTTGAGCTTCCTGGCCACTTTGTTTACCTACTCAGGCCTCAACAATGGTGGAGGCCTCTCCCCCTGCCCAGCTACAGCCTTGCAGGTCGACCTCAGACTGCTGTGCTAGCAGTGAGCAAGACTCCATGGGCATGGGACCTGCCGAGCCAGGCACAGGAGGGAATCTTATGGTCTGCTGGTTGCTAAGACCGTGGGCAAAGTGCAGTATTTGGGCTGGAGTGTCCCGTTTTTCCAGCTACAGTCTGTCACAGCTTTGCTTGGCTAGGAAAGGGAAATCCCCCCACCCCTTGCACTTCCCAGACGAGGCAATGCCTCGCCCTGCTTCAGCTTGCCCTCTGTGGGCTGCATCCACTGTCCAACCAGTCCCAATGAGATGAACCACGTACCTCAGTTGGAAATGCAGAAATCACCCGTCTTCTGCATTGATCATGCTGGGAGCTGCAGACCAGAGCTGTTCCTATTGGGCCATCTTGGAACCCAGTAGTAGTGACAAAAATTATGTTGAAGTAGGTGTTTGGCTTTTTGACTTTTCAAAAGCCAGGGCTAAAGCCAACATCAAACAGTAGATTTTGATAAATAGTAAAGCTGAAGGAAAACTTCAGCATGTCACTAAAGAGGTTTGCTGAATAGAAAATGCTGGATAGGAAATAAAAATGAGGCTGGGTGTGGTGGCTCATGCCTGTAATCCCAGCACTTTGGGAGGCAGAGTCAGGCAGAGGTGGGTGAATCACGAGGTCAGGAGTTTGAAACCAGCCTGGCCAGTATGGTGAAACCCCGTCTCTACTAAAAAACATAAAAATTAGCAGGGCATGGTGGCATGCGCCTATAGTCCCAGTTACTCAGGAGGCTGAGGCAGGAGAATTGCTTGAACTTGGGAGGGAGAGGTTGCAGTGAGCTGAGATCATGCCACTGCACCCCAGCCTGGGTGACAGAGTGAGACTCCATCTCAAAAAAAAAAAAAAAAAAAAATAGAAATGGGTTACGGAGAGGGGACTGCCATAGCAATGTAGAGGAATTTACTACCTAAGTGACTGCAGAGGACACAAGAGGAGAAACAAGTCAAGTAGCCCCATGGTGTCCTGTAGAGAATCAGAACTTGGAGACACTTGCAGAACTGCAGAGATGGTGATGAGATGGGAGGCTGACAGCAGGGAGGGAGGACAAGGTGTGTTTATGTGTTATGGGCAAAGTCCCCTGTAGAGAGACACATATTCCTCATGCCCACATCTTACTCCACCTACCCTCTCGAGGAAATTAGGCCTTTATTTCCTTTTTGGAGAAGCTGAAAAAGAAAGACTACAGAATAGAGAATTACAGATATAGTAAAGTGGAGGAGAGAAAAAGCATTTTTTAAAAAGGAAATGAAGTCAAATCCTACATATTGATCAATAAGACCCCTCCCCCAAACCCCACCTGCCACCGCTCTACCTGGAGTGACTGACCCCATCCCTATTTCCAGGCCTTTCCATAGGCTACCCTATCTGGGCACACTCTTTTTCAAACTTTTCTACTCTTATTTACTTCTCCCCTTAATTAAAATGTGCCTGTCTTGTGTCCTACTCTTCCAGTGATTTTTATTTGCTGCGCCTCACATGATGTCAATGAGATAAAAAACAAAGCTGCCTAGGACATGCTGTAGCCACTCACTCCATGTGGCCATGATTGGGCACTTGAAATATGGCTGGTCTGAATTGAGATGTACTGTTAAGTGTAAAATACACACCAAATTGTTAAGACTTAGTGTGGAAAAAATGTAAAATATCTCATTAGTAATTTCATGTTGATTAATGTTGAAATGATAATTTCTGGATATATTTATTTAAAGAAAGTACAATATTAAAATTAATTTCATCTCTTTCCTTTTACTTTATTAAATGTAGCTACTAGAAGATTGAAATCTTCATATATGAAATTATATATGTTGCTCATATTACATTTCTACTGGGCAGTAATGGTCTGGACTAATGGGTTGTGGACTAGACCTACTACTTGCAGTAGCTATCAGAAGATTGAAATTGTATACGTTGCTCGCATTACATTTCTACCGGACAGCAATGGTCTGGACTAATGTGTTGGTCCGGGTGTTCGTCACGTTGATGCTCAGGAGCAGTTTCCAGACGTCTCTGCTGTACTGGAGCCTGCCCGGCTTCTGCTGCTGCTCCGACATGAAGGCTGCCCGTATCTGCAAGTTGCTCTCGCACTTATTGTCAGGCCCGCACTCCTTCTGGAACTGGACCTCAGTATGGTTCTCCAAAGCCCGTGCCTGGTGGGCGTCCAGGGACCAGAGCCCCGGCTGCAGGCGATCCGGCATCCGTATAGGTAAAGAGTAGTTCATGGAGATGATGATGGGATGGAGTTTGTCACGGAGGTTGTCCATCTGGAGCAACTCCAGCTAGGGCAGCATATCTCGGGCATGGAGAAGAAGCCGTGGAAGACAGCTGACTCACTGCCGGCAAAGCCGAGCCGGGGTGGGCGGCGGTCCCTGTCAGCCTCCAGAGTGTAGGCCAGGGTTTACATAAATAATTACATACATAATTTCAATCTTCTAGTAGCCACATTTAGTAAAGCAAAAAGAAATAGGTGAAATTAATTTTAATACTATATTTAAACCAATGTACCCAAAATAATAACATTTCAACATTAATCAACATAAAAATTACTAATAAGATATTTTACATTTTTTCCACACCAAGTCTTAACAATTTGGTGTGTATTTCACACTTAACAGTACATCTCAATTCAGCCACATTTCAAGTGCTCAATCATAGCCACAGATAGCGAGTGACTACCATTTTAGACAGTATGTCCCAGGCTGCTTTGTTTTTTATGTGGTTGACCTCAAGTGAGGCACAGCAAATAATCAGCAGTGTTTCCAAATTTCCAGGTGAAAAATTAGGTATAACTATCTATCCATAAGTCGAAAGTAAGAGTAAAATCAAGATTTTTTTGGATATGCAAAAACTCGAAAATATCAACTCTCATGCACACTTTGTCAGGAGGCTGCTAGAGGAAGTGGCCAGAGTGGGAGGAGGTGAGGTTACAAGATCTAGAAGATCCTCCATATCAGTTTCTGTAGAAGGGGCTGTGGTCTGGTAGCTACTGTAAGTAGCTGTCTCATGTGAGGCATAGCAAATCTGGAATTCCCTCTTCTGTAGTCTATCTTTTTCAGCTTCTACGAAAAAGAAATAAAGGCCCAGTTTCCTTGAGAGGGTAGATGAAGTAAGATGTTGGGGCCTATTACTGAGATGAGAGATTACAGGAAGAGAGGGTCCTTCCACCTGGTCAAAGTGAATACCTCCTTTGATACTATGGGTTCTAATCCCCACATCTCTTCAGGGACCTTCTTAAAGCACGAATTTTTCCTCTTCTTGTATCTTCAGCCTCACCCTTTTTTGCCTCCCAAGTCTCTGCTGCTCCATGTTCACTACCATCCCTCCTCCAGCTGCTGCCTTTTCCTGCAGCCTCACTCTGCTCCACCCTGGACATCATCCTTCTTTCTTCATTTCTCCAAAGTTCCACTGACAACAGATTGGGGCCTGCTACAGACATTTTCAGAAAGATTGGAGTATTATATGTTAATTGCTACTCAAGGAAGGAAGCAACAATTGAACCTCAGACATTACTATTGCAAGATTTAAAAAAAAAGGATATTCCATCCCCTGCCCCAGAACATTTCTCTTGGGCCCTACCTACTCTCTTCCACTGTGTCCTTCGAGCTGCTCCCTCCTTCTTCTTACCCAGTTATCTGAGGACTACTTCCAAATTCACATGAAGTATTTTAGCTCCCTCCCTCCCTTTGAAATAAGGCTTTGATCCTTTGCACATATAAAAATTCATTTTTGGCTCAGCTAAACAAGGAATTATTTGATCTATGACTTTATTGTGAAAAAAAAAAAAGACAAAAAACTGGCAGAAGCTTTGAGACAGCAGTTGTTCTTTAATATAATCCAGGATCAAATTCTTAGGCACAGACTCTACCTACAGAGACCCCCATGGGTATGGGCTGTTTCCTTTTTATAAATGATTATCTTACAAACGTTAGAAGTTATTGTAATTATGTTTGCTCAGCTGTTTCCACTGCTTGCACCAGTGCACCACTGCTGGCAAAGCTGTGCAAAAAAAAGTAACCTTTTCTGAGGCCCCATAGCTTTTTTGGTTAACCTTAGACTTTCTTCATTTCTAAGAAGAGCTTACAGAGCTTTTTTAAAAAAAAAAATTGTGGTTAAAAAAACATAAAACATTAGATTTGCCCTCTTAACACATTTTAAGTGTAGGTACAGTACAATATTACTACCTATAAATGCCATTTTATAGAGCAGATCTCTAAAACTTTTCTATCTCCTATTGCTAAAACTGTATATCCGTTGAGCAGTAATTTTTCCATCTCCCAATCCCTGCCAGCCCTGGGAAATGCCATTCTACTTTCTGCCTCTATAAGTTTGACTACTTTATCAATAACTCATAAAAGTGGAATTGCCAAGTGACGATGGCTCCTGTCTGTAATCCCAGCTACTTGGGAGGCTGAGGTGGGAGGATCACTTGAGCCCAGCAGTTGGACACAAGTCTGGGCAACATAGCAAGACCCTGTCTCTTAAAAAATAAAATAAAATAAAAGTGAAATCATGCAGTATTTGTCCTTCTGTGATGGGCTTATTTCACTTAATGTCCTCAATGATGCATCCATGTTGTAGCATATGACAGGAATTCTTTCTTTTTTTATGACTGAATAATATTCCTTTACATGCATATAACACATCCCCTTTATCCATTCATCACTCAGTAGACATTGAGGTTGTTTCCACCTCTTGTTGATTATGAATAATGCTGCTATGAACATGGGAGTGCAAATATTTCTTTGAGATCCTAATTTCAATTACTTCAGATATATTCCCAGAGGTAGGATTGCTGGATCATATTGTAGCTCTATTTTTAATTTTTGAGGAAGCATCATAGTGTCTTCCATAATGGCTGTACCATTTTACTTTCCCACCAACAGTGCACAGGAGTTCTGATTTCTCTGTGTTATAGTCAAACTTGTTATTTTCTGTTTTATATTTCATATATATATATATATGTACCATCCTCACAGGTTTGAGGTCATATCTCATTATGGTTTTGATTTGCATTTTCCCGATGATTAGTGGTGTTGAACATTTTTTCATATACCTATTGGCCATCTATATGTCTTCTTTGGAGAAATGTCTATTCAAGTTCTTTGTCCATTTTTTATCAGGTTATTATTTTTTATTTTTTTGGTATTGAGTTGTAGGAGTTCCTTATATATTTCAGGTATTAACTCCTTATCAGATACATGATTCCCAAATATTTTCTCCAATCCATGGGTTGCCTTTTCAGTTTGTTGAATTTTTTTTTTTTTTGGTATTGTAGAAGCTTTTTAGTGTAATGTAGTTCTGTTTGTCCATTTTTGCTTTTCTTCCCTGTACTTTTGGTGTTAGATGCAAGAAATCACTGCCAGGACTAACGTTGTGAAGATTTTTCCCTTCGTTTTCTTCTGAGAGTTTTATAGTTTTGGGTCTTATGTTTAAATTTTAAATTCATTTTGAGTTGATTTTTGTGTATGGTGTAAGATGAGAGCCCAATTTTATTTTCTTTAAAAACATGGACATCTATTTTTTCCAACATCTTTTGTTGAAGAGACTCCACTGTGTAGTATTGGCACCCTCGTCAAAGATCATCTGACTATATATGCATGAGGTCATTTCGGCTCTCTATTTTGTTCCATTGATCTTTATGTCAGTTCCACACAATTTTTATGATTGTAGCTTTGCAGTATATTTTGAGAACAGATAGTGTGAGGCTTCTAGTTCTGTTCTTTCTCAAGAATAGAAAGAACAGTTGGGTTTGTGGAGGTTTTATGCCCGCAGATGGAAGAGCTTTTCTAGTTTTATAGTCTCCTCCATTGAGGATATTCACCTCAAAATTCTATCATCTTTCGGCCAAAGATTGCTAGAGGTCTGCTCTGATATCTCACCCTTCCTAAGGTGGATAAACTAATGACACCCCCCATACCATGAGTTTAAGAGGCCTTAGAAATCACATATTCTCACCTTTTATTTAACTGATGAGAAACTGAAGCCTACAGAAGTAGTTAGTTGGTGGTAGACCCAGAGCTAGAACCCAGGATTCCTGGCCCTAATTCTATTATTCTTTCTACTCCATAAAATAAATGTACAGGAGGAGAGTTAGGGAGGCAGAAGCCATACCTGAAGGTTGCAAAATAGTATAGTTCTGAGTGAGAAAGGGGGCACATCCAAGAGGACCCTTCACTGATTTAAGGGTTGCTGAGCAGAATCCTGCTGTAGAGACAATAGAGGCACCACCAGGAGCCTGATAAAGTGTCCACAGACTATCCCTTGGGCCAGAGCCTTTTCTGACCAATTCAGGCCACTGTCAGTTTCCTAAAGCCAGGCATAACTTCCGGGCAAGGGGGATTATTCTGAAGGAGAAGCCACCTCTTTAGGGTCTATGAGCTTAGATTTAGGGCTTCCTTCTAATCACTATTGTTCTTGCCAAGCCCTCACAACCAGAAGTGATGGTCTCAGAGACAGAGATCATCAAAAGAGAAACAAAGGAGACAGGACCAAAATGCAGCATTTTCTCCATCAGGCAACAGAGGGAGGAGGAGCCTGCAGAGGAGGTGAAGTGACAGTTAGAGAGGTAGGATTTAAACCAGTAGGGCTGAGTGGGAAAGAGTCCAACATGACAAATGTGGCAGAAATCAGAGGCAAGGGCTGCGGAAGACTGGAAACGGTTGTTCCTTCAGGGAAGCAATTTTTTGTGTGTGATGGTTACAGAGCCAGATTTTGAGGAAATAAGTGAGGAAATGGTGAGAGGCAGCAAGTATGGACTACTTTCAAAATCTGGTGTTGAAAGGAAGTAGAGGGACAGCGGAGAAGGGTGAAGAGATAATCTTGGTGTTTACTGTTAACAGTTCAATATATGATGTTTGAAATTTATATGATGCAAGAGCTACAAGAGCTTAGCCCTTCAAGGAAGGAGCTTGGAGGGAAAACTTTTAATATTAAAAAAAAAGTCTCTGGGGAAGGAGCAAAGTTGGTGGACTAGAAGCTGCTCATGTGTATTGCTCGCTTGGAAAGGAAACAAAAGAGCTAGTGAACACTGAAGGGCTAGTGAACGCTGACCTTGCAGGCTGATCATCTGCGAAACCACTTCGGGATGCAACAAGGCAGCAGGGGGACACAGAAAGAAGAGAAAAGCAAAGCTGGGGACCAGCCTGTCTGGGCTCAGGGCAGAGCCAGGAAAACCTCTCCAACATGGGAAAGGGTGAGTGAGTGAAAGCCCCCTGAGGGATTCACCCTCTCTACAGGGAGCATTGTAAGACTGGAAAGGGGATAATCCTCCTGGCCCCCCCAACACCTTTCCACTGCACTTCTAGACGGAGGCAGAGAGCCACCTGGACATTCTGCGGGGGCAACTCTTGAGTCTAAGGGGACCTCTACCTGCCTTGGGCCCTTGAGCAGACCAGCACTGGTGCCACAGCTCCAATAGAGGCCACAGTCGCAGTGCCTAGGAGCAGTAAGATTTTTCCACTTCCTCTCGCCAGATGGGTCTCATTGCCAGCTTCCAGCATAGTGGTCCTGCTTCTGCCTGAAACTGGCCAGCAGCCACAGCCACTTGTTGTCCCAGAAAGCACTTGTATGGCAGGACAGGCAACCCCCACCCACCCCTGCCACTGGTAGCCAGATGGGCAATGTGTGCTAGAGCTTCTGGCCCAGTGGCTCTGCTTCTGTCTGAACTCAGCCAGCAGATGAGGCCTCCCACTGACCTAGGAAACACCCAGATGACAGAGTGGGCAATTCCACCCACCCTGGCCTCTCATAGCCAGATGGACCACACCTGCTAGTGCTTCCAGCCCAGTGTTCCAACTTCCGCCTGAACTCTGCCAGCAGGTGCAACCCAGTATTACCTCAGGAAGCACTTGGACAGCAGATTAGGGCCAACCCAGCAATCATATGGCCTGTCTGACAACTGCGGCCCCTGCCTGAGGGAGCCCCATGGAACAGAATACCCAACAACAACAATAACAAAAAGTAGGTATGGAGACAATAATCAGAGGAGGCTCTGGGCTCCTCCAAGACCGTGAGCACACTAGAATTGAAGCCAGTAGACTGAACCAAACTTATTCCACAATCAAACCCCCAAAGGCATCAAAGAAGATAAAAGCAATTTTAAAAAACCCATCCAAAGGAAGAAACTTCAAAGACTGAAGGAACATCAACCCACATGGAAGAGAAAAACCAGTGCAAGAAATCTGGCAACTCAAAAAGTCAGAGTATCTTCTTATCTCCAAATGACTGCACTAGTTCCCCAGAAATGTTTCTTAACCAGGCTAAAATGGCTGCAATGTCAGAAATAGATCTCTGAATATGGATAGGAATGAAGATCATTGACGTTCAGAAGAAAGTTGAAACCTAATCCAAGAAATCTAAGGAATACAATTACATGAAAAACAACCTACTCCCGAATGACTTTTGAGTAAACAATGAAATTAAGACAGAAGTCAAGAAATTATTTGAAACTAATGAGAAAAAGATACAACATACCAGAATCTCTGAGACACAGCTACAGCAATGTTAAGAGGGAAGATTTTAGTACTAAGCATCCACACCAAAAGATTAGAAAGATCTCAAGTTAACAACCTAAAGTCACAGCTAGAGTGACTACAGAAACAAGAGCAAACCAACCTCAAAGGTAGCCGAAGATAAGACATAACCAAAATCAGAACTGAATTGAAGGAAACTGAGATGTGAAAAGCCATACAAAAGACCAATGAATCCAGGGGTTGGTATTTTAAAAGAATAACTAAGATTGACAGACTGCTAGCTAGACTAATAAAGAAAGAGATAAGATCCAAATAAACACAATCAGAAATAATGACAAAGAGGACATTACTATTGGTCCCACAGAAACACAAAAATCCCTCAGAGACTATTATGAACACCTCTAGGCACATAAGCTAGAAAACCTAAAAGAAATGGATAAATTCCTGGAAGCATACAACCTCCCAAGATTGAATCAGGAAGGAACTGAATCCCTGAGCAGACCAATAACAAGTTCTGAAATTGAATCAAAAATAAAAAGCCTACCAACCGGAAAAAGCACAGGACCAAACAGAATCATAGCCAAATTCTACCAGATGTATAAAGAAGAGCTGGTACCATTACTATGGAAACTATTCCCAAATGTTGAGGAGGAGGGACTCCCCTCTAACTCATTCCATGAGGCCAGCATCATCCTGATAACCAAAACCTGACAAACACAACAACAAAAAGAAAACTTTAGGCCAGTATCCTTGATGAGCATACATGCAAAAATTCTCAACAAAATACTAGCAAACTGAATCAAGCAACACATCAAAATACAAATCCACCATAATCAAGTATGCTTTATCCCTGGGATACAAGGTTGATTCAACATAAACAAATCGATAAATGTTATTTATTGACCACATAAAAAGAACTACAAAGAAAAACCACAGGATCATCTCAATAGATGCAGAAAGGGATTTTGATAAAATTCAACAACCCAGGAAGCAGACTTTGCAGTGAGCTGAGATCATGTCACTGCATTGCAGTCTGGATGACAGAGCAAGGCTCTGTCTTGAAAAAAAACCTTCTGTAACCCTCAACAAAGTAGGCATTGAAGGAACATACGTCAAAATAAGAAGAGCCATTAGAACAAATGCACAGCCAACATCATACTGAATGGGCAAAACCTGGAAGGATTCCCCTTGAGAACTATAACAAGACAAGGATGTCCATTCTCACCATTCCTATTCAACATAGTCCTGAAAGTCCTGGCCAGAGAGAGTTTAGTCCTGACCTAAACTATTTCTGTTTGCAGACAACAATATAATTTTATACCTAGAAAACCCCACAGTCTGTGCCCAAACACTCCTTGGTCTGATAAACAACTTCAGGATACAAAAGTTTCAGGATACAAAAGTTTCAGGATACAAAAATCAGTGTACAAATTCAATAGCATTCCTTTTTTTAACGTTTATTTTAAGTTCAGGGGTACATGTGCAGGATGTGCAGGTTTGTTACATAAGTAAATGTGTGACATGGTGGTTTGCTGCACAGATCATCCCATCACCTAGATATGAAGCCCAATGTCCATTAGGTATTCTTCCTGATGTTGTCTTTCCCCCAACACTCCCTGACAGGCTTCAGTGTGTGTTGTTTCCCTCCATGTGTCCATGTGTTCTCATCATTCAGCTCCCACTTATAAGTGAGAACATTATGTTGTGTGGTTTTCTGTTCCTGTGTTAGTTTGCTGAGCATAATGGCTTCCAGCTCCATCCATGTCCCTGCAAAGGACATGATCTCTTTCCTTTTATGGCTGTATAGTATTCCATGGTGTATATATACCACATTGTCTTTATTCAGTCTATCATTGATGGGCATTTGGGTTGATTCCGTGTCTTTGCTATTGTGTCTAGTGCTGCACTGAACATAATGCATGCATGAATCTTTATAATAGAATGATTTATATTCCTTTGAGTATATACCCAGTAATGGGACTGTTGGGTCAAATGGTACTTCTGCCTCTAGGCCTTTGAGGAATCACTACACTGTCTTCCACAATGGTTGAACTAGTTTACACTCTCATCAACAGTGTAAAAGTGTTCCTTTTTCTCCACAACCTTGCCAGCATCTGTGGTTTCTTGACTTTTAAATAATCACCATTCTGACTGGCATGAGATGCTATCTCATTGTGGTTTTGATTTGCATTTCTCTAATGATCAGTGATGTTGAGCTTTTTATCATATGTTTGTTGACCACATGTACGTCTTCTTTCGAGAGGTGTCTGTTCATGTCCTGGAAGAGACACAACAAAAAAAGAAAACTTCAGGTCAATATCCCTGATGAATGTCAATGCCAAAATCCTCAATAAAATACTGGCAACCCAAATCCAGCAGTACATTAAAAAGCTTATCCACCGCAATCGAGTTGGCTTCATCCCCAGGATGCAAGCTTGGTCAATGTACGCAAATCAATAAATGTGATTCATCACATAAACAGAGCTAAAGACAAAAACCACATGATTATCTCAATAGATGCAGAAAAGGCCTCCGACAAAATTCAACATCCCTTCTTGTTAAAAATGCTCAATAAACTAGGTATTGAAGGAATATACCTCAAAATAATAACAGTCATTTATGACAAAGCCACAGCCAATATCATACTGAATGGGCAAAAGCTAGAAGCATTCTTCTTGAAAACTGGCACAAGAAAAGGATGCCCTCTCTCACCACTCCTATTCAACATAGTATTGGGAGTTCTGGCCAGGGTAATCAGGCAGGAGAAAAAATAAAGTGTATTCAAATTGGAAGAGAGGAAGTCAAACTATCCCTGTTCACAGATAACATGATCCTATACCTAGAAAATCCCCATCATCTCAGCCCAAAAGCTTCTTAAGCTGATAAACAACTTCAGCAAAGCGTCAGGATACAAAATCAATGTGCAAAAATTGCTAGCATTTCTATACGCCATCTACAGGCAAGCAGAGAGCCAAATAGTGAATGAACTCCCATTCACAATTGCAAAAAAAAAAAAGGATAAGTTACCTAGGAATACAGCTAACAAGGGAAGTGAAGGACTTCTTCAAGAAGAACTGTAAATTACTGCTCAAAGAAATCAAACAGGACACAAATCAGAGAGAACTGGCTAGTCATATGCAGAAAATTGAAACTGGACCCCTTCCTTACACCTTATACAAATGGAAAAACATTCCATGATCATGGATAGGAAGAATTAATATTGTTAAAGTGGCCATACCAGACAAAGTAATTTATAGATTCAATGCTATTCCCATTAACATTCTTCACAGAATTACAAAAAACTCTTTTAAAACTCATGTGAAACCAAAAAAGAGCTCGAATAGCCAAGACAATCCTAAGCAAAAATAACACAGCTGGAGGCATCATGCTACCTGACTTCAAACTATATTACAAGGCTGCAGTAACCAAACAGCATGGTACTGGTATAAATGCACATGCATAGACCAATGGAACTGAATAGAGAACTCAGAAATAAGACTACCCACCTACAACCATCTGATCTTTGACAAACCTGACAAAAACAAGTAATGAGGGAAGGATTCCCTATTTAATAAATGGTGCTGGGAGAACTGGCTAGCCACATGCAGAAAATTGAAATTGAACCCCTTCATTATACCTTACACAAAAATTAACTCAAAATGGATTCAAGCCTCAAATATAAAACCCCAAACTATAAAAACCCTAGAAGAAAATCTAGGCAATCCCATTCAGGACATAGGCATGGCCAAAGATTTCATGATGAAAATGCCAAAAGCAATCACAACAAAAGCAAAAATTGACAAATGGAATCTAATTAAACAAAAGAGCTTCTACACAGCAAAAGAAACTATCATCAGCCTACAAAATGGGAGAAAATCTTTGCAATTTATCCATCTGACAAACGTCTAATATCCAGAGTCTACAAGGAACTTAAATTTACAGGAAAAGCATTTCTACACACTAACAACATCCAAGCTGACAGCCAAATCAGGAACACAATCCCATTCACAATAACCACAAAAAGAATAAAATATCTAGGAATACAGCTAATCAGGGAGGTGAAAGATCTCTACAATGAGAATTACAAAATACTGTTCAAAGAAATCAGAGAGTCCAGAAATAAAGCTACACACCTACAACCAACTGATCTTCAACAAAGTCAACAAAAACAAGCAATAGGAAATAGACCCTCTATTCAATAAATTGTGCTGGGATAATTGGCTAGCCATATGCAGAATTGAAACTGGACCCCTTCCTTACCCCATATACAAAAATCAACTGCTGGGCGTGATGGCTCTCGCCTGTAATCCCAGCACTTTGGGAAGCCGAGGCAGGCGGATCATGAGGTCAGGAGATCGAGACCATCCTGGCTAACACGGTGAAACCCCGTCTCTATTAAAAATACAAAAAATTAGCTGGGCGTGGTGGCCGGCGCCTGTAGTCCCAGCTACTTGGGAGGCTGAGGCAGGAGAATGTCCTGAACCCGGGAGGCGGAGTTTGCAGTGAGCTGAGATCGCGCCACTGGACTCCAGCCTGGGCGATCGAGAGAGACTCCATCTCAAAAAAAAAAAAAAAAAAAATCAACCATAGAGGTTTAAAGACTTAAATGTAAAACCTACAGCTATAAAAACTCTGGAAGATATCCTAGAAAATACCACTCTGGATATATGAATGGGCAAAGATTTCATGACGAAGATGCCAAAAGCAAAAATTGACAAAAGGAACCTAAGGAAATAGCTTCTTCATATCAAAGGAAACTATCAACAGAGTAAACAGACAACCTCTAGAATGGGGAAATATTTGCAAACTATGCATATGACAAAGGTCTAATATCCAGCACCTAAAAGGAACTTAAACAAATTTACAAGAAAATAAAACAACCGCATTAAAAAGTGGGCAAAGGGCATGAACAAATGCTTTTCAAAAGAAGACATACATGTGGCCAACAAGCATATGAAAAAATGCTCAACATCACTAATTATTAGAGAAATGCAAATCAAAACCACAATGAGATACCATCTCCCACCAGTCAGAATGGCGATTATTAAAAAGTCAAAAAATAACAGATGCTGGCAAGGTTGCAGAGAAAAGGTAATGTTTATACATTGCTAGTGAGAATGTAAATTATTTCAGCCATTGTGGAAAGCAGTGTGGCAATTTCTCAAAGAACTTAAAATAGAAGTATCATTAGACTCAGCAATCCCACTTTTGAGTATATCCCCAGAGGAATATAAATTATTCTGCCATAAAGACACATGCATATGTATGTTCATTGCAGCACTATTCACAACAGCAAAGACATGGAATCAACCTAAATGTCCATCAATGGTAGATTGGATAAAGAAAATGTGGTACATATACACCAGGGAATACTATGCAGCCATGAAAAAGAATGAAATCGTGTCCTTTGCAGTAACATGAATGGAGCTGGAGGCTGTAATTCAAGGCAAACTAATGCAGGAACAGAAAACCAAATACCACATGTTGTCTCTTATAAATGGGAGCTAAACATTGAGTACACGTGGACACAAAGAAGGGAACAATGGACACTGGAGCCTACTTGAGGCTGTTAGGGGAGGAGGGAGAGGATTGAAAAACTATTTATTGGATATTAATTACCTTATTACCGGGGTGATGAAATAATCTGTACGTCACACCCCTGTGACATGCAATTTACTTATATAACAAACATGCACATGTATCCCTGAACCTAAAATAAAAGTTAAAAATATATAAGAATTAACAACAAAACAACAAGTCTATGCTGGCATAATTACAAAAGGTGGGATAGGAGATGCATTCTTTTAAGTGGAGATCCACTAGCAATAGCCACGTCTTAGGATTGGCCAAAGGACCAATATATCGAGGACAACGTCATCATTCATCCTGGATGCTGGGAACCCTGCTCAGTTCTCCTTCCTTTCCTCGGGCCATTGATAGATCCTTACTTTTATAACCCAGAGGTTTAGAAGGCGTATTTCCTAGACTGCCTCCTCTCGTCACAAGCTGCAGAGGACCTGGGAGAGAGTGGAGAATCTTTGGGTACTCCTGTTATTAATTTGAGCTCATCTACCCTTTAGGAGAAAATCCGCACCTGCTTTTTTTTTATTTCCACAAGGGAATAAATAAATTAAAATTTAGAATGACATTTCTGAAAGATTATCATCAACTCCTGATATAAGTCATACAAGGGATGGTCAGCAGCTGAATTCCCAAGATATGGAGTGGAAGAGATGAGAGGGGTGTTGAGCGTTGGTCTCTCAGCTCTTGTAAGGTCTTAGAAATGAAATGAGACTGGAGTTGGCTGATGGGACCTGTCAAACTTCCCACTGGTGGTGGCCTCTGTGTTCCTTGCCTTGGAAATTTCAGGAGGAATATGCTTCAGTTTCTGTTGTAGGCTACTAATTGTGTCTTACAGTGTGCCCAGCAAAGCAATAGGAATGCTCTCTAAGAAAAACCACTCTACTGAGATTCGAGCTTTGAAATCAAAGAGACGGGATCAGCAGATGGAATTTAGAGGGCTCTGCTAAACAGAGATATTTCTAGATGTGTGACATGTGCTGTATATCCTGATGGGGCCAGCAATGGGTACAAACACATCTGTAGTATTTGGCTTAGTGACTCATGCCTGTTTTTTCATCAGGCAAAGCAAATGGGGCCAGGATCGGCGGGACCACTTGCCTGATAGTCAAAAGACAACTGTTTGACCTTTTGAGTGGTGGTGGTAGAAGACAGGGCCAGGTTAGCTACACACTAGGCTGTAAAGTTGTCAGTCAGTCTTTAGTCTTCCTTTATCCACCCCTCTGGTGGTACAGCACTAGGCTTAGGGTCCAGAGTTCTACATTCAAAGCCTGGCTCTGACATTAGCTGCATCTTGCACAATTTTTCAACATCCCATAACTCTGGTTTTCTTTGTAGTATCCTTCCTGGCCCTGCTCCCACCTCCAGTTGGAAGGAAAGTGTAGTGGTTAAAATCCCAGGCTCTGGGGTCAGACTGACCTGAGTTCAGATGCTAGCAGAGCCATTAACTAGCTACTGGACCTTGAGAGGAATTCCAGACCTGATCACCAGATCAGCTGAATTAGAATGTTTGGAAGAATGGCCTTCCTCCTTAACAAACTTTCCAGGTTTCATAGGCATTCTAAAATGTGAGAACCACTGTCTGAGAGTTCTTTCTCCATCCCTTTCCATGGATGTGCCAAACACACCATGTTCCATTTTCTTAATATTAGATTCTTGTCATAAAATCTTAATTTGAGGTTTTAAAACAAGGGATTGTTATTCTTTATTTTTGTTATTAATTTTGTTTTATGTAGGTAGCTGGATTCTTTGGAGAGAAGAATTCAAAAAGTCCTTGAATTTGGAAAGAAAACAATTACTTCTTTTCACTAACCTCGAAATGAAATAAAACATTCCAGTATGAGCACAGATAACACACTCCAGGAGTTATAGCAATCCCTGAGATGCTGTCACCACAGGAGATACCGATATTCCTATAGCACAGATATTCTCTATAGTCACTGCAGACATCTTGAAAGATCATAAACCCTCGTTGCTACTTTAAAATCATGGTAGCTATAAAGAAGCACCTATATTGTATCACGTTTTAAAAATTATTTTGCACTTTGGGAGGCCGAGACGGGCGGATCACGAGGTCAGGAGATCGAGACCATCCTGGCTAACACGGTGAAACCCCGTCTCTATTAAAAATACAAAAAATTAGCTAGCGTGTTGGCGGGCGCCTGTAGTCCCAGCTACTTGGGAGGCTGAGGCAGGAGAACGGCGTGAACCCGGAAGGCGGAGCTTGCAGTGAGCCGAGGTCGCACCACTGCACTCCAGCCTGGGGGACACAGCGAGACGCACCACTGCACTCCAGCCTGGGGGACAGAGCGAGACTCCGTCTCCAAAACAAAACAAAACAAAACAAAACAAAAAACAAAAATTATTTTGATAACAATTTCAATATCATCGGTTTCCATTGTAGTACCTGTTTTTTAAAATGCATTTAAAAATATGATTCAGAGAAGGGATCCCTAGGCTTTACCAGTTTGTCAGCAGGGCCCAGGGCACAAAAAGCTTGAGAATCTTTGTACACAGGGAGTGTTTGACTCAACACACACTGCAACATGCAGCTAACTCTTGCTTCTCTGGTAGTTCTCCTTGCTAACCCAAATAAGCCACTAGAGGATAGCATTTCAAGTGGGGTGAGGAAGACATTGGAGATAGGAGTGGCCCTGGTGATGGGCATTTTTCCCTTAAATCTTACCTTCAGCTTACTGCATTGACCAGCTCTGGGAAGGTGTAAGGAAAAACAATGTGTCTCATCTGTTTCCTCAAGCAGGTCCTGACTTCCTACTCCTTAGGATTGACATGCCAGGAACCCCCATCCAGCACTCCTGGAGGTCTCTGAACTGTGATTTAATTGTTCTTTTTTTGCTTAACCTATTTGAGTTCAGTTTCCATCTTTGTAATTCAAAGAGTCCTCCTGATATAGTTGTAAATGTTATTTGACTCTATCCCTAGCTTCTGGGTAGACCTCATTTTCATATTTTATTACTCATGGGATATTTTTGTCTGCTCATTGTTTACAAAAAAATATTCCTCCTATCCCTAATCTCTCTGCCAGCTTGATAACAATCATTAGGTTAAATCATTCGTTCAAGGTAAAAGGAGCAGAAGTGTGATTCAAACTCAAGTTTGTCTAATTATAAAATGATGAGTTTTCTACCATATCAAGCTTCCTCTCCAACTTGAGGCAAAAATGTTTTCCATGTGAATTTGTCTTTGACATTATGGTGAAAGTTAGTGAATAAATAGATTAATTTAGCAAAATTCACTTTAAATGTCTTTTGTGGGTCAAATTCTTTCTGAGAATTACCACTAGAAGTGATGTTTTAGCAGGCACAAATGCTTGTGCCTGTACTCCCAGCGACTCAGGAGGCTGAGGCGGGAGGATAGCTAATTCCCATGAGTATGAGTTCCAGTAAGCCATGACTGCACAAGTGCACTCCAGCCTGGGCAACAGAGTGAGAACCTGACTCTATTTTATTTATTTATTTATTTATTTATTTTTCATCGATTTGAATTTATTTCTATAATCCCATTTTGTTTTATTCATTTTTTATTATTATACTTTAAGTTCTAGGGTACATGTGCACAACGTGCAGGTTTGTTACACATGTATACATGTGCCATGTTGGTGTGCTGCACCCATTAACTCATCATTTATATTAGGTATATCTCTAAATGCTATCCCTCCCCCCTCCCCCCACCCCACAACAGTCCCTGGTGTGTGATATTCCCCTTCCTGTGTCCAAATGTTCTCATTGTTCAATTCCCACCTATGAGTGAGAATGTGCAGTGTTTGTTTTTTTGTCCTTGTGATAGTTTGCTGAGAATGGTGGTTTCCAGCTTCATCCATGTCCCTACAAAGGATATGAACTCATCCTTTTTATGGCTGCATAGTATTCCATGGTGTATATGTGCCACATTTTCTTAATCCAGTCTATCATTGATGGACATTTGGGTTGGTTCCAAGTCTTTGCTATTGTGAATAGTGCTGCAGTAAACATATGTGTTCATGTGTCTTTATAGCAGCATGACTTATAATCCTTTGGGTATATACCCAGTAATGGGAGGGCTGGGTCAAATCATATTTCTAGTTCTAGATCCCTGAGGAATCGCCACACTGACTTCTACAATGGTTGAACTAGTTTACAGTCCCACCAACAGTGTAAAAGTGTTCCTATTTCTCCACATCCTCTCCAGCACCTGTTGTTTCCTTACTTTTTAATGATCACCATTCTAACTAGTGTGAGATGGTATCTCATTGTGGTTTTGATTTGCATTTCTCTGATGGCCAGTGATGATGAGCATTTTTTCATGTGTCTGTTGGCTGCATAAATATCTTCTTTTGAGAAGTGTCTGTTCATATCCTTCGCCCACTTGTTGATGGGTTGTTTGTTTTTTTCTTGTAAATTTGTTTGAGTTCTTTGTAGATTCCGGATATTAGCCCTTTGTCAGATGAGTAGATGGCAAACATTTTCTCCCATTCTGTAGGTTGCCTGTTCACTCTGATGGTAGTTTCTTTTGCTGTGCAGAAGCTCTTTAGTTTAATTAGATCCCATTTGTCTATTTTGGCTTTTGTTGCCATTGTTTTTGGCGTTTTAGTCATGAAGTCCTTGCGCATGCCTATGGCCTGAATGGTATTGCCTAGGTTTTCTTCTAGGGTTTTTATGGTTTTAGGTCTAACATTTAAGTCTTTAATCCATCTTGAATTAATTTTTGTATAAGGTGTAAGGAAGGGATCCAGTTTCAGCTTTCTACATATGGCTAGCCAGTTTTCCCAGCACCATTTGTTAAATAGGGAATCCTTTCCCCATTTCTTGTTTTTGTCAGGTTTGTCAAAGATCAGATGGTTGTAGATGTGTGGCATTATTTCTGAGGGCTCTGTTCTGTTCCATTGGTCTATATCTCTGTTTTGGTACCAGTACCATGCTGTTTTGGGTACTGTAGCTTTACAGTATAGTTTGAAGTCAGGTAGCATGATGCCTCCAGCCTTGTTCTTTTGGCTTAGGATTGACTTGGCAATGTGGGCTCTTTTTTGGTTCCATATGAGCTTTAAAGTAGTTTTTTCCAACTCTGTGAAGAAAGTCATTGGTAGCTTGATGGGGATGGCATTGAATCTATAAATTACCTTGGGCAGTATGACCATTTTCACGATATTGATTCTTCCTATCCATGAGCATGGAATGTTCTTCCATTTGTTTGTAACCCCTTTTATTTCATTGAGCAGTGGTTTGTAGTTCTCCTTGAAGAGGTCCTTCACATCCCTTTTAAGTTGGATTCCTAGGTATTTTATTCTCTTCGAAGCAATTGTGAATGGGAGTTCACTCATGATTTGGCTCTCTGTCTGTTATTGGTGTATAAGAATGGTTGTGATTTTTGCACATTGATTTTGTATCCTGAGACTTTGCTGAAGTTGCTTATCAGCTTAAAGAGATTTGGAGCTGAGACAAGGGGGTTTTCTAGATATACAATCATGTCATCTGCAAACAGGGACAATTTGACTTTCTCTTTTCCTTATTGAATACCCTTTATTTCTTTGTTTTGTTACAGGCTTTTAAAATAACCTTTATTTTTTAAAAGTTAATATGTGCATTATAGGAAACAGAAAAACACAAGAAGCAAAGAACAAAGCCATTCACAATCACAAGCAGTTTATAGTTTGACATGTTCTTCTAATTCCTGTGTGTAGGCACAGCATCCAATTTTATGGGACTGAGATTGTACAGTATGTATCACGATTTTTTTCACACATCATGAATATTTACCAATTCAAAATCCCAAAGCTATATGAGTATTTTGATAACCAAGAATACACTACACCAATTCGAACTGCTAAAAAAAAAAGGTAATCCTGCCTTTCTTGAGACAAAAATTTCATAGACGACAAAAATGGCAACACTCCTCTAGATAAAAGCATTGGCAGAGTTCCGATTTAAATGCTGCATTCCCTTAATGCTCAATTTAAAATGAAACACACGGCAACAGAATACACTAAGTATAATGTTTTTAAGAGAATTCATTAGCAGATCTATACCATTAAAATATTAGCAAAGTATATTTCCATTGAATTACTTAATGTATTCTTATAGTACAGCCAAAAGAGATGCATACATCAATGGCTATCAAAATGTAAACATGGACATATATGGACACATCTGCATACATCTCTGCCTGTATACTTCCTTCTGTCCCTCTGCTGCCAACCTAATGAACAAGTCCTGACATACACTGCTCAGAGGTGACTTAACAATTCCATGTCCAAGATGCATCTTTTCCATCAATTATAACAAACGTATTTACAAATAGGCTAATTCACTAGCTCTGGTTTTTATCATAAGTTGTCACCCCATTCATAAAGCTCAGATGTTGCAAAATAATAACTTTGTCCAAAATGAACACAGGCACTTTACTAAAAACGCTCATATAGACCTGTGGTTATCATCTAAAACCATCGTCTAGCTATGGAGATACTAGCAAAGAGCCCTTCCCTTCACCCTTCCTCTTCTCCCTCTTCCACCATCCCAGTGACTAAGTATAGGACATCTGGCTCCAAGAGGTGGACTAAAAAAGGTCACTCCCAGAGGACAGGCCTTCCTAAAAACTAACAAAAACTACATCTATTTTTAACATACTTTGAGCATTAAGACTTATCCTTTAATACACAATATTAACTAAAATGCACATATAGAACAATGGTTAGACCATCTGAACTAATCTCAGGAGCACAGAACCCTTCTCCCTGCATACCTCCTCAGCCCCCCGCCCCCGCCCCAACCACTCAATGAACAGTCTGCATTCGCTTCTAAGCATCAAGTTTTAACAATTCCATTCCCAAATGCAACCACTCCTAGGAAGTATTGAAAACAAATGCTTAGAGGGGTGTTACTTAAGCCCTCTACTTTTAACCTATGTTGTGCAAAATCTCTCAGCATTTGCTTGTCTGTAAAGGATTTTATTTCTCCTTCACTTATGAAGTTTAGTTTGGCCGGGTATGAAATTCTAGGTTGAAAATTCTTTTCTTTAAGAATGTTGAATATTGGCCCCCACTCTCTTCTGGCTTGTAGAGTTTCTGCCGAGAGATCAGCTGTTAGTCTGATGGACTTCCCTTTGTGGGTAACAGCGAATATTGCTGAACAGCAAATGTTGCTGCCTGATCGTTGCTCTGGAAGTTTTGTCTCAGAGGAGTACCCGGCCGTGTGAGGTGTCTGTCTGCCCCTGCTGGGGGATGCCTCCCAGTTAGGCTACTCAGGGGTCAGGGACCCACTTGAGGAGGCAGTCTGTCCATTCTCAGATCTCAAACTCCGTGCTGGGAGAACCACTACTCTCTTCAAAGCTGTCAGACAGGGACATTTAAGTCTGCAGAAGTTTCTGCTGCCTTTTGTTCGGCTATGCCCTGCCCCCAGAGGTGGAGTCTACAGAGGCAGTTAGGCCTCCTTGAGCTGCCGTGGCTCCACCCAGTTCGAGCTTCCCAGGCCACTTTGTTTACCTACTCAAGCCTCAGCAATGGCGGGCGCCCCTCCCCCAGCCTCACTGCCACCTTGCAGTTTGATCTCACACTGCTATGCTAGCAATGAGTGAGGCTCCGTGGGCGTGGGACCCTCTGAGCCAGGCACGGGATATAATCTCCTGGTGTGCTGTTTGCTAAGACCATTGGAAAAGCACAGTATTAGGGTGGGAGTGACCCTATTTTCCAGGTGCCATCTGTCACAGCTTTGCTTGGCTATGAAAGGGAATTCCCTGATGCTTTGCACTTCCCAGGTGAGGCGATGCCTCGCCCTGCTTCGGCTCATGCTCGATGTGCTGCACTCACTGTCCTGCACCCACTGTCTGACAAGCCCCAGTGAGATGAACCCGGTACCTCAGTTGGAAATGCAGAAATCACCCATCTTCTGCGTCACTCACACTGGGAGCTGTAGACTGGAGCTGTTCCTATTCAGCCATCTTGGAACTGCCCCCCCTCATTTTGTATCTTTTTAAAAATTTAACTTTTATTTTAAGTTTGCGTTACATGTGCCAATTTCTTATATAGGTAAACTTGTGTCATGGGGGTTTGTTGCACAGATTATTTCATTACCCAGGTATTAAGCCTCACCCATTATTTATTTTTCCTGATCCTCTCTGTCCTCCCACCCTTCACCCTCTGATAGGCTCCAGTGTGTGTTGTTTCCCTCTATGTGTCCATGTGTTCTCATCATTTAGCTCCCATTTATAAAGTAAGAACATGTGTTCTGTTCCTGAGTTAGTCTGCTAAAAATAGTGGCCTCCAGCTCCATCCATGTTACTGTAAATTATATTATCTCATTATTTTTTAGGGCTGTATAGTATTGCATGGTGCATATATACCACATTTTCTTTATCCAGTCTGTCGCATTTGGGTTGATTCTATGTTTTTACTTTTGTGAATAATGGTGAAATAAACATATATATGTATGTGTCTTTATAATAGAACAATTTATATTTCTTTGAGTATAAACCCAGTAATGGGATTGCTGGGTCGAATAGTATTTCTGTTTTTAGGTCCTTGAGGAATTGCCACACTGTCTTCCACAATGATTGAACTAATTTACACTCCCACCAGCAGTGTATAAGCATTCCTTTTTCTCTGCAACCTCTCCAGCATCTGTTATTTTTTGACTTTTCATTAATAGCTATTCTGACTAGTATAAGATGGTTTTGACTTGCATTTCTCTAATGATCAGTGATGTTGAGCTTTTTAAAATATACTTTTTGGCAGCATGTATATCTTCTTTTGAAAAGTATCTCTTCATATCCTTTGCCCATTTTTAATGGGGTTGTTTGTTTTTGTGTGTGTATATAAATTCATTTAAGCTCCTTATAGATGATGGATATTAGACCTTTGTCATATGCATAGTTTGCAAAAATTTTCTCCCATTTTGTAGGTTGTCTGTTTACGTGTTGATGGCTTCCTTTGCTGTGCAGAAGCTTTTTAGTTTAATTAGATTCCATTTGTCAATTTTTGCTCTTGTTGCAATTGTTTTTGGTGTCTTCATCACGAAATCTTTGCCTGTTCCTGTGTCCAGAATGGTATTGCCTAGGTTTCTTCCAGGGTTTTTATAGTTTTTGGTTTTACATTTAAGTCTTGAATCTATCTTGAGTTAATTTTTGTATATGGGGTAAGGAAGGGGTCCAGTTTCAATTTTCTGCATATGGCTAGGCAGTTATCCCGGCATCATTTATTAAATAGGAAATCTTTTCCCTGTTGGTTGTTTTTGTCAGGTTTGTGGAAGATCAGATAGTTGTAGATGTGCAAGCTTATTTCTGGGTTCCCTATTCTGTTCCATGGTGTATTTGTCTGTTTTTGTACCAGTACCATGCTGTTTTGGTTATTGTAGCCTTGTAATATAGTTTGAGGTCAGGTAACATGACGCCTCCAGCTTTGTTCTTTTTGCTTTGGAATGCCTTGGCTATTCAGACTCCTTTTTCGTTCCATATGAATTTTTAAATAGTTTTTTCTAATTCTGTGCAGAATGTCAATGGTAGTTTAATAGGAATAGCATTAAATCTATAAATTGCATAGGCAGTATGGCCATTTAATGATATTGATTCTTCCTATCCATAAGCATGAAATGTTTTTCCATTTTTTTGTGTCATCTCTGATTTCTTTGAGCAGAGTTTTGTAGATCTTGTAGAAATTTTTCACCTCCCTGGTTAGCTGTATACCTTGGTATTTTATAGTTTTTGTGGCAATTGTGAATGGGATTGCATTCCTGATTTCACTCTTGTTGGTGTATAGGAATGTTAGTGATTTTTGCACACTGATTTTGTGTCCTGAGACTTTGCTGAAGTTGTTTATCAGCTTAAGGAGCTTTGGGCTAAGACTGGGCTTTCCTAGATATAGGATCATGTCATCTACAAACAGGGATAGTTTGACTTCCTTTCCTCCTATTTGAATGCCCTTTATTTCTTTCTCTTGCCTGATTGCCCTGACCAGTACTTCCAATACTATATTGAATAGGAGTGGTGAGAGAGGGCATCCTTGTCTTGTGCTGGTTTTCAAGGTGAGAAGTGATGCCTTATATTATATCACACATGTCTAACCTGCCTACCCCAAATCCCTGTAAAATAAATGCGTATTTTATAGTGACTTCAATGCAATGTAAATAAAGAAAGATTAGGCCTGAAAGTGGCATTTACCTTCAAATTGCTTTAACTCCAGTGCTGAAGATGCACATACAATGGAGCAAATATTTTGCAAGCCAGAGTTAGATATATGATACCATGAGTTCAAAAGATGGGCTATGGCCACAGAGGAAGGACCAAGTATTAGTGGGGATGGGTAGACCAGAGAAGGAAGTCTTCAAGGAGGGCGAAGCATTGAGCTATGACTTGAAGCATAAGAAGAATTTCTTAGAGAAGAATGTATATGCAAGTGATCTAAGAGTTCACAGTCAATGCTGGATCCTAGAACACTGTAAGGTTTCTGTGTTGATCTGGATGTGCAGACGCTAGGCTAGGTGCTCAGAATACAAGAGGGAAGCCACAAAGTTCCTGCCTTCACAGCACTTACAGTTTGGGGGATACAGACCGACAAGAGTTTGCAATGTAGAGGGATGAGGGTAAAGTATGGGGTGCGGTGGCCCTGTCTCAGGCAGCCAGAGACACTGAAGATGGGATCTGATGGTTGGATGGGAATGGGCCAGGAAGAACGGGGGCACATGTCGTTAGAGGTCTTGATGTCAGTGGATGACCATTTTGGGGACTAGAGATGATGTGACTCGTTTAGAGAGCTGCAGGTTGTTTGCTAGAACATTTCAAGGTAGGCTGGAGCCAGATGGTGAAGTGGGAGAATACATAGGGACAGGATGGACATGGGCCTTGAAGAGCACAATGAGGAGTTGGATTGCCCCAAACCTTGTTCTTGTCTTTGACATTAGTGTAAATGTGAAGAATTCCCATTTGGTAAGAGAGATTAGAGGCTTGTGACAAAGGACCCCGGTTCCCACTCTTTTCCATTTCTTGGTCATCATCGAACCCCTCCTCCCTCAGCTCAGCCTCACAAAGCATTCTGAGTTTCTGTCCCTCCTACGTTATTGGTTACACGCAGTCCCCAACATACATTCATCTTTGCACCATATTTCTTTTTTAAAATGGTTATTTTATTTTAGTTTATTTTTTTCAGTTCTGGGGTACATGTGCAGCATGTGCAGGTTTGTTACATAGGTAAACGTTGCACCATGTTTCTTATGCACGAATAACCTTGCAGGAATGGCCTCCTGGAGATGACCAGGCAAGTGACTTCCTTCCCCCTTCCCCCTTCCCCCAATCCCAGCTCCCATGGCATTCCTTCCCTTTTCTCTCTCTTAATCTTCTCTGAGCTGATGTGAAGACTGCTCACCTCTGCCCCATGGGCATGGTTTTTATCTCACCGTGGGGTAGCTTGGCAAGAGGGGAAGGAGAGGGAACTGGAGAGAGTAAACATCAAGGGCTGTCCTCTGCCTCTGCCTCCCACGCCAGACCTTGTCTTCCTGCCCCCTCAGACCTCCACTTCCTCACCATGGGTGATAGATGGACCCCTCTGGTAACCTTGGCTTTCAGCTTTCTCTCAAATATCCAGGTCTGCCACTTCAGAATACAAGAGGGAAGCCACAAAGTTCCTGCCCTCACAGCACTTACAGTTTGTGGGATACAGACTGACAAAGGTTTGCAATGTAGAGGGATGATGAAGTGTGAAAGGGGCCATTGCTAGGACATCTGTGTGTGGATTTCATCTTTCTCTATGATATTTCAGTGAAAACAGAACGAGGTGCAGAGGAGAGCCTCGTAATCCCAGGTCGGCCTCCCTTTAATTATCGTAGATGAATTAGAACCCTTTTAAAAGAAAGCTTGCTTTGAGGATAGAAAAGTAACAGGAAAGCTCTGTGATTATCATTTGTTCCTTAATGGAAAGATAGCAAAAGTTTTCACAGCTACAGACAGCCAAGCCCTGGGGCCACTGAGACGCAAGGATAGCAGGGGTACACCCCAGAGTTAAGCAGAGACCCTGTTCTCAGCCTTTCTCGTGATGACAATTTATGCTCCCGGGTTTTGGTTGCTAAAGGATCAAATACACTTTAGATCTAGAAGTGAATGAAGAAGTGTGTCTGTAAAAGAACACTACTGCCACCTCAACAACAAAAAAACCATTTTCCTCCCAGCCTAACATAGGTAGGTCCTGCCGTGGTCTTGGTGGTCGACCACTGGGGGGCAGAAGAGGATAAAAGTTTTCCCTAGAAGGTGCCTTGTCGACGGGAATCATTGGTCTCCCTGGCGCTTTTCCAATTCTCTCTCTGTGATCTCGTTCAGGCTAACTCTCTCAGAGGTTTTAGAGGAAATTACAGTTTGATCTTCCGGGCAGGAAGGTTATGTAGAGCACTGGTCCTCAAAATGTCCTCAGATTCCTGGGGATCACTGAGACCCTTTCAGGAGGTCCTGGAAGTCAAATTATTTTCAGAATAATAACAAGATATTGTCTTTTTTCCCTGGGTTGATACCTGCACCAATAGTGCAAAACTGATGGTTAAATCTGCTGGTAGCTTAGCACAAATCAAGGTACTGGCACAAAACTCTTCTAACAGTCATTGTATTCTTCACTATCACACACACGCAGTTAAAAAAAAAAAAGCCAGTTTCACCTAGGAATGGCCTTGATCAAGTGGTAAAAGTTATTGATTTTATCAAATCTTGACCCTTGCTTGGATTTATTTCCTTTTACTATTCAATGTGACAGAATGGGAGTACACACAGAACAGTTTTGCTGCATACTGAAGTAGGATAGTTATTCTGAGGAAAAACACTTCTGCAACATATACAAGATTCCTCCCTTTTTGGGGAACATCAATTTTACTTTAAAAAAAAAAAACTAAAAAAGTGACTGACAGAGAAATTATGGTTTTTCAGACTTCAGTATTTGGCTGATGTTTTCTCAAAAATAAAGTGAGCTTATCCCTTTAAGGAAAACAAGTAACTACAGTATGTGTGTTAATGACAAAATGTGAGCTTTCAAGCAAAACTTGGAAATCTAGAAAACTTGTATCTACCACAGTGAGCTTCACAAGTTCATATCTGAAGACTTTTCTGATCAATCTGATGGTGATATTAATAAATTTGATATTTTTTGTATTGTATAATGAAATGTGTCAAAATGGTGATGATTTGCATAACTCACTGAATGACTATTTTACCCTACACATAGTAAATTAAAAGATCTATTCAAAGTGTAAGACAATAAATGGATTTTAATATAACAGAGTACAAAAAGTTCATTGATATGGTTTCAGATTCCATATTACTACTAATCTTTCAAAAACTAACATTTTGGTAATTTGTTTTTTTTTTAATTGGCCACAAAAATATCTGAAAAGCTGTTGAAATACCCCTTCTTTTTCCAACTACTTATCTGCGCAAGGCTGGATTTTCTTATGTCAATCGAAACATGTAGGGCCTGGCGCGGTGACTCACACCTGTAATCCCCGCACTTTGGGAGGCTGAGGTGGGTGGATTACAAGGTCAGGAGTTCAAGATCAGCCTGGCCAACATGGTGAAACCCCGTCTCTACTAAAAAATACAAAAATTAGCTGGGCGTGGTGGCAGGCGTCTGTAATCCCAGCTACTTGGGAGGCTGAGGCAGGAGAATTGCTTGAACCCGGGCGGCAGAGGTTGCAGTGATCCGAGATCGAGCCACTGCACTCCAGCCTGGGTGACAGAGTGAGACTCTGTCTCCAAAAAAAAAAAAAAAAAAAAGAAAAAAAAAGAAACACTGTATTACAGCCAACGGAGAACAGGAGCAGATATGAGGCTCTGCTAGCCACTAACCACTAATTCTACCATGTTTTGAATAAACATTCAGGAAAGTAGGTGTCTTGATTTGTTCCCCTGTCATTTAATTACTACAAATAAACATGACTTCCTCCTTTGTCTACAAATGCTCTTCTTTTGAAAACCAAAGATCTTGACCAGGATACTTTTACTAGGCAACCTGTGCTTTGCTAACAGCAATATGATCTATCACTTATATTGTAAATGTTTTTAGTTTACAAATACTACGCATACATTCCACTCAAATACTCTGAAGTCAAGATGGGATTTGCCCAAGGTTGTGTAGTAAACAGCAGCAGAGTCACTAAAACTCTGTTTTAATGACTTAAGGTCATTTGCTGCCCCATGACACCGCTTGATCTGGAAAGTGTCTTCGCCTAGGCAGTTTGCCAGAAGAGGGAGAGAAGAAATTAAAGAGACCAGATAACTTTGCATTTGGTAAAGAACAAATCTGTCTCTCTTAGGCAGGAGTGAAGAGGATGAGATTCTTGTGTGTGGTAGGTTATGGGTCTGAACTACAATTCAGATTCTTTTTAATTTTTTTTTTATTTTTTATTTTTAGATACAGTCTCTCTCTGTTACACAGGCTGGAGTGCAGTGGCACGATCTGGATTCACTGCATCCTCGACCTCCCAAGCTCAAGCGATCCTCTCACCTCAGCATCTGAGTAGCTGGGACAACAGGCGCCACACCACCACACCCGGTAAATTTTTGCAATTTTTGTAGAGATGGGGTTTCACCGTGCTGCCCATGTTGGTCTCGAACTCCTGGACCTAAGCGTTCCGCCTGGCTCGGTCTCCTGAAGTGTTAGGATTACAGGCATCAGTAATTGCACCCGGCCAAACAATTCAGGTTCTTTTTTGTTTTGAGACCGACTCTCAAACTGATCGCCCAGGCTGGAGTGCAGTGGCACGGTCTCAGCTCACTCCAACCTCTGCCTCCCAGGTTGAAGGGATTCTCGTGCCTCAGACTCTTGAGTAGCTGGAGTAAGCCTAATTAATTAATTTTTTTTTTTTTTTGTATTTTTAGTAGAGATGGGGTTCCACCATGTTGGCCAGGCTGGTCTCGAATTCCTGGCCTCAGGTGATCCCGCCTGCCTCCGCTTCCCAGAGTGCTGGGATTACAGGCGTGAGCCACCGAACCTCGCACATTTGTTACATTTGTAGACAAGCGGGACAAAATGAAGGGAGGGAAGCTGTGTATAGAATGAAAAAGGCGATTCTTCAGGAGTTAAGAGTAGTTTATAGAATCTGTCACCAGTGTCTTTTCCTTGTATTCTCTTTTCCCGTTTCACACATCTCTTTCCTAAAGAGTTGGCAACTTTAACAATATTTACATTTGCATGGCCCCTCTCAATTTTCAAAGTATTTTCGCAATCATTGTTCACTAAACCTCAGACAGAGCCTTCCCTCTGTGAGGAAAGCTCACAGAGTAGGTGTTATGGGCTCCTGGTGCCTTGGCAAGCAGAAGTATTTCAGGAGCTAGGCGAGCTGACTCTAGCCTAGTCTGGAGGATGAGCTGGTAGGATGGGGAGAGCCTACCCCAACTCAGCTGCCCACAGCATCAGCACCACCCTCCACTTGGAAAAGAGGAAGCACCAGAACCCAACGTTCCCCCAGACAAAAAGCCCCAGAGTTTCTGATTCAGTTCGTTAAGGATGGGGCCTGGGAATGTGCATTTCTATCACGTTCCCAACAGATGCTACCGGTCTGGGAACTACACTTTGAGAACCACTGCTTTAATTCATACCATATGTTTGCAGAATTAGTCCAAAAACTTGTATGTTAGGTGACACCTGATAAAAGAAAAAGTTCATCTGAATTAAATTTAAAGAAGTTTAATTGAGCAATGAACAATTTGCGAATGGGGCAGCACCCAGAGTCACAGCAGATTCACAGAGACTCCAGCACAACCACGTGGTGGAAGAAGATTTATAGACAAAAAAAGGGAAATGACCTACAGAAACCGGAAGTGACGCACAGAACAGCTGGATTGATTGCAGGTTGGCATTTGCCTTTTTTTTTTTTTTTTTTTTTTTTGAGACGGAGTCTCGCTCTGTCGCCCAGGCTGGAGTGCAGTGGCGGGATCTCGGCTCACTGCAAGCTCCGCCTCCCGGGTTCACGCCATTCTCCTGCTTCAGCCTCCCAAGTAGCTGGGACTACAGGCGCCCGCCACTACGCCCGGCTAATTTTTTGTATTTTTAGTAGAGACGGGGTTTCACCGTTTTAGCCGGGATGGTCTCGATCTCCTGACCTCGTGATCCGCCCGCCTCGGCCTCCCAAAGTGCTGGGACTACAGGCGTGAGCCACCGCGCCCGGCCGGCATTTGCCTTTTTTGAACACAGTCTGAACACTCATCAGTGTGTGAGTAGTTGAAGTATGGCTGCTGGGATTGGCCAAGACTCAGCTATTGTTACAGATGCATACTCCTAAGTTAGGTTTTCAATCTTGTTTATTAAGCTAGGTTACAGTTCATCCCCAAGGACTCAAATATAGAAGAATGGAGTCCTTCTCAGGCTATATTTATTTTGCTTTAACACACCTATGTCCTTGAAGGAACCCATGAAGAGCCCTTTCATGAAGAGTCTGTTTTGCTGATGAGGAAGATGAATAGAAATAAGCAACTTGTCCAAGGCCATGCTGAGAGAAATTTGGTAGAGTCCGTCTGAAGTAGACCCATGATCTTCTGATTCCTTACCAAGGGTAGTTCCTAAGGCTGTTAGTCTTTCACAACTTTCTTTAATAGCAGACAGGGGTGATTAGCAGTTGCTATTTGTGAAATGTCTAAGAGTTGATGCCTGGGATGGCCCTTGAGTTCACAGCTGTGAAAGTAAACCCATTACAACTATTTTTGTTTGTTTGTTTGTTTGTTTGAGATGGAGTCTCACTTTGTTGCCTGGGCTATAGTGCAGTGGCCTGATCTCGGCTCACTGCAACCTCCGTCTCCTGAGTTCAAGCAATTCTCCCCCCTCAGCCTCCCAAGTAGCTGGGACTATAGGCGCACATCACTACACCCGGCTAATTTTTTTTACTTTTAGTAGAGATGGGGTTTCACCATGTTGGCCAGGCTGGTCTTGATCTCCTGACCTCGTGACCTGTCCGCCTTGGCCTCCCAAAGTGCTGGGATTACAGGCGTGAGCCATCGCACCTGGCCCCCCATCACAACTATTTTATGGTCTGGGTCCCAGATTTTATTCACCTCTCTACCCCGGCAGCAACCTACACAGTGTTTCCTGCCTTCTAGGTGTATTAAATAAATACATGTTGGCTGAGCACAGTGGCTCACACCTGTAATCCCAGCACTTTGGGAGACTGAGGCAGGAGGATTGCTTGAGCCGAGTTTGAGACTAACCTGAGCAACATAGTGAGACCCCATCTCTAGAAAATAAGTTGAACATGAGCATGACCTAATAGCAATGAAAAAAGAATGCTCCCTATTTTTATCCATGACACATTATAGGAGATAAAAATGTCCTTCAGCGTACCTGAGATTATCAAGGATAGAAGTACATAAAACATTAAATTTCAGCTCTTTAGAATTATATGCCTAAATGCTGTTGGGTTTCCAAAGATAGTGGATTTCAACCCAATTTAATTTTAAAAAATGATGTTCACGCTAAACAAATAACTGTGCTGGGGTTGTAAGTAAGATCTAGTTTCTCACTTACAGGAATTTAGTGTCAAGTGGGAAGATGCAGAATGTTCGTAATTAACTACAGTATTACATGAAATAGAATGTGTTACCTGCCAAAATAGAGATCTACAGTGCAAAGAGACAAAAAGGTGAGAACTGGCTTTCACTTAGGAGAGTGAATGAAGCATTTGTGGAGGAAATGGTATCTGAACCGAGCCCCTAAAGGGTAGGTGGATCTTGCCTGTTAAAGAGAAAGAATCTTCTGGGCAGAGAAAATCACATGGGAAAAGAGATAGGCACAAAGATCTCTTGGGAGCAGCTACTTTTCCATATGGACTGGGCAGGGCACGCGAGTGAAGTATGAAGTTCAACTGGAATGTCATTGGGAACAGCCAAGGCCGAGAACTATGGAATAGTTTTGAGCCAGGGGAGATATGATCAGGGCTGTGCTGCAGAGAAAGTGGCTGCAGCAGGGAGCAGTGTGGAGGGCAGGGGGAAGAGATAAGAAGAGAGAGGTGAAGAGTTGGAAACCAGTAAGAAGGACACTTCAGAATGTGACATGAGTGAGAGAGTGGGTTTGGGCTCCTCTGTGGTAAACCTCATTTTGAAACTGGTTTCACTCGCTACCCCTGCAATTTAGGCTTTAAAATAAGACTGTCTTTGGACTTTAGTTTTCTCACCTGTGAAAGGAGAGGGTCGATGCTGGCTCAAGTCGGCCATCTCTGATGGTCTGTGATTCTAAGCATCTTATTTGTCATCTGCTACAAATCCAATTCTGGATGGCTGAGGTCACTTCTCATCCTTAAAATTTGCTAACATGAATTTGGTGTTGTTTGGTGCTGTTTGCAATTGGAAATCCCACTGATATGGCCATGATTTGGGGCAGGATTGGGAAGATGAAATCATTGAGTTGGAGTTTATTCCAATTTGCCTTATTTAAAACTTATTTCAGTTATACCAACTTTTCAAGCATGGCTGAAAAGAGAAAATATATCTTGCTGGGTTTACAAACTCGGGGGACAGGAAGTAGGTTTCCAACTCTGAACATGTGGTAGGTTACTTAGGTTACTTCTTGTAAACACAAGGATTTTACATCAGGGGCAGAGGCCAGATTTCATGACTATAACTGGAAATCTTAGGAAACAGATGAATCATATAACCCATCACTTCAACTGGAAAGCAAATGTATCCTACTATTAGAGTTTATCTCGAAATGCTTTGGGAAATCTCAGGGGGCTGGAGGAACCCTCAGCTCAAGCCATTTGTGGGATGTGTTGGTCCGGCATAGACTCCAGCCAAAAGACCAAATATTGCCTTTTGTTGTTTCCTGGAGGGAAGGATATGGACAACAATGATCTGGCCGTGGGGAAGATTCAAGGGAATAAAAATGAATCATCACCAGCCACCAGGAAGCACCAGGAGCTCTCTAAATGGAATGGAGGCCTCCCATACCTTGGGTGGGTGAGGTAAAACAATAGCTGATGAGGGAGACAGAGGCGGAGATAGGAACACTCAGCTTTACTGAGACTGGCAACCATGGTGAAGGAACTAACCAAAAGAAATATGAGCTTGCTGCTGCCCCGAATTTCAAAAGAAATCACTTCGGGGCTGGTTTCCTGTAGTGTCCCTTAGGGAGGTCATTTTTTTTTTTTCTGAGCCACCCCTGGTGATTTCCTCATCAGCTGCCCCAGCTCTAGTATCCACCATGAGCAATGTCATCTGCATAATAATGTGGAGAATGTAACCAACTATTCACTCCATGTCCAAAAGGGCTCTGTGAACTATGAGGCTACAAAGAGCCTCCAACCAGAAGACTGGAGTGCTAATTGCTGCCCTAGGAAGGAGGGTGGAGGGACATCTGCCCTCCAGTTCAGGTCCTCAGCTGCGGCTTTGGGGGAATTTTAGACACACCCTGCTAGTTGCTGGACCCTGGGACATAGGATTTGAGCTGGATTCTTTCTTGTCTTCTTGTGCTTTTTAAATAATGTAATTAATTAATTACCTTTTTAAAGCATCCTTATATCTCTCCATTTATTTTTGTCTTCTTTAGTGTTTCTAAATAAAGTCTTTTTTTAACCTTTAAAAATTAAGGATATTTTCAAACATACAAAAATTAGAGGATAGTATGATGAACCCACACCACCTAACTTCGATATCTGACCAAGTTTGTTTCACTTATGTCCCTTCCAGTTTTTTTCTAGATATGTAAAAACACATTCGAAGTATCATGTCATCTGTAAAGTCTTCAAAATATATTGCTAGCAGATAAGGAGTTTTAACAAATAACAGTACTACTATTATATGTAACAAAACTAGTAATTTTTTCACCTCACGTAATGCCCAGTGATCCACTTTCTCTTGTTGTCTAAAATGTCTTTTTTGAAGTTGGCTTGAGTTGGAAACCAAGTAAGATCTATACAAAATACACGTTAGTTCCTCTCTTCTTTTCATGCTATTCATTCGTAGAAGAAATCAGATAATAGGTTCTGTAGAATTTCGAGCTTTGGCTTATTGCATTCTTGTGGTGTTTTCCCAAGGAGCCCTTGTGTCCAGATGGTGGTCTTTCAATAACATTTCCCAATTTTTTATGATTACAGGGTTTTTGCTTATTTGATTTTATATTTGTATCTTGTTGTTCCTATGCTGAAAAGCTCAGTCTCTATATTAACATAATTACTTGTCAACTTTAGCTTACAACACATATATAGCTTAAAAATAATAGGCAATAAGACTACTGAACCTAGGTTAAGAGTTCTCTGCAATAATTCCATGGAGATAATATCTTCTTTTACATCCCTAAAGATATTTACTATAGTTCCTTTCTGCATTGATGTTTTCCTTTATTTTCTTTATCATTTCTGTTTCACTTTTCAGGCATTGATAAACCTTGGCTGTTGCTTCAAATATAAATGATTCTAGAACATCAGAATAACTAGTAACAGTAAGATTACTCAAATAAGCAAATAAAATCAAAGAAGGTAAGTAAAAATTTTATAATCTAACGTTTGAATTGGACATATCACTATAAACTCATTTTATCTTTTAAAATAAATTTTAAAATGCATATTTCATTGCTCTGTCCCTTGAAAAAGTCTAAAAGGAATGACAACTCAGCAGTAATTAACACAATAAGCATCCAGATTGTGGTTTTTAAATCCTATTGTGTCCAGAATTGGTGGGTTCTTGGTCTCACTGACTTCAAGAATGAAGCCGCAGACGCTCGCGGTGAGTGTTACAGCTCTTAAGGTGGCGCCTCTGGAGTTTGTTCCTTCTGATGTTCGGATGTGTTCAGAGTTTCTTACTTCTGGTGGGTTCGTGGTCTCGCTGGCTCAGGAGTGAAGCTGCAGACCTTCGAGGTGACTGTTACAGCTCTTAAGACAGCGCGTCTGGAGTTGTTCGCTCCTCCCGGTGGGCTCATGGTCTCGCTGGCTTCAGGAATGAAGCTGCAGACCTTTGTGGTGAGTGTTACAGCTTGTAAAAGCAGCGTGGACCCAAAGAGTGAGCGGTAGCAAGATTTATTGCAAAGAGCGAAAGAACAAAGCTTCCACATTGTGGAGAAGGACCTGAGCGGGTTGCCACTGCTGCCTCCGGCAGCCTGCTTTTATTCTCTTATCTGGCCCCACCCACATCCTGCTGATTGGTAGAGCCGAGTGGTCTGTTTTGACAGGGCGCTGATTGGTGCGTTTACAATCCCTGAGCTAGACACAAAGGTTCTCCACGTCCCCTCTCGATTAGCTACATAGAGTGTGGACACAAAGGTTCTCCAAGGCCCCACCAGAGTAGCTAGATACAGAGTGTCCATTGGTGCATTCACAAACCCTGAGCTAGACACAGGGTGCTGATTGGTGTGTTTACAAACCTTGAGCTAGATACAGAGTGCCTATTGGTGCATTTACAATCCCTGAGCCAGACATAAAGGTTCTCCACGTCCCCACCAGACTCAGGAGCCCAGCTGGCTTCACCCAGTGGATCCCGCACCAGGGCTGCAGGTGGAGCTGCCTGCCAGTCCCGGTGCCCTGCGCCTGCACTCCTCAGCCCTTGGGTGGTCGATGGGACTGGGCGCCCTGGAGCAGGGGGTGGCGCTTGTCAGGGAGGCTCGGCCGCACAGGAGCCCATGGAGGGGGTGGGAGGCTCAGGCATGGCGGGCTGCAGGTCCCGGAGCCCTGTCCTGCGGGAAGACAGCTAAGGCCCAGTGAGAAATCGAGCGCAGCGCCGGTGGGCTGGCACTGCTGGGGGACCCAGTACACCCTCTGCAGCTGCTGGCCTGGGTGCTAAGCCCCTCATTGCTCGGGGCCGGCAGGACCGGCCAGCTGCTCGGAGTGCGGGGCCCGCCAAGCCCACGCCCACCTGGAACTCCAGCTGGCCCGCAAGCGCCGCGCACAGCCCCGGTTCCCGCTCCGTGCCTCTCCCTCCACACCTCCCTACAAGGTGAGGGAGCTGGCTCCGGCCTTGGCTAGCCCAGAAAGGGGCTCCCATAGTGCAGCGGTGGGCTGAAGGGCTCCTCAAGTGCCGCCAAAGTGGAAGCCCAGGCAGAGGAGGCGCCGAGAAGGAGCGAGGCCTGTGAGGACTGCTAGCACGCTGTCACCTCTCACTATTCCCAACTAACAGGAACTAGAGCTCTTTAGAAAAATGCTTGATTCCAAGTCTAGGGCAAAAATTAAAAGGTGAGTCTGGGACATTGTTTTGTGTCAAAGAAGAAACAAGAAAGCCTTTCAAAACAAATGGGGCTGTAGTTATCCAATGGGTTCTTCCTGCCTGCTGCAGAGACAAAACCCATTCACTGAGACCACAGTATTGCAGTAAAGAAGGAGTTTAATTAATACGAGGCCGGCCACGTAGAAGAACTGGAATTATTCAAGTCAGTCTCCTGAAGGCTTGGAGGTTAGAGTTTTTCAAGGAGAGTTTGGTGGGCAGGAGGCTAGGGAATGGGAAATGTTGATTAGTTGGGGATGCAGTCATAGGAGCCTGGAAAAATGGTCCTTATGTGCTGAGTCAGCCTCTGGATGGGGGCCACAGGACCATTTCAGTCACGAGTCATGGTCTGGGTAGAGTCAGTTGGTTGCCATAAATGTAAAAGTCTAAAAACATCTCAAAAGGCCAGTCTTAGGTTCTACGATAGTGATGTTATCTACAGGAATAATTGGAGAAGTTACACATATTGTGACCTCTGGAACAATGGCTGGTTGTTGTTTAACTATGCCTGTATCTTAACCAGAATTCAGGCCCTTCTCATAATCCTAATCTTGTGGTCTTCCGTTATTTTTACAAAGGTGGTTTAATTTTGGGAGTGGCTATTATCATCCTTGCTTTAAGGTTAAACTGTAAACTAAAATCCTCCCAAAGTTAGCTTGACCTATGCCCAGCAATGACAGCTTGGAGGTTAGAAGCAAGATGGAGTCAGCTATGCCAGCTTTCTCTTACTGTCATAACTTTGTAAAGGCAGTTTTAGGGTCATATCAGAAAGACACAAGAACTGCCATTAAGGGGCTCCCACTGGCCAAAAATGGGATAATTTGTGTGTGAGAAAGAATTAAAATACATCAGATATCTAAAAATTCATGAGTATTTAATGACTTAAAATTCCTCCTTGGTCATCTTTGGAGGCTGCTAAAATTACTCAAAAATGTATTGAAAAGGGAAATATAAAGGATTTATTCTGCCTTTCTTGTATGTACTATATTTAAGGGTAACCACATTGTTGATGAGGGGAAGCTCTTTATAGGATAATTCCAATGAATAAATGCAGAAGAAATGATAGAATTAGAAAATCATCATTTTGCAATCCCTATAAAATGAATCCAGGCAACAATTATGAGTCGCTTTTAACCCGTTTGCTAATACAGGTTAAAAGTTGACAAAGAACTTCATAATGGAAATATTAGGCTTCTCTCATCAAAACCCAATCACCAATCTTGGTATCATTAAAAGTACAACTGGACCATATAATGATGTTGTGCAGTAGAAAAAACATACCACCACTTAGAAGTATTTTTGCCTAAAAATCTTATCAAGTCAGTAGGTTTAACTACCAGTTTAAAGAAAACAAAAGAAATAGAACAATTTAAACAAGACTATGAAGATGCAATAAACCAAATCCTGAATGAGATATTCTACAAACCAAACAATCCAGTTTCTCCAAAAAATAATTGCATATAAAAAGAGGGATAAATTTTTAGAGAATAAAAGATACTTAAGAGATGGAATAACTGATGTCTAGACCTTGTGTGGATCCTGATTTAAACAAACCTACTATAAAATACATCTTTGAGATAGAGAAATTTGCACATAGACTTAGTATTCAATTATATAAAGAAGTTATTATAAGTTGTATTACTGTCATAATGGCACGATTGCCAGTTTTTAAAAAGTTCGTATTGGTAAAAGATGAATACATATTGATGTATTTACTGGTGAGTTGATATGATGTCCAGGATTTGCTTTAAAATACTCCAGGAAAAAAAAATAGGAAGAGGAGAGGTAAAAAAGAAAGAATAGCTGTTTTTTTAAGTGGCAGACTGCTGATTAATTGTTGAAATGGGGTAACAGGTGCATGTGAGTTCCTTGTACTATTCTTTCTAAGTTTGAAAATGTCTATGTTTTTCAAAATAAATCATAAAGGTTTTCAAAAATAGAGAAAATAGTAAATTCCTTGTGAATAATTAAAAATCTAAATTATTTCTAAATAATAATAATTTAAAAACAATGGAAAAAATAAATCTTAGTAATCATAGGGTATGGCAAAAAAGGAAACTGAATATTCAAAACAAATGAAAAGAGAAAAATTATCTCATGAAGTAACCATCTTTTCTATAGGATGATTTATCTTTATATTGTCACTACCAATTATCTAGAACCCAGGAACCCTCTCTTCCAGGTGACTCTGGTAGTACACAGACAAATTCCAATTTTTTTGGACTTTTTAAAGATGTTCCTTCTGTTTATATTTGTAATGTCATCACCACTTAATCCATGCCATTATGAAATTGCCCCATGATTAACATGATTTGTGGATTTCAGTTTGTTTAATATGGCTACATATTAGGTTTCTTTTTCTTGATGTCACTAAAGGAGGCACCCAAATTGTGTTTGCATCACAGTGTTGGTTGGGGTACAAATCATTCCTTCCAAGCTGGGCTGTTTCCTCTCCATTGGTGGATCCTGGTTTTGTCACTCCATCCCTGACAGCAAATTAGGGACCCATTTTTCGCTCAAGCCTATTACTTATTAGAGTGACCCCTCATCTACTTACTACAGTGACTATCAGCAGAAATGAATTTTTTAGTTTCTGAAAATGAGCCCATTTCACAACATAGCTAACAACTAGCCTGATTCAAGAATTCCAACTCTCCCAGTACAGACTTCTCCTTCTCTTCAGAGGCAAACGCTGGGGGTTGGGGCAGGGCGGGAACAACTGAGCCTTGTGCTCTGCCCTCAAGGTCAACAGATTGAATGTGGCCTTGTGTGTGTTGTGAATGTACAGTACATGACATCATGCATATTCAGTGGGCTTTTCCAACCGCCAGTCTCACTAATGATTAAAATTTCTTTTTAGAAAGGCACCCTTCTTTGGCTTTTGAGATTATTTGACTATCTTGGTACTCTTACCTCCTTTTCTGTCTTAGCCATGATTCTTCTTCATCCTGACTTGCCCCTTTTTCTCTCTCCTCCCCTTTCTCTTCCTCTCCTGCTCTCTCCTCTGCTTGCCTTTTCTCTCTTTTCCTTTCCCCTCCCCATGCCTGTCCTCCTCTACCTTTTCCTTCCTCTCCTCAATCTTCCTTCCTCTCTTTTTTCCTTTCCATTTTCCATACATTAAACCAATAGAGATACCTGACCTCAACTATCAATTTTAAGTGGATAAATTTAAACCTATACCACTTTACTCCAGTGCCAATTCTATACCTTCCATGGACTGTGAAATATTTATACTCATATATCCCATTATTAAATCCAAAGTATTAGGTTGGTGCAAAAGCAATTGCGGTTTCTGCCATTGAAAGAAATGGCAATTTCTTTAATTAATTTGCATCAACCTAATAAAACTTATCTCCCGAAAAGATTCCCCTCCCTTTTCTTTGACTTTGTAGATGACTTCCGTTCTCCAGACTTGGAGCCGTGTAGTCATCTCTTATTCTTTCCTTAACCGCTCTTTTGAGCTAGGCAATGAATTCTATCCCTTCAACCTTTAAACCACATCCTAGCCCATTCCTCCCTCCATTTTTGCCAGTACCACGGTGGTCTGGGCCCTTGTCATGTGAATTATAATAATGGGCCCCTTCATGCTTCTGCCCTCTATACATTTTTCTTCTTGGGTCTCCTGGGCCCATGTTCAGCCTAGATGATTCTCACTTGAACACTGCTTAACTTGCCTTGATACACTTAAAACCTGTGAATACCTAACTAAACCTCCTCTGCAGGAACCTATATCCTCAGGCTGGCATTTGAAACTTTTCTTTTTTGTTTGTTTGTTTGTTTGTTTTTTCAGTTCGAACTCATTTCCCTTTTATTAAAGTCCAAGTTATCATTACATGGTTTGGTACTCAGTAAAGGAAAACTTGTTCAAATAAGGTAATATATTATCATCAGTATTTCCAGGTGACTGTTTACACTTAAGTAGCAATATCAATAAATCCTTGGGAAGCTCATCCATGGGGTTTACACTTTGTCAAGGCCCAGTTCCTCCGGAGTGGAGATTCCCAGTTCATTTAAAGTTGGTCTGAGTTCCTGGATGACATAGGGGCAGATTTCCCTATGAGGTCCTGCTTTGTCCTTAACAGCCTCTAGGATGCCAACTGCACTAGCAAAATCATATAACTGTCTGAATGCCCACAAAGCAGCATCAGTGATTTGGGCTCTGGAACCAGATCATAGCCAACAAGTGTGTTCACCCCTTTACACAATTCCCAAGCATCTATATCTGGCTTGTAGAAGTATGTTACCCGGAGAGCATCAAATTCCTCATCTGTCTCATGTGACCCATGGGAATAGCAGCGAACTGACTGGATAGCCACGGCCGGGCGGGGGTCACAGCTGGGTGCAGAAGGCCTCGAGGGCCAGAGAGCTGTGCCTAGTAAGATCGCAGGCTGAGGCTAGAGAGAGGCCTGGCGTGAGCTCGCGGGCTGCTCCGGAGCTGGCGGGTTGAAACTTTTCTTAATCACTTCCAACTGATCTGTCCAAATTTCTCTCCATTCAGGAGGGTTTCTTCCTGACTCTGTATATATAATTTTCATTTCCTGTCCAAACTTCTTGTGCTTTCATTCCCTGTTAGGATGCCACTCTGCCTTCTTCCCACCCTATCTATGACCTTTCCATTCTCCAAGTCCATATGAAAGCCCTCTTCCTCCAGAAGGGATTTATGGATGAAACGACTTAGATGTCTGGTTTTGCTTTAAAGTAATCTGGTGGGCAATGGAAAAGAGTGTGAGAGCTATAAATGAGACAACCTCAGCGATGTGTTGATGTGTTAGATATATGGGGGCTCATTATCCTATTATCTCTACTTTGGTATTTGCTTGAACTCTTCCATAATAAAAAGTTATTTTTAATGAAAGAAAAGAAGCTATGAGTGTGGCTATGAAACCTGATGCTCTATACCAGCAGGACTCATCAGAGCTGGGGAGGATCCCAGCAGAATGGCAAGTTGGTCTTAGGATGGGTGGGAAAGAGGAGGCTGCTGGCCAAGTAATTTCCTATAAAATGAACTCCACAAGGGTGAGGATTTGCCTCCATTCTGTTTATTGCTGCACCCAGAATATGGAGTATTCCTGGCCCTCCATAGTATTTATTGAGTGAATTTATTGAGTGAATAGATGAATCTACAAATCGAGGTAGGTCTGAGAATAGCCTGCAAATCCATTCTGTGGGAGAAGAGGGAAATGACCATGTTTCTACTGGGCTCTAAATTTGCTCAATGTGCCACAAAAGTATCGATAAAGGCATCAGATAGCTCATCAATTCCAAAGGTCATCATGGTGTGCATCCCTTGCTTTACGGGTGGATAAGGCAGAGAACAAAGAAGTCTCTGCCTTCTGGGGCCTATACACTGGTGGAGATGCAGACAAGAAAACCCATTGTTAAATCCTATTGTCTGAGAGATAAATGCAGGGTGAGATACTTAGTGCCATGGGAGTACAGAAGAGGCTTCCCCAACTCTGGAAGCACAGCTGAAACCTGTTGGCTTCGTGAAAAGTGGGGGGAGATCCATTCAAAGCAGAGAAAACAGCTTGGAGAGGAACAAATGGAAGAGTTTGCTATGGGTGGGTTATTGAACAAAGGGGAGGGGGTGGGGTGGTTGTTGAAGCATCAAGAGATAAGACTAGACAAAAAGGCAGGAGCCAGATGCTACAGGGTCTTGTAGGTCATTTTAAGGAATGTGACTCTATTCACAGAGCTGCAGGAGGATGTTTAAAGTTTTGGAGCAGCTGGAGTGATCTTTGCATTTTAGAAAGATCTCTCTGGCTAAAGGGTGAAGAATAGATGGGTGGGTGAGAGGAGCGGAGCCTGGAGACAGCAAGAAGAGTTAGAAAGCAGTTGCAGTGGTTCTAGAGAGATGAGGGGAAATTGACCTGTGAATAGAATGGGATACAGAAATTTTAGGATGGATAATAAGGTCCTTTTTCAAATCAGGAAATGAAGAAATGAAATAGATATCTATTTGTATGGGTCTTACTCTAAGTTAAGTTCTTTTTCCCAAATAGATTTTATTTGGGAAAATAAAGAAATGTCTTTAAAGTCCTTCTACTATATAGGGAGTGCCCGACTTAGGGAAGGATGCAGTGTGGAAAAGGGAAAAGAATGGCGGCCTGAGAATGAGGAAACCAGGATTCAGCCTTGAAGTGCTGTTCTGATTGCTCCACTAACTTTGTATTATTATCCATGAGTTCTTCCATGGCTTTAGTTCATTGTCTCCATTCATGGAGGTTGATTTTCTCTAATACTTCATGTTTCTTGATTATGGGCTCATCTTTGTGGTTGAGATTTCCTGTTAGACTCTTCCCATCTGTTTGCATGGTCTTTTTGGGAGAGACAAGAATTGCCCTTGTGATTTGCATTCTGACTTGCTTTCAGGAAGAGGAAGGACAGGATGTGTCACCTGGCAAGGCCATTTAGTGGTTGCTCTGTTGGGTGTTGGTACTCCCCACTCCTTCCTAAGGTCACTGGCCACCTGTTACCCTGTCTCTGATCTAGTGTGGCCTGGAGGCAGACTCCCCATCATTGCTGCCTGGTGGCTGCTGCTTTCACATCTACACCCTGTCTGTTGCCTCAGACCCCTTTCTGCTCCAAGTGTATACAGCCTCCAGGCATAGCCTACCTTTCTTATTGATCTTCTATAAGTTTGGACTATAGATTTCCTTTCCAGGCCAACCTTCTTGGGTGCAGTGGCTTACGCCTGTAATCCCAACACTTTGGGAGGCTAAGGCAGGCTGTCACTTGAGCCAGGAGTTTGAGACCAGCCTGGGCAACATGGTAAAACCCCATCGCTACAAAAAATTAGCTGGGCATTGGTAGCACTCGCTTGTGGTCCCAGCTACTTGGGAGGCTGAGGTGGGAGGATCATCTGAGCCCAGGGAGGTTGAGGCTGCAGTGAGCTGTAACAGCACTACTGCACTCCAGCCTGGGTGACAGACCAAGACTCTGTCAAAAAAAAAAAAAGAAAAAGAGAGAGAGAGAAAGAAAGGAAGGAAGGAAGGAAGGAAGGAAGGAAGGAAGGAAGGAAAGAGAAAGAAAGAAAAAAAAAGGCTGGGCGCTGTGGCTTAAGCCTGTAATCCGGGCAGATCAGTTGAGGTCAGGAGTCCAAGACCAGCCTGGCCAACATGGTGAAACCCCGTCTCTACTGAAAATACAAAAATTACCTGGGCATGGTGACACATGCCTGTAGTCCCAGCTACCTGGGAGGCTGAGGCAGGAGAATCACTTGAACCTGGGAGGTGGAGGTTGCAGTGAACTGAGATCATACCACTGCACTCCAGCCTGGGCGACAGAGTGAGACTCTGTCTCAAACAACAACAAACAACAACAACAAAACAAACAAAAGCAACCTCTTTAACTTTTATTCCTTAAATTATTGGTAGCCAAATTCTTAATCTAGTTTTTAAGCACAACTATTTCTAGAAATTTGGAGGAAACTACAGCTTGTACATGGTCTACCATTTTGAAACAAAAGTCTCAGTTCTGGCTAGACCAGCCAGATATCTCAGAAACCAACCCTCTGATGGCCATTGGGATTAGTGTTTATTCACCATCTTTGCTGTAAGCAACATAAAAAGAGGGTGTGCAAAGTTTGGAAGGAAGGACAATTTATTTTCTTAAAGCTGATTTCTTGTTAATGCCTGAGTGGGAAGTAAGAAGTTTACATCCAAATGAGTATAGTTTTGGTCATTGGGAAATGGGTCAATAAAACACACTCAATGTCAAAAAAGTATCTCTAGTTGCATTTTGGAATTTGGAATTATATAATCCCACAAATGACTACATTTCAGGCTCCTGGGTTTGGCAGGGCTGCTCCTCTAGGCTGCGAAGCAGTTTGGTTCCAGGCAGCTAGAGGATTGAAGGGCACCTGAGCTCAATCCAAGTGAGGAGGAGAAACGCTTGAGAAGGAGGTAGCCAGGTACATGGCACGATTAAGGCCACAGCTGGGCAGAGGGCAGTCCTCCAGGGCAAGCCCCAGCCTGAGGGGCTGTCATCAGTGCAGAGAGAATTTGGAGGGCTCCGGGATTCTCCTTGGGCCTTGGTGGTGAAATGGAATGTGGGCTTTGATCCTTTGGGGAGGGGCAGGCTCTGTTGAGAGAGATTCCAATGAGAGAATCTCTAGAGAGGGGAAAAAAGGGTTAGTCCTGTACAATTAAAAACTCTTTTTTTCCCCTCTTTTCTTTTCTTTCCTTCTTTCTCTTCTTTTCTTCTTTCTTTCTCTTTCTTTCTTTCTTTCCTTTCTCTCTTTCTTTCCTTTCTTTCTCCTTCCTTCCTTCCTTCCTTCCTTCTTCCTTTCTTCCTTTCTCTCTCTCTCTTTTTCTTTCTTCCTTCCTTTCTTTCTTCTTTTTTTTTTTTGATGGAGTTTTACTCTTGTTGCCCAGGCTGGAGTGCAATGGCACGATCTTGGCTCACCACAACCTCTACCCACTCCAGGTTCAAGCAATTCTCCTGCCCCAGCCTCCTGAGTAGCTGGGACTATAGGCGTGTGCCACCACGCCTGGCTAATTTTGTATTTTTAGTAGAGATGGGGTTTCTCCATGTTGGTCAGGCTGGTCTCGAACTGACCTCAGGTGATCCTCCCGCCTCAGCCTCCCAAAGTACTGGGATTACAGGCGTGAGCCACCACGCGCAGCTCTTTCTTTCTTTCTTTCTTTCTTTCTTTCTTTCTTTCTTTCTTTCTTTCTTTTCTTTTCTTTCTTTTTCTTTTGGATAAATTTGTCAATCTATTCAGGTTCATTGTAAATAGGGATTAATGATTTAAGAAATCATTGCTTTGTTTCCCTTCAAGAAGCTGTATAAAAAGATTCAGGACCACTTAGTCATTTTTAAATGTGTATGGTCTACACAAGTGTGGGTAATTGGGCATGAAGAGATTAATTATGGTGCTTAAACAATGTATTCACCTTGTCATATGTTTTTGTAAAATTTGTAAAAGTAAAACCAGGATCCCTTTCTATACTGACTTCCCCTCCATCAGCATCCATCCATATCATGTGGCATTTAGTGGCCCAGGGAATTTTGGGATGTGGCTAAAGGGATTTTAAATTAAGGATATATTCAGTTTGGGTTTAGTATATTTATGATATAATAAAAAATACAGTCATGAATTGATTAATGAGGATATGATGTTCTCAGAAATGCATCAGTAGGCAATTTCTTCATTGTATGAACATTATACAGTGGTGTACTTTACAAACCTAGATGGTATAGTCTATTGCTCCTAGGCTACAAACCTGTACAGCATGTTACCATATTGAATACTCCAGGTGACTGTAACATAATGGTAAGTATTTGTGTATGTAAACATATCCAAACAGAAAAGGTACAGTAAAAAATGTGGTATAACAGATAAAAAATGATACATCTTGATAGGGCACTTACCATGAATGGGGCTTGCAGGACTAGAAGTTGCTCTGGGTGAGTCAGTGAGTGAGTGGTGAGTGAGTGTGAAGGCCTAGGGCATTACTGTACACCACTGTAGACTTTCTAAACACTGTACACATAGGCTACACTAAATTAATAAAATAATACTTTTCTTTCTTCAACAATAAATTAACCTTTGCTTACTGTAACTTTTCCACATTATAATTCTTTTAATTTTTAAAACTTTATGAGCCTTTGTAATAACACTTAGCTTAAAAGACACATTGTATAGTTGTATGAAAATATTTTCTTTCTTTATGTCCTTATTCTATGTGCTTTTTTTGTACTTTTTTTTAACTTTTTAAACTTTTTTGTTAAAAACTAAGACATCAACACATGTTAGCCTAGGCCTACGAATGGTCAGGAGCATCAAAACCACTGTTTTTTGCCTCCACATCTTGTCCAACTGGAAAATCTTTAGGGTCAATACATGCTTGAAATTGTCATTTCCTCTGGTAATAATACTTTCTCTGGAATACCTTGGAAGGACCTGCTTGTTTTACAGTTAACTTGTTTTTAAACAAATAGAAGGAGTACACTGTAAAGTTATGATAAAGAGTACAGTACAGCAAGTACAGAAAATAATATCTGTACAGTACAGCAAGTACAGAAAATAAAAATGAAAATTATTATCATTATCAAGTATTACGTACTATACGTGATGGCATGTGCTATACTTTCGCATGACTGGCAATGCAGTAGGTTAGTTTACACCAGGATCACCACACCCATGTGAGTAATGCATTGCTCTATGACATTATGATGGCTATGACGTCAATAGGAATTTTCCAGCTTCATTACAATCTTTTTTTTTTTTTTTTTTTTTTTTTTTCTGAGAGTCTTGCTCTGCTGCCCAAGCTGGAGTGCAGTGGTATGATCTGGGCTCACTGCAAACTCCACCTCCTGGGTTCAAGCAATTCTCCTGCCTCAGCCTCCCAAGTAGCTGGAATTGCAAGCATGTGCCACCAAGCCTAACTAATTTTTGTATTTTTAGTAGAGATGGGGATTCACCATGTTGGCCATGGTTGGTCAGGCTGGTCTCAAACTCCTGACCTCAATTGATCTGCCTGCCTCAGCCTCCCAAAGTGCTGGGATTACAGGCGTGAGACACTGCACCCAGCTAGCTTCATTATAATCTTATGGAACCACTGTTGCGAATGCAGTCCTTCCTAGACTGATATGTTGTTATGCAGCACATGACTGTATATATTTGCTTTCAGCTCCTGGTTCCTGGCACACAGCTCCTAACACCATTGGAATCTCTGGAGTGAAAAGAGTGTCTTTTGTAAGTGAATGAGATGACTGAAGGTCGGGGGCCTGTAGATAGCCCCTTCTCCTATACCTCGACCTATACATCTCTTCCATGTTTCTTTCATCTGTATGCTTTGTAACATTCTTTATAATAAACAAGTAAGTGTAAGTGCTTCCTGAGTTCTGTGAGCTGCTCTAGCAAATCAGTTGAACCTGAAGAAGGGGTCTTGGGAACCCCTGATTTACGGCTGGTCGGTCAGAAGCACAGGTAAAACAACTGGGGGCTTGCAGCTGGCATCTGAGGTGAGGGGAAGCCTTGTGGAACTTAGCGCTTGGCATGTGGGATCTGATACTCTCTCTAGGTAGATAGCATCAGAGTGGAACTGAGAGAGGACACCCCGCTGCTGTCTGCTGGAGAACTGATTGGTGTGTGGAATCTGGTTTTAGAAGTATTATATTGAGTGGTATGTGAAAGTAGGAAACACACTTCATTTTTTTTCCATCTTTATAATATTTACATAGTTTTCCGGCACTTCTGGGTATAGCTATTTCTAGCTATTTGAATGTAGGAAATGCTTCCAAGAATGCCTCTCACTTTTTAAAAAAATTGAGAGATAACTCACATACCATAAAATTGACCTTTAAAGTATACAGTCCAGTGGTTTTAGTATATTCACAAGATTGTGCAACTATCACAACTAATTCTAGAACATTGTCATTACCCCCTACAAAGAATTCCATTAGTAGTCACTGCCCATTCTTCCTTCCCCCACTGCCAGCTTCTCCATTTTAATCTACTCCTATTTTTTTGTCTCTATGGATGTGCCTATCCTGGACTTTTCATATAAATAGAACCAGCCAGGTGTAGTGGCTCATGCCTGTAATCCCAGCACTTTGGGAGGCTGAGACAGGCAGATCACACAAGGCCAGGAGTTCGAGACCAGCTTGGGCAACATGGTGAAACCCCGTCTCCACTAAAAATGCCAAAATTAGCCAGGTGTGGGTGGTGCACGTCTGTAATCCCAGCTACTCGGGAGGCTGAAGCATGAGAATTGCTTGAACCCAGGAGGTGGATGTTGTAGTGAACCCAGATTGTGCCGTTGCACTCCAGCCTGCGTGACAGAGCAAGACCTTCTGTGTCTGGCTTCTTTCTGTTAGCACATTTGCAAGATTCATTTATGTTATACCATGAGTCAATACTTTATTCCTTTTTATGGTTGAATAATATTCCATTTCATTTCTCCATTCATCAGTTGATGGACACTTGGGTTGCTTCCAGAAATATTCTCTCTGACCAACGTGTTAACTAACCCAATGAGAAGGTCTAGGGCCAGAGGGAGTATCATACTATGAACAAGGTCCAGGATGCCTGATGTTAGAAGTGTGAGGGTTGTGGAGAAAGAACAAGTTTGAAATACCCGGAGTCAGAAGCTGCCATGATGCAGGAATGACTAAATCTATCTTTTCTCTCTATAGAAAATGAAATTGCAAAATTGTTGTTAAGTGAAGAGATTATCAAAATATTTACAGTTCCCAAATGTAGAAAACATGGAGGTGTCAGATAGTTAAGATATCTTGTTTTTCTGAGTTTCGATATATTTTTAGTAATTATCAGTTTTTTCAAAATGTGTAACTTATGGTTTATCTTCCTTTATTTATTTATTTATTGTTATTATTCTTTAGAGATGGAGTCTCGCTCTGTCACCCAAGCTGGAGTGCAGTGGCGTGATCTCTGCTCACTGCAAGCTCTACCTCCCAGGTTCACACCATTCCCTTGCCTCAACCTCCTGAGTAGCTGGGACTACAGACACCCGCCACCACGCCCAGCTAATTTTTTTGTATTTTTAATAGAGACAGGGTTTTACCGTGTTAGCCAGGATGGTCTCAATCTCCTGACCTTGTGATCCACCCACCTTGGCCTCCCAAAGTGCTGGGATTACAGGCGTGAGCCACTGCGCCCGGCCCTATCTTCCTAATCTTAATCTAACTTATATTTGTAATTTTGCATTACTTTTCTTTAAGAATGCACCCCAAATCAAGTATATAAAAGCCCCTCAAAACCAGGATCCACCTTGCTTTCAGGGAAGTTTGAACCCACTTTCCTTGTGGTCAGAGGCACTTAGATACTGTGTGAGGGACTTCCTCTTTGGGAATTACATGGCAAGCTGGTCATTTCATTGCTTTCCATCCCTTTGTTGTAAACCATTTTCTTTCTCAGCTTAGAGCACTTTCAGGAGAAACTGGCTCATGCAACACCTTCATTAAATGTGCAATATCTTGCAGCATTGCTATGGTTGGTTGAATATTGTTCAGCAAAAACTCCCTCTCTCTACTCCCCTTTCCTTCATAGTAGAGACTACTTCCTTATCCTTCTGACACTGGGCTTGGCCATGCATCTCACTTTGGCCAGTGGAAACTAGACAGAGAAGACATGTTGACAGTTTTGAGCGCTCTTCAGGGTCTTCCCTTGTCTACCCTATTGGGAACTCATGCTCCAGTAGCTGGTGGTCCTTTATTGTGAGTCCTGGAAGAAGATACGCAGGACAGACCTAGATCTTGAATCCAATATTCAGCATAAAGAGGAGACACTGCTGCTGGCCTGCAGACCTTGAGTAAGAAATAATTATTTGTTATTCTGAGCCACCAAGACCTGGGGGTTGTCTTAAACCCAGTAGAATTGTAGCAGGAGCTGACTACTACAGTTATACATTCCTAACCTGAACAGCAGAGCTAATATCACTTACCTCCCAGGAGGCAGCTAAGCTTGGACCCAAAGCTCAAACTTCCAAGATGTCTGACAGCAGCTCCCAATACAGCACCTTCCCAGGTTCCCACTTTAGCATGCTTCCACCTTACAAGGAATACTGTGTCTAGGAAAAGGTGCTGTCTCCTTCCCTCCCTCCTTCAGCCATAATTATAAATGCAAGGTAGTTCATGGTTTCCACTCTCTATAATCGCATTTTTGTCACTGCAGTTAATCTCCTTCCAGGACAGACCACTACACTTCACCTAATAAGCACTCTACTCTTTAGCTTCAGTTTGGCAACCCTATCAAAAGTCTAAACATATCTGGAGGATTCTTTGACCAAGAAGTTACACTTTCAGAAATTTAGCCTGAAGGAATATTCATGCAAATATATAACAGTACATATATAAGGATACAAAATATAGGAAACAATCTAGATGTCCAACTATAGGCAATTTATTAAATAAATTAAGGTGTAATGGACTCACACTGCATCATTAAGAGTGATACAGTAAAAATGTGTTTTTCCTTGACACAGAGAGGGTTATCAAGAGGAATGCACAGTATAAATTCATTTTGTGAATAAAAAAGTGTATATTATATATATATACATATTTAGAAGGATATATGTTGATTATGTACAGTTGTTATATCTGGTTGTTAGAATTATGGGTAATTTTTATTTATTTCATTTTGCTTATGCTTTTTTCTTCTTTTAAAATCATATTTTCTAAAATGCCACACATGTTTAACTTTTGTAATAAAAAGTAAACAGTAAAATGTATTGTTATTTTTGCCCCTCACAACTGTTTTAGATGAATAAAGAGGCCTTCTTATTATGAAGCTGTCTACTTTTTCAGAGAAGAAATCATTTCAAATCCAGTGTTCTCTATCTGAAATAAACAACAGTAAAGAAATAAAATCAGGCCAGGCTCTGCGCCTCTAACCTGTAATCCCAGCACTTGGGGAGGCTAAGGTGGGAGGATTGATCACCTGAGCTCAGGAGTTTGAGACCAGCCTGGGCAACATGGTGAAACCTCATCTCTACAAAAAATGGAAAAACTTAGCTGGGCATGGTAGCATGTGCCTGTGGTCCCATCTACTCTGGAGGGCTGAGGTGGGAGGATTGCTTGAGCCCAGAAGGCAGAGGTTGCAGTGAACTGTGATTGCACCACTGTATTCCAGCCTGGGTGACAGAGCAAGACTCTGTCTCAAAAAAAAAAAAAAAAAAAAAAAAAAGGAAAGAAAGAAAACCAATAAAAGGAAAAGCTAAAATATACGGAAATAACTATAACAGTGTAAATAACTTGAGATAAAATGGTTAAACAATCCAAGTTTTAAAAGATCACAGAGTAAGACTGTGCTGTTTGTCTAAACAAAGGTAGTTAAAGCCGCAGTAGAGAAGAGAGCTGGACTTCTTCATAGTGGGAACTTCCTAACAGGGCTGAGTAAATCTGGAAAGCAACAGACCCTTAAGTCAGCCTGACCATTGCGGATCAGAACACATAAACGAGTGGAGTGCTGGAATGGCTCTGGATCTCTTCCTGGCTCTGTATTCAGTGAGATCAGGCTAGTAGCTTAAAATCAGCTACCATGGGAGTACTGACACCAAAAAAATCAGCAAATGCTACAAATCAGTGTTCTCCTTTCCCGGAGAATTGGTTGTTAAACATTTACTTGAGACAAACCGTATAAACTTCCAGGAAAAAATCCAGGAACCACCAGAATCCTGGCAGAAATTCAAAGTTATACAAACACCTTCCCCAGTGGCTTCTCCCCACTACCTCCTGCCCACCACAGTGCCCTAGGACTCCCAGCAAGCCCACCTCCCCAAACCCTGCTTTTTATGCCCCAGTGGAAGCTCCTCAGGGGCTCTGAGTCAGGCCTGAAAATAGGGTATGTTCTCAAGGAGAAGCAAATGAATGAATAAAAAATGACTCCCGCCATGCAGTGGCCATGCCACCTCTTAGCACAAAATGAAACTTAAACTCTTCATCCCTTTGAACTTATAAAGAAAATATGAAGAGAAATTAAAATGCCCCTAGTGACACTTGAACTTGTAGAAGAGTACATCTAACTTCCTTTGTATCTTTTCTCTAACATTCTTAGCTCTATCTTGAGTAGAATTGCAGATGTTCTCTTGTTGCTTTTTTCTTTTGAATGTCTGGAAAAACAGCTCAGCTTTCAAAGTAGAATTATTAAAATAATTCCAGTTAGAATGTAAAATCTTTCGCTTTTTCCAAGACATCAACTTTTCCTGTGTTACCATAAATTCTATAACTCGACCTACTTCTCTCCCTGTCTTGACTGAGCCCTTGTTATAAAGTAGGTTCAAATGATTCCTTCTTCTGATTGGGTTTTGGTAGGAAGAGGGAAAGAGGCTGGGGGCAGAGAGAGTGAGTAGGCAGCTACAATAAAATAACACCCTGTTCGCACCACTGCTCTCCAGCCTGGTGACAGAGTGAGACTCTGTCTCAAAATAAATAAATAAATAAATAACACCCTGCTTTACTGTCCACTTGACGTGGTTCTCATGTTTTATGCTGGTGTCTGCGAGTCTTGTATCTCTATGACTCTGTCAGTAATATCTGTTTAACATCAACTTTTAAGAATAATTGAAGGGAGGAAAAGGGAAAGGGTTGAAAAACTAACTTTTGGGTACTATGCTCAATACCTGGGTGAGGGGATTAATCATACCCTGAACCTCAGCATCACACAATATACCTAGGTAACAAACCTGAACATGTACCTCCTGAATCTCAAATAAAAGTTGAAATTATTTATAAAAGAACAATTAAATATTTAATTTAATGACAACCATATGTAGGGAGAAACAAGAAAAAGAAGCACCAGGTTTTGGGCAAGATATTTTTTAAAAAAGAAATTGTACTTTGGTGAAAAGCAATGCTTTAAAGTTTCCATTATGAAAGTATCCATGCATATTAAAGAAAACTTAGAATATACTGAAACATTAAAAAAAAAAAAATAGAAAACACCAGAATCCCATTATCCAGCCATAATGGCTGTCTCCATTTTGATCTGATTCTGTCTTATAACTATTAATGCATGCATATCTTTATTCAAATATAGAGCAGAAGGTATAAACAAACAGCCTTTGGGAGAAAAAAAAAGTCTGATGTGTTTTATTTGGCCTAGGCAATATATTTTTAATTTAAATTAAATCTTAACATGTAAAAATTAAGAGGTGTCACATTAAATTTAGATACAGGGTTTTTCTTGAAAAATTGAACCTGCATTCCTAAATGGCTGGAGTTGAGGAAAGGTGGCTACTCTCAGAGGGGAACATGCTTGCCAATTTGCCAATGTCTCATTGTTTGGCTCCTGTAGGTATTTATGTTTGATGCCCCTGTAGAGTTTTTTTTTAATCCTTGCACTCATATTATATATGCAACTTTATATTCAGATGCTTTCTCTGAGCAATATATTATTAATCTTGCCATATGTTGCCCCCTGATTATACCAGTGTACCTAGTATTACATATCAAGTGCTTAAAAGTATAAACAGGAAAGTAACTATAAACAGGAAAGTAATTGGAATATGTTCTTCCAATTGTTTCTATGCAAATATCTTTTTAAATGGTGGAAATCATACAGCACACAATCTTGTATCCAGCTTTTTTCACTTTTTGTTGTATTATAAACACGTTACTCATCAAATATATACAATGTAGCTAAGTCTTTTTCCCATGGTTGGATACACTGCAACCTCCTCCTCCTGGGTTCAAGCGATTCTCCTGCCTTGGCCTCCCAAGTAGCTGGGATTACAGGCACACACTTACTCCTGGCTAATTTTTTATTTATTTTTTATTTTTAGTAGAGATGGGGTTTCGCCATGTTGGCCATGCTGGTCTCGAACTCCTGACCTCAAGTGATCTGCCTGCCTCAGCCTCCCAAAGTGCTAGGATTACAGGTGTGAGTCACTGCACCCAGCCTAGATTATCCTTTTTCTATCATAATTATGCTATGATGAATATTTCTGTGCTGCAGGATTTTTTTCTATATTAAAGATTCTTGTCCTAGGATGTATTCCAAAAAATGGGCTATGCAATTGAAGAATACAAACAATTTTAAGGCTTTTGATGTATGTTGTCAAGTTGTATCCTAAAAGGTTATCCAGTGTTCTGATTTGAATGCCTGCCTGCATTGTGTGAGAGTTATGTTTCAGGACACATTGACAGAATTAAATATATATACACGCACACGCACACACACACACACACACACACCCAAACACATATATAGTTGTAATTGTACATAATGAAAACCTATATGTATATATGTGTTACTGATTTGATACAGAATATGGTACCTTCTGGGTTTAACTTGCAGTCTTTTCCTCTCCAAAAACCCAACTTTGCCCTTTGAAAGGACCAGAACAGCCAGGATGGAAACTCACTAATTCAAGAGGATGGCCTCAGCAATGCAGGTAGAGGCAAGTGTTGGGGCAGAAACCCAGAATTCCTCACATTAGGCAGAACTGGAGGAAGAGGTTAGGAGCAGAGACACCTGAGGACAGGATGAGGCAAAGAATTCAGGGCCACAAAAGTCAGTCCTGTGAAAACCAGGAAGGTTCACACCACAGTCTAGGATCCAGACCTCACAGCTAAACCCAAAATAGCTAAATCCACAGGATCCAGATTTTTCGTCTTCTAATGTACAATGTTTTCAGGTCTTAAGTCCTAAGGAGGCCCACAGTCTGGGAGGCCACTTTAAAATTTCTGCCACAGGCAATTTCTTTATTTCGCTATCAGCTCTTTCTCCTCAGTTCATTCCATCAGCTAGAAATTCCTCTTGAAAAACGATTTGTCCAGAACAGAATGTCTTGAATGAAAATCATTTAGTCAACTCACAGAAGCACGTAACCAACCTAGAAACCGAGTACCACAGACCTGGACTGCCACCCTGGGTTAAAGCCACCCAAGACAGGAAGCAGAAGCCCAGGTGGCCCATTAGACTGGCGCCAAGGGCAACATAAAGAGTGGCCAGCGCTCACTGCCCGGAGCTATTTATTATCACCGTGGAGTGAAAAATCTCTTCATTTTTTTTGTGAGCACTTCATGAAGTGACAAAAGAAGTATGAGTAACTGAAACCTCATATGAATAAATGAGTATACATAGCTACAGCAATCTGTAATCAAACTTGAAGAGAATGGTTGTTTCTAGATAGAATATGAAATCTTTTTCATTAAACGCATTTTTATTCCTTTCCACCTCTGGGTTTTTGGATTTGATACTAGCGTTTCTATTGCCTGGTAAACTGGGAGGGGAGGATGAAAGTGATAGCTGTCTCTTGCTTGCAATGTGTTAATATAGGTATTGAGCTCTACATCAGGGTTAGCAAATCTAGCCAAGTCCTAGCCTGTGTTTGTATAGTCTGTGAACTAAGAATAGTTGTTAGATGTTTGGAAGGTTGAAAAAAATCAAAAGGAAATAATTTTTTTTACTTGTAAAATGATACGAAGTTCAAATTTTAGTGCCCCTAATTCAAGCTGTATTGGAACACAGCCATGACTTTTTGCTTATGGATTCTCTGTGGCTGCTTCTGTGCTACAATGGTAGAGTTGAATAGTTGCAAAAGAGACCATACAGCCCACAAAACCAAAAATATTTATTCTCTGGCACTTTACAGAAAAAATTTGCTGACCCCTGCTCTAATACATTTAGAGTCATAGTCTTATATAATTTAACACCCTGACCAGGGATTCTATCACGACGGGAAGATACAAGAGAAAGACATCCATATGACTTGAAATCAAGTATTGAGCTTATGTTTGTTAAATTTGTAGATGCTGTTAAATCAAGCAGGATGAAGAGGGGGTTGTTAATGGAGTGTCAGAAAAGGAATTAAAAATGAAGATGATAAATGATTAAGTTTAAGTGTGCATTTAGGATCTAAAATGAAATGCTATAGATACAAAATGAGGAAAGCCGGAGAGAAGTATGGCATTAATATTCTGATGAATGTTGTCAAATTGTGTTAAATAGCAATGTCACATCCTCAAGAGAAGGAAACACGGGCAAGCTGTGGGACAAGCTCAACATCAGGGCTGCACTTCTTGGTTTGTGTTGACTTATTGTTGATCTCAACGTTGGTGTCTGGATTTTGAAGCTCCATGCTCTAAAGAAACATGAAGCTGAGGGTCCTACAAAGATGTAAGTGGGGAGAAACAGATGTCTGTAAAATGGCGAAATGTGCTGGTGTATTTAAACACCAAAACTGTTGTGGAACAAGGACTGGATGTGAAAAGAAGACTTGTTTTCTAATGCCTGGCCTTGCCACCGTCCAACCATGCACTTTAACCTCTCTAGGCTTCCTTATCTATGAAACAGATAATATCTCTGTAAAAGATTCTTGAAACAATTAAATGAGATAATTTGTAAACTCTCAAGCACCGTGCAAATGTGAGATACTGTTGTTGGAAAGCCATGCTGTGACAATGAATACCTGGAGTACTGAAGAATTATCCCGTACAGTTGTGGAGTTTGTGCACTGCACAAGGGGTTGCAGCCCGGAAGGCCAACGGGGCCTTGCAAAACGGCTTTGGCTCAGGCTGGATTCCTCAGGAAGGGGAGCACTTTCTTCTCATACTAAGGCATCGTCTGCTTGTAAAATCATGTACCCACCTGGAGGAGGTATCTTTCTTCATTCATTCTTATAAAGGTGCTGGATTGGTTTTACACATTTATATATAAATATACAGCAGTGTTATATATCTCAATGGTAATCAAACATCAGACTACTTAAAGTGATAATAGAATGTCCATTTTTGCAGAATCTTTTAAGGCAAAATGGAAAACCCCTTCAGTGTCTACCAGTTAAATGTCTACCTGATACTCCTGGTTCTCTGATTCTGACATTTATCCCTAGATTAAAAGACACATAGCATTCTAAATGGCTTCCCTGTGCTTCACTCACACGGAAATAAAAGTTCCTTTTTCTTAAATTTGTGTTTATCCAAATATCAAACTGCATTGTATTACCGGTGGGATGGTGAAGATAAGTAAGAAGAAAAATAGATAGGGAATATTTAAAACCTTTTGGAGTTTTTGTAAATGTTTTGTGTTCTGTGCATATATCCTATGTACAAAATTTTCCTAATGTTTATTGATAAATCTATTCAGCTTTTTAGCCTAGTCTGTAAGAAGTGCTTCCTGCATTAGCAAGAGGCTGAGTGATATAATCTGTAGGCATCAGTAGTGATAATGCTGCCTGCTCTGAAGTAGGAGTTGAAATAAAAGCAAACAGGTGAACTATTGGCTTTTGAGCCAGATGTAACTTTCAATGATCCGGCATGTTAATTTCCCTTCCACTTTCAGAAAGGCTGTGAAAATTGTAGCTGAATATTTTTGGGCTGAAATAATGGCTTCCCTCACGAATACTTTATGCAGAGGACTGTGCTTTCAACACGTTTTTGCAAAGCAACGACCTTGTTTTCTGTCTGACTTTGCACCATAAAGGACTGTCTGGTTTTTCAGTAAGAGCAAATGGCCTACAAACTACTGCTTAAAATCCATGTGAGGTCTGATGGGGATCTCAAACACTTTTAATATAGAATAGTTTACATTATAAGTACCTTTCTATATTACATAATTTTTATTAACCCTTGTAATAACTCTGAGAGACACAGACAAATATGATCCCTGTTTAACAGATAAAGGGATACAGTTGGAAATAAGTTAAATAATGAATTCAGGATCACACAATAAGTCAGTAACTAAATTAGGTTTGAACCATTACTCTTGGTCAGGTTCTTTTTGAGCTACTTACTCTGAATAACAGGAAAAAAGTGGCTTATTTTTGGCTATTCTGAAATATAAACAAGAAGATATCACCATCAGATCACATTAGATGTTCAATTATATCAATTCAGTCAACCTCCGTGCTGCTGCGTATCACATAGTTTAAAAATTATTTTCAGGGGCCTCATGAGTACAGCATAGGATAAGATAGGAGGATCTTGACCTGCTTTTAATTGTTCTTCATTTTCCTGGATTTAGACCTCTAAAGGTTGTTTTCATTCCATTATCAGCCAAATAACCCCCCACAAACATACTGAGTGTCTGCTATTGAGAAATTTACAATTAAGTCAGGAAGGCTGATTTTACATATTCAAAATGGAAAATACAAATTTAATGCCAGTGTCTAAAACTGGTAAATACAACTATGGTCTCTTTAATGCACATATCTAAGTCTTGACTGCAATATGTACAATCTCTTCCAGAGCCTCTCTCCTTAATAGATCTTGATCTCCTTAAATAGATCTTGAAATTCCCAGAGATGCACACTTGAGTCCAAGACCCAGTCTTGGTTATTGAAGCAACAGTGAGTGACAAAGCCAGGGTTCTGAAATCCTGGTTCTGTCTACCCTACAGAGGTGTCTCCTCGGACTGTGAGGTACTGCTTGCCCTGCGTGGCCACTGCCACAGCCACACATGTGGCCACCACCAAGAGGCCAGCTGAGCTGTTCTGTCCAATTGCTGAGACTACTTCTAAGTTGTCCTTTATCTGTGCAAGTGAGGGAAACCTATTTATTCAACAAATTCTTATTGAACATCGATTATCTGCCAGGCACCATTATAATACATCTAGGCAGACTGAAGTTTCAATGGCAAACAAGGCAAAGTTTCTCTTCTCAAGGGATTTAGATTTCTAATGGGGGAGAGAGACAAGAAACAAGCACACAAGCCTGTCAAAACAAAATCTTGGCAAGGTGTGGTGGCTCATACCTGTAATCGCAGCCCTTTGGGAGGCCAAGGTTGGAGGATTTCTTAAGCCCAGGAGCTTGAGACCAGCCTGGGCAACATAGCACAACCCTGTCTCTACAAAATTTTTTTAAAAAATAGCTGGGCATGGTGCCTGTAGTTCCAGTTACTTGGGATACTGAACTGGGAAGATCGCTTGAGCCCAGGAGTTTGAGTCATGTCATTGCACTCCAGCCTGGGTGACCAAACGAGACCCTGTCTCAAAAAAGAAAAAAAAATCTTAAAGAAAAAAAAATCTTAAAGAAGCAGGATTTACCATGAGGACCTCAGTCTCTTTTTGTTCAGTGTCATCAGTAAAAGGCAGAGAAATACAAACATGTATGACAATAACTACAAATACCAAAAGAACACTGGAATCAATTTTTTTTCTCTAGGCTCTTTTATTTATCTATTTTTAATTTTTATGGATACATAATAATAGATGTATTAGAATAATAGATGTACTGATTAGGCCTAGGCTAACTGAAAATTAAATGCAAATTAATTTTACTTAGCTTAGCCCTAATCAGAAGAATGTGCTCAAGGATTGGTTTGATCAGTTTTAATTGAGCAAATGACTTTTATCCCCTTTATTGATTGATTGTTTTTGATGTATTTACTTAGAAACAATAGAATGCATTAAATATTGTAGACTTCATTTTCACTGGCCAGTAAATAGTTTTGGGAAATTTTATTATTTAGGACAATTTTAGCCACCAAATTTATACTGGCCTCTTGAACTCAAGGTGGAGGTTTTTTTTTTCTTTAAGGTAAGTTGCTTTTTTGATTTCTCTATTGTCAGAGATAAATTGTGGATTCCACATTATACATTCAAGAATCCTAATGTAAAACAATGAAATACACTATATTGAACCACTTTTGATAGGGTACCATGTCAAGCTTTCAATAAAATGTAAACACATGAAAAAAAAAAAGACTTTGAATACTTGGGAAAACTAGATTACCATGTCCAAGGAATAGATCACATTTTGGCATGGTAAGGACAATAACTCTGTTATTATTCAAGAGGAATAGACTTAGGTAATTTCCACTGAAGTACAGTTTAATGAGATAGGTACTAATAACAATCTGATCTTAATAGGTCTAATTTTGGATGACAAAATCCCTGGGAGAGTTTTAAAAGTCATGCAGTGATTCCTGCATAGCTTTATGGGAAAATAATTGGACCACAGTTCGCGTAATTAGTCTTATATCCCCTTATTTTCTGATGTCCTTGGATTCCTTTGGGGCTCTGAGAAATGTCAGTAACAGCAGTTAATTGATGGGGACCTATGATCCCATTAAAGTATATGGATGTGTCAAAGTTAAAATATATATTTTAGTGAGTTTTGAGAATATATATCAAATTTAATACTTAGCAAGATTGCTAGTCACTGAAATTCCTTGAGAAAGACAAATTTAATTCAGAGAATTTTATAGGAAAGAAGCAGTTAAAATGAGAGCAAAAGGATTAACACGAGAGGAGAGGTAAAGAACAAAGAGACAAACAATACAACCTAAGTCCAATCCTAAGTCCTTTGACACAAACATAGATGTTGATCTAAAGATATTGAAAGGAAACTGTCTACACCTAATGTCACCTTTTTCATCTCTAGAGGATTGGGAAGGAAGCTGAGGATTTCCAGAAGTTGTCTGCTTCTAGAGGGTTTTCAGTGAACCTTTGGGTCAGATGTACCATGGTGCAGATTGTCAGATATGAACTGAGGATCCTAAGCATGTTTACTGGGAAGCATGTGTCTACAGTGTGTGTTCTGGAACTGCAGAGTAGTATTTGTGGTTAAGAGTACCTGAAATGGCCCTTTTCAGTGTAGTTTTAAGGCTGATTTTTATTGAGGTCATTGCATTTCATGACTGGGGTCTGTTTGAATATATTTGGTCTTCTAAATTTATATCATGTAGTGAATTCAGCAAGGTACCTGTTGGAGGTGCAGCTCACATCTGTTGGATTTATGACTACATATCCTCCTTATCATATCTGACAATACCAGAATGTTCCAAATGATATCTGATATCTGTCAGAGGGAGAGTCAAGTGTATCTCACGGGGCTATATGTAACAATTTTATACAGTGAGAATTTATAGAGATTTTGACAGATCTCATTAAAATGGAAAACGGGGACAGTTTTTATTGTAAAATACCATTAGCTCATTTTATATTTTTAGAGCTTTGGGAATAATATGTCAATGACATTTCTTGAAATATTTTAACTGTAAAGTGAGTTTTTAAAAAAAAATACAATTTTTTTTCTGTTTTATGATTATTAGAGATAAGGCAAGATTTGATCACCTATTGAATCTCTCAGCTAATTTTTTTTCCACCCATAGTTTTATAAAGTCTGAACCAATTTCACCCTGATTTTGTCACTTTTTTTGGCATGTAGGTATAAAACATAAGCCCTTGAGACAGGGCTTGGAAAGACATCAAATGGTTTGAGAAAATTTTGCAATTGTCATTATATTTATATAATGTAAATATATAAATAGTTATATATGAGTATGTCTATTTATTATGAAATCACATTGAACAGCTATATTTTAATGGCAGTAACACCATTAACAACTATACATTTTGTGTAATACAGTTGACCCTTGAACAACAGTAGGGTTGCGGGGGGCTGACTCTCTGTGCAGTTGAAAGTCTGCATATAACCTTGGGCTCCCCCAAAACTTAACTACTAATAGTCTATTGTTGACCAGAAGACTCACCGATAATATAAACATAATTTGTATGGTACATGTATTATATACCACATTCTTAACAATAAGTTAAAGAAAATATTAAGAAAATCAAAAGAAAAAACATTTACTATTTATTAAGCAGAAGTAGATCATCACAAAAGTCTTTATCCTCATCATTTTCGTGTTGAGCAGGCAGATGAAGAAAAGGAAGAAGAAGGGTTGGTTTTGATGTCTCAGGGGTGGCAGATGCAGAAGAAACTATGTATAAGTGGACCCATGCAGTTCAAACCATGTCATTCAAGGTTCAATTGTAGTTGGCTGGTGTATTTTCTTTTAGAATAAGCTTTAGTCTTAAGTATTGAGATTTTCTTTAGATGGTAGATTACTTCCAATAAGTAAACAATTTCCTTTAAAAATTTTTGATTGAGGTGCCCACAGAAGTTAGAAAAATCCTTTGTTTTTTTTTTAACTAATATGTCAAAATCATAAACATTAACTTAGACCTGTCTTAATTGTAGCATGCTCATGTCAGAGATACGTGAAAAGAAAAAGCTATTGGTAATAGAATATTTAGAATATATTGTTTAAACAGCACAGCGTATACATTGATTATTCTTAAGGTATTAGTGACCACCAAATAGTATCATATTAGGGTTATCATTAGGGTTGAAGTGGTCAGTCAAAACAGAACAGGGCATGATTAGAGCAGATGTTGGACATTGTGAGAGTCATCTAAACTAGGAAGAGAAGTTAGGGTCTCTGGATTTAGATCAGAGCAGCATTTAATCAGTGTGTAGGAAGCAGACAACACAAAAATTTTATAGGTGACAATCAACTGGCTTATATGCGCTTGTCATTGCTAGGATTCCTGCATCAGATAAACATGGTCGATAAGCCTTAGATGAGGGCTCAAGAGGAGCAGTAAGGTAGGTGATGGGTTCATGATAAGTTTCTAGTTTTTAATAAGTACCCTTAAAATTAACATTGTCTTTAATGTACAAGTTGTGAAAAGGGGTTAGCATAGTTAGAAATAGCCAAAGTAAGGGGTTGGCCTAGTTTTCACTTAAGAAAGAAAAATGCTGACTTGGCTTCTGGATCCCCAAATCAGGCATTGACATACTTATTTCAGTCATTCGCAGAGTTGATAAAGCTAACTGAAGTATGAATTTCACGAAACATACCTTATTATTTTCGTATCTCTCCTTTCATAAGTTTAGGAGATAAATCTTACTGGTTACCCTGGGACCATCTGGAAAGCCTCAAAGATAGTTTAGATGTAAAAGAATCTTAATGTTTAAAAAAATACTTACATTTTGGGCTTAAATTTAGGAAAGACAAAAATAAGGAGTTTATATGCATTGGTGGTGCTTTAGGAATAATGATACAGCATCTATATGATGATTTGTAATGGGGAAAGTCTACAGCCAAGGACGTTCGTTAGGAAAATACTGCAATGGTCTAGGCATGAGGTGATGAGGGCCTCAACAAGAATCTGGCATTGAGAATAGACAGGAAGGAGCAAATTGGCAGCAGCAAATGAAGCAAGGACTGGCCAGATTTAGTGACTTCCTGAGAGAGAAGGCAAAGGAGAAACCAAAGATGACTTCTGGCTTTTTAAATCCCGGGTCATTGGGAGGAAGAGGGGAACCCTGAGCAGAAATAGGGATATAGTGTGGTAGAGCTAAAGTAGGAAAATTAAGGAGGCAAGTCAGATATAACCTGATAAAGGAGGAAATAGAAGGAAAGATATGTGTGTTTCTACTCATTCATTCATTCACCGTACCACCTCATTCCATAATAAATCTGAAACCATTTATAAAATTACATAGAATATAAATAGATGAGGGAATTGGTAGATGAGAAAGATAAACATAGGAAATATCAAATCCAGATGTGATATTAGCACATAGTTTTGCACACTGTAGATTCTATATGCATGTTACTGGAGTTATGGTGTAAATTTGGCTTTAGACTTCTTAATGACCTGTGCAGACACAGAAGCACAACCCATGGAGGACTGCCAGTATTCGTAAAAATGAATCTGCTGTTCATCAGGAGCATAGCTCTTCGTGATCCTGAAGCCTATATATTTTCCTCTGCTCACAGAAAGAGGACACAATGATGTAACAGATGACGTGCTCTCTTGTCTAACAAATCCTACAGGGATTTGTGATGGAGTAAATTTATAATATTTAATATATGAATGTTATTTCATATATTAACCAGCCTTTCCCACCCCTCTACTCCTCAAGAGTATTTTGGCTTTGCTCACTCAGTTTCTTCTCCTCCTCCACCATTTGAAGAAAATTATGCCTTTGTGGGCTTTTTTTTTTTCTGGATTTTGTTGGTGACTAATTGGGAAGAAAGTGAAAGGGATTGAACTAAGTCTGGGAGAGGGGCCCCTTAAAGAGTTTTTGGAGAAGAAGTTGGCTTGGAAGAGTCAGGAGGCGTGAAAAAAGTACAAGGAGAATAAAATGACTTTCAGAAACAATTATAATATTGGCTATATGTCTCTCTCACAGTGTTTTTGAAAATACTTGTCAGGGATTGCATTATTTTGAAATCTTAGCTGGATGCTGGAGTTTTTTCTTGGACATAGGCACCACTCTAAGACAGGAGGATGTGGGTCCTAAACTCATGATGAATATATGAGGGGGCTGAATAGCCAGGTTGAATAGTAAACCTATGGTGCCATACTCTAACTGTGTGTTAGACTTAAACCATCACTGCAGATACGACCAGACAGCATTGCTTTATTCTAATAGTTAGGCCAAGAGCACAGTTGGTCTTAAAACTTTGGAACAAGGGCCAGTCAAACTTAATACTTTATCCTTTTGAAGTTGTAAGCTAAGGGATAATACACTGGTGCATGTTCACTAAACAGAGGTTGTTTCATGAGAAAGAAAAGAAAACAAAACAAGAATTCTCAAGAAATGGCTAACTTGAAATTGGTTTCCATGTTAATATATATGAATGCCTACTCTCTCAAGAGGCACAGGCCAATCCCCACTCTGCTTGACTGGTATTGTCCCAGCAGCACATTCAATGCTAAGATATTTTTTCAAGTGTAGGACATTTCTTTGTGAGGGCTGCAAAACATAAGTGCTCTTAGTCTCTCCTTCTCCTGCCTTCACTCCTCCTCAAAGAAGATTCTGGCTTTGGCTGTTTAGTTTTTCCTCTTCCCTTGTTTTCTAAGCAGGATCCTATGGTTAGCAGACTAGTTCTTCTGGGTTTTATGATGAAGAATTGGTAGGAAAGGAGGTGGGGTGGTGTGATGGTTAATTTTACATGTCAGCGTGACCAGCTAAGGGATGCCCACATAACTGATAAAGAGTAGTTTCTGCATGTGTCTGTGGGGGTGTTTCTGGAAGAGACTGGCATTGAAATCAGCAGACTGGATGAAGAAGATCCCCTTACCAATGTAGGTAGCCATCATCCAATCCACTGAGGGACTGACGAGAAGAAAAAGGCAGAGGAAGGGTGAATTTGCTCTATCTGTCTAAACTGGGACATCCATCTTCTGCTCCCATTGGACATCAGCACTCCTGTTTCTCAGGCCTTCAGACTTGGACTGAATTACACCACTGGCTTTTCTGGTTCTCTGGCTTATAAAAAATAGATGTGGGACTTCTCAGCCTCCATAATTGCTTGAGTCAATTCTGATAATAAATCTCTCTCTCTCTCTCTCTAGCTCTCTCTCTCTTTGGTCTCTATAGAAACAGAACCAATAGATTATCTATATCTATATCTACCTAAAAATATGGAAATTCTATTAGTTCTGTTTCTCTGGAGAGCCCTGGCTCATACAGGTGGTGAAAGAAAATGGGTGAGCGGGTTAGGACAAGTCAGGAATTATCCCAGAGATTTGGGAGTTGAGAGACTCTGAAGGAAGTGTGGTGTATGATGGTTGAACACATGTGACATTTTTTTCTGGTAGTTTCATTTATTACTTTTTACAATGTTATTGAGGTATAATTGATATACAATAAATCACACATATTTAAAGTATATTATTTGATAAGTTTGTATAGTAGGGATTCATGAAACTATCACCACAATCAAGATAATGAATTACAGTTGAGATTTTTTTCCTTTGCAACTTTTATTTTAGATTTAGAGGGCATAAGTGCAGGTTTGTTACTTGGGTATACTGCATGATGCTGAGGTTTGGGGGTACAAATGATCCCTTCACCAAGGGATTATCATACCCACCAGTAAGATTTTCAACCTGGCCCCTCTCGCCCTTTCCTCTCTAGTTGTCTCCAATGTTTATTGTTGCCAACAGATAAGATTTTAAGAACTATTACTGTGCGGCTGGGCGTGGTGACTCATGCCTCTAATCCCAGCACTTTGGGAAGCCAAGGTAGGAGGATGGCGTGAACCCATGAGTTCAAGACCAGCCTGGGCAATATAGTGAGACCCTCATCTCTACAACATTTTTAAAAAAATTAGCTGGGTGTGGTGATGCTTGCCTGCAGTCCCAGCTACTAGGGTCCTGAGGTGGAAAAACTGCTTGAGCTCAGGAGGTTAAGGTTGCAGCAAACCATGATTATGCCTGGGTGACAGAGTGAGACCCTGTCAAAAAAAAAGAAAAGAAGAGAAACAGAAATATTGCTATGAAGTGTGTATTTCCTTCGCTGTGCTTAAGAAACACAAGTTATATGTCTGCATTATTTTGAAATTACTTTTTAGTTGCTGAACTATGTTTCTTTTACTAGGATGCCACTCAGATTCTGGAACAGTGCTTCAGTAGGGTTATCTTCTAATACAGAATGTATATGGCTGTCTCTTTAACATTCTTCCATTGAAAATATAACCTCAAAATGTAATTTTGTGGTTGACAGATGGCTTGGGAGGGAGAAGGAGGCATAGCTTTATAGCCATGGTTGCTAGACAGCTTGCTTGAGCCAAGGACAAAGTTGCTAATCTCCAATAGAATGAAGGATTATATGCCATTTGGCAAGCTCCATTCTTGCAGCTGAGCTTTGGCTAAGTCTTGGACTACAGAGTGTTGAAAGCTGTAATATTTAGCAAAAAGTTGGAGTTGCTAATAAAAGCCAGATCCAAATGCTTTAGCAATCAATAGAGTCAAGGGTAAGATTATGATTCTTTGACTGAAATTAAGGAGCCTGACCAGAATAGTTGCCTGGATGAATGGCTACCCTATCTCTGCATGGCAGAACAAAAATAATCCTCAGGAAACATTTCTGGGTCTACTCTAATGCATAGGTATGTGAGCAATCGAGACTCTAGGATTCCAAAGTTCTATGACACAGAAGAGATTATTTAAATTGAAAAGTTTTAAAAGAAGATAGTATTAACTTCCCCCCAATGTTTTTGCAGAATTATAGATTGAATATTGAAAACATGTGCCAAAGATGATGAATTTCATTAAGACTCATTCTTAAGTCATTCCTTCCGGCAAAAATTTATTAGCAGGACTAATAATCTATAATCTATAGTAATCTATAAAGACTACTCCTAGTATACCACAGTCAAACCATATCCTTTGCACAGAGAATATATTTCCATTCTTGATGGCAGGCTCATTTAATTCAATCATTAAAATTTAGGTTTAAAAGAAGGAAATCTGAAACATCTCTCTTTTACAGTGCTTCAAATGGTTGGTTATCTGATCAGTTAGAAGATCAGTCCTATTAGCCCTGACCTTCAAGGATCTACTGAGATGTAAGTTTTGTATGAATATGATTACCTGCATGGGGTGAGGAAAGGGTTAGTATTGAGCTCATCCAAATAAGCCCTCTCTGACTTATGACCATAGAATCACACATGAAAGAAAGGCCAATAACAGCTGTAAACAACTTTTGTCATTCCTGTCTTCAGAAGGAAATGGAGGGCAGGGGAGGTGGCAGTCGTAGGTGTTATCAGACACCTTCAGCTGGTCTCACCAGGTCTTATTCAAGTCCCACTGTGGGCACCAGCACTGGCGTGGACTCAGACAGGTTTTGCACAAGCACACGCTGACAGGGCCTCATCCTCTCTACATCGTGTACCCTCTTGACCCCAGACCCACAGCTTCCTGACTTACCCAGAGGCAGGACAAACCCCTACTCTGTCCTCAGATAATATGCAGCCTGGAAGTGCAGAAGGCAGTAATGCCCCATGGGGTATACTTGGCCAATGGAAGACGGCAACTGATAGACAAATTCTTCACCCTCTGTCCTCATCTTAGACACAGTTTATATAATGGCTCTTTTAAAGGTCTGATGGCACAGGATTAAGGCATCAGTTGAAATCAATGTCAGAAAACTCTATAGAGAACCCAACCATTGACTTTCCTTCCTTCCCTGCATCCCTCACTCCTGAGATTACACTTCCCAACAGAGTAGTAAGATAGAATGCAGCTTCAGTCTCTGCTTTCTCTGCTGAAACAGTAGAGTGGCTAGACCTAAAATCTACTGGATCCTTGTAGAAAATAGATGTTTAAGAAGTTGAGGTTCATCATGTATAAAGAGAAAATTTACACAGAGTTTAGAATAGACATATAAGCCCAGGCAAGGCAAATTAGACCTGGAGCCAGACCCTGGGGTCCAGCCTGTGCATGGGGATAAGTGAGTCCAGATGAGGTTGATGTTGGTGGAAAATAGAAGAGGAGCAGTGTTGCCGTGTGGGAATTTGGTTCAAGTTAGCCCAAAGAAGTAGAATTGTAAAGTCATTTCGGAGATGGAGACTCCACGTTTAAGATCTTGGTAATGAAGAGTTCCAGTCACTGTGTGGACTGGGAAAAATTGCATTTGGGAGGAAGTAAAAAAACATCTGAGCTGCAGACACAGGCTATGCAACCTCGGAAAAAGGATTTCACCTCTTGGGGTTCTATCAGTGGAACAAATCACAATTCTAACATCCTGTCTGTCTTTCTGCTTCCATAGTAATGGGGCAGTGGTGGTGCAGCTCATGGTACGGTACCCAGGGAAATTGTATGTATGAATGAAGGGGCAGCTGCCCACAGAGAATCTTGTATTTTACCCTGCTCTGGGGTACATCAAACACATTACGTGCTCTTGGCAGTCCTTCCAGCAAAAGGAGGAGACAGATGGTAGGGATAAAGAGGAAGTGGTAGAATTTCCCCAACACTGGAGGACCTTCCAGGGGCCATCCCTCCCACAACTTTCCTTCATCAGCTATGGGGTGTGGCTTCCAGACTCCACCATGTCTGGTCTTTTTTTTTCCTGCTGCGTATTTTGCATGGCCTGGCAATGACTGAGAAATAAATGGCTGACCCTTCCCCTAACTGCCTAGTTGGATTGCCTTGAGCTACTGCAAGGGGCCAAGGGCATCAACAGGAGATGACCAGCTACTCCCTCAATGACAAGGGAACTGAAGAGGCAACTTGGGGGTGGACAAAGAATTCAGCCCTGTGGTTGTCTGGGCTATTCCTGCCATACAGTGAGGGGGACCTCAGGCCTAGGTCCTTCATTCACAAATTTTTATATTTGAGCATTATTTATTTATCTGTGTTCTGTGCCCTTGGATATTTTGAAGGTATTTTGAAATGTAGTTTTAGCTACATTTTTTAAAAAAAGGATGAAGGTTTTAAGATATTCAAAGGAGGAAGATTCTCTTGTTGGCGTTGTATCAGATTCTTTTCCCTAGGGGGAAGACTGCTGTTGAGGCAGGGTGGGGTGGGTTCAAAAAGTTTGTAGCATGTTCTGGCTTTGGGCCCAACATTGTTGAAAAATGCTCAGAGGAGATTCCCAGAGCACTTGAATTTTGGCTTTAAAACAGTCTTTGTTTAGATGTTCAAATTTGTTTAAATATTTTCTCAAACAGAAACAATAAAAGAACCCAAATAGAATTTTTTTCCCTACAAAACAAATTCTTTCCCAACCCAGGCAGTCAAGTTCACTGTGCAATCATATTCAGGTCTTCATCAGTACCATGCAAAAGAAGTGAAATATATAGGATGCACCTAAGACTTAAACTACTCCAGATTGTCTAACAACAATAATAGTAACCACTGTCATCCACTATTTGACATTAATATTTGCTAGGTCCTGGCCTAAGTGTTTCAAATACCTTACACCACTTAATCTTTCCAACAGGCCTTTAAACTAAGTACCATGAGCCCCATCTTACAGTTGAGGAACTAGAGACTCAGAAGACTGGAGGAGCTTCTCTAGGGGGTACTATAAGTGTCAGAGCTTAGATGCAAACCTTGATTTGTTTGACTTTAGACCTGATCTCTATCAGTGGTGTTCTGGGGAATGTTTAACAATCAGCTCTCTGGGTAGGGAAGGGGAGGCCTGCTTTATAGTGTTTGCTGGTTTCCCATGGTGTAAATATTCCCACCATGGTTGATTCAAGCTACCAACTTGACTTCACTGAACACTGAATCGGAAAGAAATGCACAAAACTGACTCTGGCTGGTATCAGATGCTTCTAGCAAGCCACATTGTACCTTCCATATTGTCATCAAATACACTTTGGAGCCTGGAACAACTGGTGTCACCTACTGTTTGGTGGAAAGCCCACAGTCCCTCTACTATTTGTGTCTTCATACACTTGTTCTTGCAGGGTATTTTTTGGAACACTGCTGCTGAGCACTTAATCCAGTCGGGCAAAGCCTCAAAGGCTTCCCGGGCATTTCCTCACTTGATTTTCCCTACAGTCATTTTGAGGAGACAGCTCATATTTTTCTGATTTCAAAAAATGAGGAAACGCAGGCTCAGAGAGGATAAGTGATTTGATGAAGGTCACACAGCACACAAGTGAGGAAGGTCTGGCTAGACTAAGGCTAGACCTGAGTCTATGAACCCTGTAGATGATGAAATTTTCCGGAGGGACTGAGAAATGCATAGGAGTTGGAGAGAAGTAATGTTAGTCAAGTAAGATTGGAAAGATTGGACAGAAATGAAATTTTATCTACATAATGCCAAAAAATAATACATCAGTCGCCTGTAGCTGGGTGGTAGCAAATGTCAGAGGATTAGCTGTGTTTTACTTTTTAACCTGGATATTCTGGGTAAAGCAATCATAGTACAGTAGAAAGAATATGGAGGGATCCAAAGGTCTGGATTTGAGCCCATCCTCAGTTACTACATATGCGTCCTCAGCCACTTGGATGTGTCACTTGACCCCTCCTGGCTTTGACTATCTCATCTCTAAAATGGTTGAACCGGCTGGGCACGGTGGCTCACACCTGTAATCCCAACACTTTGGGAGTCTGGGGAAGGAGGATTGCCTGAGCTCAGAGTTTGAGACCAGCCTAGTCAACATAGTGAGTCCCATCTCTACTAAAATAAAAAATTAGCTGGGCCTGGTGATGCACACTTGTAGTCCTAGCTACTTGGAAGGCCAAAGGGGTGATTGCTTGAGTCCAGGAGTTCGAGGTTGCAGTGAGCCGTGATCACACCACTGCACTCTAGCCTGGGTAATAGAGTGAGACTCTGTTTCCGAAAAAAAAAAAAAAAAAAAAAAAATTGGTTGAACAACTGCCAACTGAGACAATGAGTTTATGATCCATGTGTTTGTAATATTAGGTTTTGGGGTTGAACAGACACAGCTGAATGAAAGGAACTTCTTTCCTTCACAGCCATTGAGCTTTAGAAAAAATGTTAAGAGTTCAGAATTAGCTCAATTTACTGTGTACTATGGGGGTTTATGATTTTAAAAATTATACCTGATTTTTGAAATTTTCAAGGGCTTTTCAAATGTGTCCCAAATAATTGTTTTTCATGGAACTGAGAAATTGTGAACTTTTGGATAAGTATCTGGAGTCAGTCTTCTCCAGGAGAACTTGCTCCAGTGGTTTTATTGTTTTTTAGATTTTTTTTGGTTCTTGCTGATCTTAAGGTTAAGATGGACAACTACCTGAATAATACAGATGAACTAAAGTATTTCCCCAAGTCCCTTCTTAGCACTGTCATCTAAAATTTACTCTGCATGGAAATGGTAAGCGCATCTCGCTGCAGACTTATGAAACTTTTCTCATACGTCGACACATGCAAATCACAGGCACTATTGGGTTAAGACTTGACATTTAAGGAATTAAATATTCTACATTCGCCTTTGACCAGAAGGAATGTTGAGAAAGAAAAATATGGTTCTGTTTCTGCATAGATGTGATAAAGTCTGAGACTCGCAAAAGCGCTTAAGTGGTACAACTTGTGTGAGAAGAATTCTTTGGGTGCAGTTAGTATAAACAAAGGGTCCTTGACACGAACAGAGAACTAAGCAGCTGCAAAAGATTTGCTTAGAAAACCAAAAGATTAAATGCTCTTAAGAGAAAAGAGAGAGAGGAAATACCCACTAAGGTCTCTGATATTTCCTTTTTCTTTTCTAACTCTGTGTAGCCTTCTAGGATTAAATATGCTTATCTATGGCTAAAAAGACCAAAAGAATCTTCTACTTAAGAATGAACATTGTTAGTATTTTCCCTTTATCTCTAAATTTAAGTAAGCATAGGGACCTAAGGTTAAGTCACTAGAAAGACATAAAATAAATAAAAAAGAGGACACTGATAGTACTTTGACCCCCATGAGAATATTATGAGAGTCAACAGGAGTGATTGATGCAGAAAGAAATTGCCTTGAAATGAAATATACCAGAATCAATTTGTTTAATATGGAAAACCTGGTGGAACAATAATACATTTCTGACAATAAATTTTGGGTATTCTTGCTATTTCTGATGATAAAGCAGCTACTCATATTCCAAGTTTCTTAAGATATTAACATAAAATTAACTGGAACTTACTTCCAGTGAATTCCACATAATTCCACATAATTCAACTGATCACACTTTTCTAAAATAGTCCTTATTGCTGCAACACAATTTTCAGCTCAAACCTGGGATATGTACAATCCATAATTTCATCATCAAGTTTGTACACTTCACATGTTACTGGAATTTACTTGAAATACAACTGCTATTACACTGAAACATATGGAATTGTCAAAATGTGACGTTTGACCTAAAAAACAGCAAATTTATGTTCTACTGGAAAATACAATACAATAGACAGTTGAATAAAGCATACAACTGAATACAGGCATACCTCATTCTATTACATTTCACTTTATTGAGCTCTGCAGATATTATGTTTTTTACAAATTGAAGGTTTGTGGCAACCCTGCATCGGGCAAGTCTATTGGTGCCATTTTTTCCAACAGCGTATGTTCATTTTGCATCTCTGTGTCACATTTTGGTAACAACCAATATTTCAAACCTTTTCATTTTTGTTATATCTGTTATAGTGGTCTATGATCAGTGAGATTTGATGTTACTACTGTAATTGTTTTGGGGTTCCACAAACTGCATACATATAAGACAGCGAAATTAATTGATAAATGTGTGTATGTTCTGACTGCTCCACCAACAGGCCATTTCTGTTTCTCTCCCTTTCCTCCGGCCTCCCTATTCCCTGGGGCACAGGTATATTGTAATTAGGCCAATTAATAACCCTACAATGGCCTCTAATTGTTCAGGTGAAAGGAAGTGTCTCTCCCTTTAAATCAAAAGATAGAAATGGTGTAGAGAGGAAGGCATGTCAAAAGCCAAGATAGGCTGAAAGCTAGATGTTTTGTGCCAAACAGCCACGTTGTGAATGCAAAGAATTGTTCTTGAAAGAAATTGAAAATGCTACCCCAGTGAACATATGAATGATAAGGATGCAAAACAACTTTATTGTCCATATGGAGAAAGTTATAGTGATCTGAATATAAGGTCAAACCAGCTACAACATTCCCCTATGCCAAAACCTAATCCAGAGAAAGATCCTAACTCTCTTCAATTCTGTGAAGTCTGAGAGAGGTGAGGAAGCTGCAAAAGAAAAGGTGGAAGCTGGCAGAGATTAGTTTATGAGGTTTAAAGAAAGAAAATGTTTCTATAACATAAAAGTGCAAGGTGAAGCAGCAAATGCTGATGTGGAAGCTGCAGCAAGTTATCCAAAAGATTTAGCTAAGATCATTGATGATGGTGGCTACACTAAACAATAGATTTTAAGTGTAGACAAAAGAACCTTCTATTGAAAGAAGATGTCATCTAGGACTTTCCTAGCTAGTGAGGAGAAGTCAATGCCTGACTTCAAAGCTTCAAAGGGCAGGCTGATTCTCTTGTTAGGGGCCAGTGCAGCTGGTGACTTTATGTTGAAGCCAATGCTCCTTTAGCATTCTCCAAATCCTAGAGCTCTTAAGAGCTATACTAAATTTACTCTGCCTGTACTCTGTAAGTGGAACAACAAAGCCTAGGTGACAGCACATCTGTTTACAACATGGTTTACTGAATATTTTAAGCCTACTGTTGAGACCTACTGCTCAGAAAAAAGATTTGTTTCAAAATATTACTGCTCATTGACAAGGAACCTAGTCACCCAAGAGCTCTGATGAAGATGTACAAGGAAATGAATGTTGTTTTCATGCTTGCCAACACAATAGCCATTCTACAGCCCATAGATCAAGGAGAAATTTTGACTTTGAAGTCTTATTATTTAAGAAATACATTTCCTAAGGCTATAGCTGCTATATATAGTGATTCCTCTGATGGATCTGGGAAAGTAAACTTAAAACCTTCTGGAAAGTATTTACCATTTTAGATGCCATTAAGAATGTTCATGATTCATGGAAGAAGGTCAAAATATCAACATTAACAGGAGTTTGGAAGAAGTTGATTCCAACCCTCATGGATGACTTTAAAGAGCTCAAGACTTCAGTGGAGGAAGGAGCTGCAGATGTGGTAGAAACAGTAAGAGAACTAGAATTAGAAGGGGAGCCCGAAGATGTGACTGAATTGCTGCAACCTCATGATAAAACTTCAGTGAATGAGAAGTTACTTCTTATGGATGAGCAAAGAAAGTAGTTTCTTGAGATGGAATCTGATCCTGGTAAAGGTGCTGTGAATATCATTGAAAAAGGAGTTAGAATAGTCCATTAACTTAATTGATAAATCAGCAGCAGGGTTTGAGAGGACTGACTGCAATTTTGAAAGACATTCTACTGTGGGTAAAATGCTATCAAACAGCATCTCAAGCTTCCTTTTGTGGAAGGAAGAGTGAATCAATGTGGCAAGCTTCATTGTTGTCATATTTTAAGAAATTGCCACACCAACTCTAACCTTCAGGAGCCATCACCTTGATTAGTCAGCAGCCCATGGAGGTAAGACCCTCCCCCCAGCAAAAAGATACAACTCACTGAAGTCTCTGATGGCTATTAGTATTTTTTAGCAATAAAGTATTTTTAAGTTAAGGTATGTACATTGTTTTTCAGACATAATGCTATTGCACACTTAATACACTGCATTATAGTGTAAACATAACTTTTATATGTACTAGGAAACCAAAAAAAATTGTGTAACTTGCTTTATTGCAGTGTTCATTTTATTGCAGTGGTCTGGAACCAAACGCACAATATCTCCAAGATAGCTTATACTATAAAGTCATCAGAAAAAATGGGTGTTAATCTAAATATACAGATATGGAAAGCTATACAAGATTATTGTTAAGTGATAAAAGTAAGTTCCCATGCAGTACATATAAAATACCACCATTTTTGCAAAAACAAATACTTTTATAAATAATAAATATTAGCATATGCATGGAAAAATATGGAGGAATATACATGAAGTAGTTGTTAACAGTGGCTATATCTAGAAACTAATATAGGAAACTTTTGTGTTCTATATAACATATTTCTGTAGTATTTCAATTTTTAATAAGCATATATCATGTTTGAAATAAAGACTACTTAAACACTTTGAATACACAGACAGCAAATAATCATATGAAAAGATGCACAAAAATCATTAATAATTAGAGAAATGCAAATTAAAACCACAATGAGATACCACTACACATGGATCATTATGTCTAAAAGTAAAACATAGTGACAACCAAATGCTGGAGAGGATGTGGAGAAACCAGACCATTTACACATTGCTGATGGGAATGTAAAATTGCACAGCCACTCTGGAAAACAGCTTGGCAGTGTCTTTAACAGTTAAACATACACTTAGCCTATGACCCAGCAATCCCAATCCTAGAAAAAGTGAAAGAAAAACTTATCTTCACATGAAAATCTGTACATGAATGTTTGTAGCTGATTTATTCATAAGCACTAACATCTGGAAAACAGTTCAATGTCCTTCAACCAGTGAATGGATAAACAAACTGTGGTACACCCATAAAATGGAATACTGCTCAACACTAAAAAGGAACAAATGTCCAGGCACCATGGCTCACTCCTGTAATCCCAACACTTGGGGAGGCTGAGGTGGGAGAATAGCTTGAGCCCGGGAGTTCGAGACCAACCTGGGCAACATAGGGAGGCCCTGTCTCTACAAAAAATATAAAAATTAGCTCGGTGTGGTGGCACACGCCTGTGGTCCCAGTTATATGGGAGGCTGAGGCAGGAGGATCGCTTGAGCTCATGATCACTCCACTGCACTCCAGCGTGGGTGTCAGAGTGAAGAACAAAAAAAGGAATTCAAAAAGCTATTTGATTCTATGTATTTGACACTCTGAAAAATCACCACTATAGGGTTGGAGACCACATAGATTAGTGGCAGCCAGGGATTAGGGTGGAGTGAGGAAAGCAGAAGTACTGGTGAACATTTTAGGGTCACAGAGCCATTGTGTATCTTGATTGTGGGGTTCATTATGCATCTCTAAGTATTTGTAAAGACTCATAGAATTGTACACCAAAAAATTGAATTTTAATATATATAAATCTAAAAACAAAATTTAAAAATATGCCATTGGAAGAAAAATTTAATTAATGTTTTATTTTTAAAAAATGTCTCCACAAGTCTTGATTCATCCTGTACAGTTTCTGGATAGAGTTGGGAGAAACTACTTTTAAATTGACAGGGGTGGTTGCCAAGTGTAAATTAACTCTGATATTCTTGCTATGTGAGGAAAGATTGGGAGTTTGGAACCATAGCTTGGAAGCTCTCTATATAAATGCAAAGTGTGTAGTGGAGGTCACGCTCAGTTACTCACCATGCATGACAGGGGGTTGTGGATGGTGTCCATCAAGGCTTGAACACCAGACAGCACCCCCTTCACAGGTGAGGGCTCCCTTTCCCTACCCGAAGGATGGATTCATCATGTTTCTCTTAAATTCCTCAAGCTCCTCTTCCTTCTATCGAAACTGTGAATTAAAAAGGCACTTGAAGGGCAGAACCAGGGTCTCTCTCCTCTTCCAGTTTGGGGACCCTAATGCTTAAGCTCCACAAGGTAAACTGCAACGCTCATGGACAGCATGAGAATCACCTCTTTAGCAGTTAGCATCGGATTTGGCAAAATAGCCACCCTGTTCCCAATTATATTTTACCTTGCAGCAGTAAAAACAAAACAAAACAAAAGAGGAAAAGAAAGAGGAGGAGATAGAAAACACACACACACACACACAAAAATAACAACACAACAGAATCTCCTGAGCCCAGGGCTGGAAAGCTGAGCTGAGCTTTGTCAAGTCCATTTTCCAGCTGAGCCTAAAAAAGAGACTGACTCTATTTGTGTGGCTTATTAATGATTCAGGTCTGACAAATTTGGGTTTGTAAATAGGAGAGGCTGAATTAGACTGTCCTGTGTAAATAAGTCTTTAAAATCGCACTGTAAGTAATGGCTGTGGTACACCAGATGTTTTTAATGAAGTGACCACTCCACAGAACAGCACCCTGAGAGTCTAAGCTGATGGGAGGGCGCTCCCCCAAGTGCCTTTGTATTGTTTTATTCCTCTTCTAGTAATAGACCAACTTTTCCCTCCTGCCAGAAAAGAACAGTGAGAAGCTGGCTTTCTGCTTTTATGAATCTACCTGTTATTCTGTTTACTGTGGCCACCAGATGCTTCAAGTAGGAGCTAAAAGGTCTTTTCAATCCCAGCTCTTAAGTTAATGCTCCCACATCTAAGTCAACTGAACAAGGATCTATTAAGCCCTTCCTATATACTTTATGTTTGAAAAGATAATAGCCAGAGAGCTCAGAAAGAATGCATCACAAGTGCTTTGTGCTGATCTGACAGTAGGTGTTCTTCTCTCCTCTCCTCTGTTCATTCCTGGCTTAAAGTGCAACAGAAAGGGCTGGAACTCTGGCTCACTGACCACTAGCCTGTGACACCAGATATCTGGTTTTCTTCCTATTGGTGCTGTGACGCTTGAACGAGTGACTGAATCTTACTGAGTCAGAGTTTTGTCACACAAAAATGTGGAGATTAGATTACAGGATTTCTCAGGCTCCTTCCAGTACTAAAAAGCTATGAGTCTGTGAAATAAGGGAGAAAATGTAAGAAACACATTTAGGCCAAATCCATAATGATGCCCAAGGATACCTAATGCTCAGGATTCTTTCCGAGTCAACTGATAAAGGTACCTGTTTATTCAATATACTGAATAAAAATTAAAGAAATGGCAAGGGGAGACAAATAACACTTGTTTTTTTTCTTTTGTTGAGACAAGCTCTCACTCTGTGGCCCAGGCTGGAATGCAGTGGTGCAATCAAAGCTCACTGTAGCCTAAAACTCCTGGGCTCAAGCGATCCTCCCTTCTCCACCTCCCAAGTAGCTGGGACTACAGTCATGTACCAACATGCTCAGCTAATTTTTTGCAAATGAAACCTTTAAATGACAATTTAGAAAGGTGGAGATGTTCCTAAGGTTCTAGAGCATATGGCATAATGATGTCAAGTACTCAGGTTTTGAGTCAGCCTATTCAGGTTCAAATCTCAGTCTCACTACTTAGCAGCTGTGTGATCCAGCCCAGTTTCTTTCTCTGAGCTCATAAATATAAAGTGGGATAATACTATTCTCCCCAAGGAGTTGCTAGCAGGATTAAATGAAATAATGGATGCATGCCTGGGCCATGAAACATTTGATAAATGTTATATGTTACCACCACTACTACTACTACTACTATTACTACTAATACTACTACTTATAGTGCACAGTGAATGATTACTCCAGAAGTACTTAGAGCAATGGATGGTGCTGAAGAGAAGAGACAGCTGTGGTGGAGAGACCAAGGCACCTAACTTCACAACCAAAGTCCAAGGTTTTAGGTAAAGATAACACAGAAGTAAAGAATATGTTCACAATCAAAATTCCACCGTGGAAATTATATAAGGTACTGCCCCACAAAGATATTAATGCCTATCTCTTAAGAGTGTTAGAATGAGTTACATGACATAATGCCTGTGAGTCCTGCATTGTAAACCACGAACTCCTCTACAAATGTAAAGATTGTTCTAATCTAGGGAGATTATGAACCTAAACCTATAACAGCAGTCTTTCTATAATGAGACAGCTGTTTATCTGACAGGCTGAAATACTTCACATTTTTTTTGAATGACTGGGGGTTATCTTCATGGACATCGATTACTAACAAGTAGAACGTCCCTATTCATCGTGCTCTGCTGTTTTAACTTGCTTTCATGTACATGACCTCCTTTCATTCCCATGACCTGAAAGGTATAGAGGGGATTTGTCCCCATCCTGACCCTCTCCCAGTTCTTCCTTCATAGCTGCCATAATCTGGTCTTTGCTCCCATTTTTCTTTCCAAGTAGTGATTATTGGAAACAGACATAAGAATAATATCAAACACTTATCTTGAATTCTAGGTCAAAGGGTGCCTTTAAGCAAGGAAGGGGCATATTCAGGAATTTTAGAAGGCTTAATGAGCAGCAGCTGACCTCGGAGAGTCTGGAGTGTGTGGACTGAAGCAGGGATGGGTTGGAATGCAGTGGACCAGTGAGTGTCATATCATGAGAGCAAGGGTGGTGAGACCTGCTTGTATTTTGGCAGTGAGAGTGAGAAGCAGGCAAGACACTCTGCAGGAAGTAAATCTATGAACTTCATTTCTTCCGCAAATGTTTATTGAACATTTACCGGGAGTCAGGTATTGTGCTAGGGGCTGGACATATATTGGGGAGTAAAATAGACAAAATCTTGATCTCTGTGAATGTATGATTTGTGGATGTCAAGTAACTGGATGTCAACGAGATGGAAAGTGGGAAGTCAAATGGCTAATTCTAGCTTGGCTGTCAGGGGAAATAGTGGTACACTGGGCTGCACTGGAAGGCGGGAGGAAGACTGGGTTTGTGGGAAGGCTGATGCATTTGGTGTTCAGCACAATAAAGTTGAAGAACTAATATCAAAATACTTTTCTAAAATGAAATCCGTGCTGGATTAAACTCAGGTTTTGTGGCTGGCACCAAGTGACCTACATGGCTTTATACAGTGACTCAAAGTCTAATTAAAGCAGCACCCAGTCTGACTGCAAATCCACTTAGTCCTGGTCCCATATTTTAGGAGGCATTTTTCTTGCAAACCTTATATGAGAAAATTTATTGAAATAGTAGACAATGTCTTTGAGTATAGCTTTACAAGAATGTACTGAAATGTATATCAAGTTGATTTTTCTCATAAAGACCGTCTATAAAAGTTGAAAGCACTACTCAGGAGGCTGAGGTAGGAGATCTACTTGAGCCCAGGAGTTCAGAACAGCCTGGACGACATAGCGAGACCCCATCTCCTAAAAGAAAAAGTTGAAACTATAAAATTAAATCCTGACTCAGTCAAGGAATTTTTGGGAGTGGTAAAATAACACAATCCAAGTAAATTATTTTCTCATGATTTCACTTAATACAGAGAAGGAATATAGAGAAATGGTATGTCCCTTAGGCTGTGTCTCAACTATCAGGTGTGTCCAGGAAACCAATGTTAAGGGCTGGGTTGTGGTTAATTCCTGGCCAAATTCTCTGCCTGGTGCCTGATATAGCAATATTTAGTGTGGCTCACAGGAAGCACCGTAGGTCACAGATGTACAATAGCAGAGTCGACACATTATTGGGAAAACTTAGGAGCCTTGCTTTTTCCTTCTACTTCCCTAGAAGTAGGGCCAAGCCAGGGATCATTCTACTTCCTCACAGATGTGGGCCACAGAGTTGGTGAGATCATATTTTTCCCCCTACAAAAGTACTGAATCATTCTGACTCTTAAGGAACTTGTTTAAATGTCACTGCTTTGCCACATAAACTATAAAGACCATTTTATCTTGAAAAAATATTGAAAGTAGGTTCAACCAATCAGTACCAAAGAAAAACCCATTTATAAGGTGTCTAGAGAACAGTTGATCCCAACCTTGACTACACTTTGAATCACCTGGGGAACTTTAAAATCTACTGATGTCTGAGTCTCACCCCTGGAATTCTGAATTAATTGGTCTGGGGTATTGTCTGGGCTTTGAGAGTTTAAAAACTTCTCCAGGAGATTCTGATCTGCAGCTATGGTTGAGAACCACAGCTGTTTCTGATGTTTGCTTAGGCTTCTTGGCAGTAAAACCATGGCATCAGCACAGAGGAGGGGACTCTTTTTCCACCTTACTTTGGCAGTGGAAATGTATCCTATGCAACTCCTGGAGTATCTTTATCTATTAATCTTTGTGTCTGATATGAACATTCTACTTTTTGGAGGTCTGCCTATGTCAATGGAATCAAAGACTGGGGTGATTTTGTAGTCTTCACATTTCTCTTCATTTATTTGTTATCGTTGTAATTTCTGATGTTCATACTTGGAGGATTTCTGATTCATTTTGGATATCACAATCATTCTGAATGGCTAATGAACCGGGTTTCTGTACCAGAGTAATGAAGCATAACTATGTTTATGTGTGAGTGACCCCTTGGGGCCATTCATATCCTACTTCAGCTAGTACTAGTTGTTATAGCCTGAACAAGTCACTTAAATTCTCAGAATCTCATTTTCCTTATCTTATAGGTTGTTGTAAGGATTGCACATAATATAGTGTCTACTGCATAACAAATACTCAATAAATTATAGCTATTATTATCTCCAAATCTAGATTGCAAGCTCCTTAAGGATATGAGGTCATGTTTCCTATAAAAATTTTAGATATTTATAATTTTCTGGCATTTATGAGATGGTGTTCAATACAGATAATACAATTCCAGCTTTATAAATGATAGAGAATACTAGACAGAACTCTTTCATCAGATTGGCAGATTTAGATGTATAGTCTAGGACCATGTTACTAAGTAAGGTAACTGGTCGATCGGAACCTCAGCTCTATAGTTTTAAGCGGTTAAGAGCCTGGGTTCTAGAATCAAACCTTGTGGCTTTGCTTTTTTTTGTGTGGTATAGAGATGGGTTCTCACTGTGTTGCCCAAGCTGGCCTTGAATTCCTAGGCTCAAGCAATCCTCCTGCATTGGCCTCCCCCAGTGCTGGGTTTATAGGAGTGAGCCACCACGCTCGGCTGACCTCCTGGGTTTGAATTCTGCCTTCCATTCTCACTGGCTTGGTTCTTGATCAAGTTACTTAATCCCCCTCAGCTTAGTTTCCTTATCTGCAAACTGGGCATGTTCCTTGGGTGAATTAAATGTTGCACATATTGCATGCACAGTGCTTAACCGGAGCACACTACATTATAAAAGTTCAATTAAGGCTTGCTATTATTATTATTGGCTTCATTCACATTGTTCTGACTCATGCATCAACTTCCAGAGGAGGTGACAGTGGCCAGCAGGTCACATGCAACAGAAATGAGGTGACACCATTTCGTAAGAAGCAAAGCATGTCTAGGAAAGAAGCACAGAAGAAGCCAAGGACAACAGCCTCTGGAAACTCAGCGGTGGCCACTACCCAATGGAGACAGCACATACTGGCATCACTCTTGGGCAGTCACCCAACTCATTAGAAGTTGACCAGCCCTTATTTATTCAACATTGTATACGGTAGCTATTGGAGTCTTAAAGGAAGTGAAAAGTAGTACCTTTGAGGAACTACAGTCTGGGTGGGAAGAGAAGTCTTCGTAAAGAAGATGGATATTCATGTTATATTATTAAGTGCTAAATTGTGTGATTCAGCCTGTTCTTTCAGTAGGAGTTACAAGAGGGGAGACAGCAATACTGGCCTTTCTGCACTATTCTTTCTGGAGGAAAATAAAGCCATTAGCAATAACATTTTCAAACATAATTAGCAGGGAAGGTGTCTCTCTGCTAACAAAAAAGCCGAACGTTCTAATCCCCCTTTTTCTGCAACAATCCAAAATGTAACAAATATGTGAAGAATCAGGGAGTGGGTTATTCAGGAAATAAGTACAGGAGTTATGAAAGATTTCTTTAGAGGACTTTTTCCCTAATTCGAATCACCAAAGGTTTACTGAACAGCCCTTCTGTAACAGATAGGCACTGTGCTAAACCCATGAGATGGAGAATGAGGAAGATACAGTCCTATCCTCAAGGGGTGGCTCACATTCCAGTGACTATGTGGGACTATCAAGTCTCAGGGCATTTCTAAGGCCCTTCTCTTTTCCTGTGCTCATGGTAAAAACAGTCTGAAATAGAGAAACTGAGTAGATAAGCAGGCATAAGGAAAAAAGAAGTAAATAATGTATCATTCCATGAAAACTACCCTTGAAGACAGTGGAGGGGACAGACATAAACAGACCATTTCAGCCACATAAGTGAGGAGCTCAGACAGGGGTGTGCCCGGGTGTTGTGCATGCGCTGGGGGAGAGGTTCTCCGTGGAAGCTGGAACTGAGAGAGGCTGCCAATGTGATGTGATGTCTGAACTGAGTACTGAAAGGAATGAGAGATCATCAGAAGATGGGAAAGGTGTTACAGGCAAGGAACAGCCTTTGCAGAGGCCCACCAGGGTCCAGCCGCTTGTGTGGGTGGTGACCTTGAAGTAGCTCATCATTGCTAAGATATAATGTGGGAAAGGGCAGAAGGTGACAGAAGCCAAGCTACAAAGGGCTTTCCCTGCTGGACAGCCTTAGCTTTCCCCAGAGGTGAGGGAGATCCATGAAAGGAACGTGTGGTGGTCAGATGTATTTTTAGACATATGTAGAGAAAGAATTGGGGGAAAGGCTCAATCGTGAGGAGTGGGTGCTGCTGCATGCAACAGTGGACTCAGCTTATAGGGATCTGTTTGCTCACATGCCAAGGAATATGGTGAAGGCAGGTACTGACTGGCTTAGATACTCAGCTCCCCTCTGTGTTTTTGCTTGGCCATGCTTTTGTCCTCATTGTTGTACCTCACAGTGAGAAGATGGCTGGCCAAGCTCAAAACATCACCTCCATGTTTAAGGTAGCAAGAATGGGGAAAGATACAACTATTCCCTTAAATCACCAACACAAAACCTTTCCAGAAACCCCCAGACTTTCATGAGATGTCTGGAAGTTAGAACAGGACTATACCAAATGGCCACCTTTGGCTGCAAGAGAGACTGAGAAAGTAATAATCTTACTTCTATAGTGATGGGGGCCAGGGAGAAGGAGGTTGGAAATAAGGGTTGAAGAAATGAACCTATCATTTCTGCCACAAAAGCTAGCAGGTGACAGTTGGTGAGGACCTGAGATAGGCCAATGGTAATCGAGAAAGGGCAAATATTGTTGCCATGGACTAAAATGGAAAACTCAGAAATACTGAGTATTGAATCTAGTTATGCTAGATGAAGACTTAGGTATTGTCTCGGGGAGATGTTCAGCAGGGAGCTGGATGTTAGTTCTAAACTTAAGTGAAGGCTCAGGCCTGGGGATATATTTGAGAGTCATTAGAATATAGGTGGGAAGCTGGGCCATCAGAGGAGTCAAGACACTCCAGGACAGCATGACATGAGAAGAGCAGTAGGCCATGGTCATGCCATACATTTAGACATCGGAAGCAGAGCATGAGAAATTCACAGGAGATACTACAACAAAATGGCTGGAAAAGTCAAGGGAGTAGAGAATTTCTAGAAATGAGTGGTCAGTAGGATCAGAAACAAAAAGGCCCAGTAAGATAAAAACAAAAACTACCTATAGGGTTTGGTAATATGATTTTGCTGTTGGTCTTTCCCTGAGCAGTTCAGTGATGGGGTTGGGAAGATTATTTTTGCAGTGGAAAGAAGGAGGCAGGAAGTATAAATTCCTTTCCAGTAGAGTTTTTGAAAGTAAGAGAAATAAAACTAAGGCAACAAATAAGTAGGGAAATTTGTTTTTTATTTTTATGGGTAAGACTGGGCAGAGGGGATTTAGAGGCAGAGGGGAAGAGGCCAACAGGGAGGGAAGGGTTGAAGTTACAGGAGACTGTATCACTATAAGGGTGAAAGGCTTAATCATGATTGGCTTCCACCAATCTTAGGGCATCTGCCAGGGCTGAGGAAGCAACCCATCATTCCCGGGCTTATTGCACCCTTTACCTGAACAATATGGGGTTTCTAAAACCAAAAAAAAAAAAAAAAAAAAAAAAAAAAGAGGGGATGGCTGTTGGGAGAGGTTCCAATAGTGTCTGCCACACCAACCCTCTCTCTACTTAAAAATGTCACAGCAGAATTGCATCTGCAGTGATTCATATCAAAAGCTTGAACAGTCTTTTCATATTGCACATTTTAATTTAAATACTTTCTCACTTCATGGTTCTCCTTAGGCCTAACCTACTTTCAATTAAGCCTGAGTCTGTGAAGACATACTAACTTGTTCGAGTCTATTTTCTCTACATGCTAGCACACACACCCTGGAATTTAATGGATAGTAAAATTATGCAAAGAATCACTGTGTGCAACAAGAACTGGGACATTTCCTGCCAAGCCCACCTCCAATACAAACATGTACACACACCCATCGGTGCTATACATAGAACTTGCTCTTAAATACCAACATCCATTTGCCACACTGTGGAGCAAATATGCTTCCATTCTCATGATTAAAATAACAGGAAGTATCATCATTCTTGAAGTCTTGGTATTTATAACAACAATATAACCACAAAAAATATGTAACTGTGGAGACTCTTGATAAGGTCTATTGGCAAGGCATCTGGTAGCATCCTTGGCTTGATGAAAAGCCCTGTATCTAAATAATCTTACTTTTCAAGCAATGCTGTGATGTACCCTGAGGATCCAATCCAAGAAGGGTAAAAACTGCTACAGACGTCCTCTATAACCCCCAGCCTGAAAGGGGCCTTTGCCTCTTCAGCCAGTCTGGCAGGTCATGGAAATTCTACTCTTGCAAAGAGAGCTGTGGATACAAGCAAAGTATTTCTTCAGTATTTACTTTGACTGGTGAAAGAGCCACGGCAGATTTTTTTCTTTTTCCCCAAGACACAAAATGACATTTTAAAGAAGAAACCACTCTTGGTGCCATAGCGTCTTTTAAAAATAATATCAGAATAAAAGCTCAAAGGCATGTTCTCTTAAGCACAGCTGTCCAAAGCCTCCTATTTCAGGGAGAATTCAGCCACTTTATGCAGACAGGAAAACAAAACTGTTCGTTTTAGCATCTTCTCTATTGGAACTATTTTTTTGTACTCAGATTGCATCAGATTCAAAACTAGTGACATCCTCTTATGCTCTGTTTCCCCAACCAGATCATGAGCTCTTTAAGGTCAGGGGCCACATTTTGTACTCCTTTATTTCTTGCAGAGTTGTGTTTGTCATGGTGTACTTTCAGGAAATTGTTGTTGAATGGATGAATGAATGAAAGAATGACAAAAATGGGAGAGCAGTGGTAGGTGAGTTGCTAGGCAGCCTGGTAAAGAGGATTACAAGAGTCAGGTCAGATTAGCAGGAAAGGTGGTGTAGGGGAAAGAATGTTGCATTCTGAGCCAGCAGACATGGGTCCTAGTCCCAGGCTGGCTTGCTTGTCTTCACTCATTCAACAAACATTTCTTACACTTCAAGTGAGCCAGGCAGGCATTGCGGCAGACACTGAAGAAGGCAAAATCCCTGCCCTCCAGGTGTGGTGGTGGTGGTGGTGGTGGTGGTGGTAAGGGAAGCATGTGGAGATCAGGATTATGGGAGAGATGTGTGATAGGAGGTATGATCACGGCAAGCACAGGGCACATGGAAGCAAGGAGAAAGGGCTTCTAAATCAGACTGTGGATTCCAGGAAAGCTTCGTCCACCTGAAAGGAAAAGACAGAGGCACAAAATATAACAAAACATTTACTTGAGCCAAAGTGAGGACAGTTGCCCGGAAGACTTAGACCCAAGTAACCCTGGATATGAGCTTCATGCCGCCTTTATTACAAGCAGGTTTTTTACAGGCAGAAAAGGGGGACAGGGAGTAGGCCGATATGAAATTGTTTGTAAGGAATTCACATTGGTTTACAGAAACAACATTGCTCACTGATTGGCTATGCACTGTTAAGCTATAGGCTATGAGTGATAGTGTCCAGTGTGACATTATTAGGTTAATGTATAGTTACTTGTGGCAATAGCAAGCAGTTTCAAGGATGAATACATAGCTCAAAAGGGGGCAGTAGTGTTACTGGAAAGAGTTCCTGATCCAGACCCTAAGAGAGGGCTCCTGGATCTGGTGCAAGAAAGAATTTGGAGTGAGTCTACAAAGTAAAGTGAAAGTGACTTTATTAGATAAGTAAAGAAACAAAAGAATAGGCAGAGCAGTGGCGTCGGCTGCTTGACTGATTATACTTATGGTTATTTATTGATTATAAGCTAAATGGGGTGGATTATTAATGAGATTTTTGCAAAAGATGTGGGGAATTCTTTTCTCTTCCCAGATTCCTGAAGGAGGAGGGTTTTGATTCAAGCCTTAAAGATGAGAAGGTGTTGGCTTGAAATTGACCAAGAAATTGACCTTTTACTGTAGGTAAAAGGACTTACCTGTGAGGATGTTGTATTGGAGAATTAAAGTCTCAGCTTCAGGTGAGACTTCAGGGTGGCTGTGACGGGAGATAAAGTTAGAGACATAAACTAGAGCTACTTTCCAAAGGGCCTTGCTGCAATATAATTTAGTGGTTAGGAGTGGAGGTTTAGAGATCAGACAGAATTGGGTTCAAATCTCAGCTTTGGTACTTACCAGCCATGTGATAATAACTGATTTTTTTAAAATCCCATCTGAGCTTTAGTTTCCTTAACACAACGACTACCTGTTATCAGTTGTCTATTGCTGCATAACAAATTATCCCAAAATGTAATAGCTTAAAGCAACACACAGCTTCTTCAGCTTCTGAAGCTGAAGCTGTAATTCTCAGTTTTGGTTGGTCTGGAATCCCACCAAAACTATAATTATAATCTAACCAAAACTATAATTCTCAGTTTTGGTGGGTCTGGAATCTGCACCTGGCTTAGCTGGGTCCTCTGCTTCAGGGTCTCTTGCAAGGCTGCAATCAAATGTCAGCCAGCGCTGAGATACCATCTCAAGACCCAACTGGGGAAGGATCCGTTTCCAAGCTCACTGACATGGTTGTTGGCAGAATTCAGTTCCTTGCTGACTGTTGGCCAGAGGCTGCCCTCCTCAGTTCCTTGCTATGTGGGCCTCCCCGACATAACAGCTTGCTTCATCAAAATCAATGAGAGGGAAAGTCAACTAACAAGGAAGAAGCCACAATCTTATTTAGCCTTCTTCTCATCACTCTTGCCACACTATGTTTGTTAGAAATCACAAGGCCAGTCCACACTCCCAGGGCAGAGATTATACAGGGGAATGAACACCAGGAAATGGGGATCATTGGAGACCATCTCAGTGTTTGCTTGCCCCAAAGCTCATAGCTTAGTACCACTAAATAAATGTTAGTTATTATTATTATGCTGAATCGAGAGATAAAGTAAAACTACAGAGGGCCAGTAGTTTTATATCAGGGAGTAACTTCAGATGATGTTGGGCAAGTCAAGTCATCTGTCTTTGAACTTTCATTTCATCCTCAGTAAAATAAAAATACCTGACCCCAGAAAGAATGAGAAAATATATGTGCAAGCATAAATATATTTTTGGAACATCAAATATACAACTCTCCACTCTGAGGAAGCAAACTGCTTTGGGCCAGTTTTCCATTTTGTGTCTGCTCTATGAGTCTCACAGTCTGATGTCTTCACGTTTTTTAGCGTTTGGTCCAGTGGGCCCATAGGAATAAACACCTACAAAGAGCAGTGTGTCTCTGGAGAGTCCTTTAAGGCATTTCCAAGGATTTGCTTTTTGGTTTTTTTCTTTCTTTCGTTCTTTTTAAATATCTTTGCTTTTAAGGACCTCATGGGGGGCCTGGGAGAGAAAACAGACTGTCTGGGAAATTTTAAGCTCTTGATAATAAAAATGGTAATAAAATCTCCTCCAGCTCCTGAGGCTTCGCAGAGGGGATGTTTATGGTGGATGGGGTTCCCCTTCTCCTGCGCAGCTGGTTTCGAGGTTGTGCGGTTTCCAGTCCTGCGGAGCAGCTCAGGTTACCGCCTCCGTGGCCGCGGGGGAGGGCATCTCCGACGGCCGCAGCAATGGGCAAGAGATCAGGGTCTTCCCATCCCCGCGACTCGCCCCTTTCTGCCTGGTAACCAAGCGGGATGCCTCATCCTACTCCCCAAACGGAGCGGATCACACACAGTAGTATTTCATGGTCTTTCCTGCTGCGGTTTTCCCGGGGGAAGGTACTTCCAGAGGGTGGCCAAGTCTTCCCTAGCGGCCGGCCTTCGGGAGGGGGACAGAACTTAGGAGTCAGCCCTCTGCCTTCGTACAAAGGCTCGCTTCTCCTCAGGGCGTCTCTGGGTGGAGCGAAGCGGCCGAGGGGACCACGACAATGTCCCTTTGCTTTTCGGACCGATGGCCAGGCCTCCAGAGCCAGGAGCGCCCGGGACCCCAGGGCAGGGAGCAAAGCTCATACCGCAACCCCGCCACCCGCCCGCGCCCTGCCAGCCTGTTGGGGCCACAGCGCGCAGGCCAGCAGCCGCACTCGCCGCTGCGGGGTTCCCTTTGCGCTGAGCTCATCTCCTGCAACGCCGCTGCCCCAAACCTTGCGGGCCATTTGGTCCCGGGGGTGGGGCTCCTTGGGGGCCGCGGGGCAGCCCGGATGAGAGGATGACCCGGGAGCTCCCTGGGGGCGGAGTGGAAGGGGCAGCTCCAGGCAGCCCTGGCCAGGAGCTTTTACCCCGCCAGCCCCGCTGCTCCAGCGGCCGCTGCCTTAGAAAAGTTAACGAGAACCAGATGTGGTGGCCACTGCCGAACTTTCTCAGAGCCGGTGATTGGTCCCCAGCCGAGGGCCTCAGCCAATTAGCTTGCTGGGTGGGCCTGGAGTCCCGCCCCGCCCAGGCGCCCGCGGAGATCCAGGTTCGAGGCTGGCGCGGCGCGGAGAGTGGGCTGGAGGCCGGGGCGGGACGCGTTGTGCAGCGGGTAAGCGCACGGCCGAGCGAGCATGGAGGGGGACCGGGTGGCCGGGCGGCCGGTGCTGTCGTCGTTACCAGTGCTACTGCTGCTGCCGTTGCTAATGTTGCGGGCCGCGGCGCTGCACCCAGACGAGCTCTTCCCACACGGGGAGTCGTGGGGGGACCAGCTCCTGCAGGAAGGCGACGACGAAAGCTCAGCCGTGGTGAAGCTGGCGAATCCCCTGCACTTCTACGAAGCCCGATTCAGCAACCTCTACGTAAGTTCAGCCCCCTCCTGGCACTTTTCCCGCAGCTTCTTCCCTGGGGTCGGTCTCACGGAAACCCTGCCTCCAGAGGGGAGGAAACAGACCCCACTCCTGGAGCCCCCCAGCACCCTTGCGGTGGTACCCGGCCAGAGAGCGATGCCGCTGCCTGCCCCGCTGCTGTAGGGGAGCAAGAATGACCTGGAGGGGAGAGCAAGAATTGTTCGCAGCCACGTACGCGTCCCAGGCAGAAAAGGTGGCGTTGCTAGGGCGGCCAGCGGGCTTTGCAGTTAGGACCGCGAGAAGGCTGTGCCCGTCTGCGGAGCTGGGGTGTTCCCTCTTCAGACCTGGAGGCTTCCTCTCCGAGGACATGGGGCTCCGGGGTTGTGAGGGGAGTGAGAAGATAGGTGAACGAGTTTTAGGGCCCCTGGACCTACTGCAGCGCGGAGCTGGGACAGTCGCAAAAGTTGCGCTTGTTTCCCTGAATCCAGACTCCCTGGCCAGTGGGGAAGGAGAGAGAGGCTTTTTGCCTAAGTCAGTTCCCTTCCCTCCCTGCGCGAAAGGGTAGCGTCCTTGGGCTTGAGCGACTGTCACCTTTTTGTCCCTCTCCTCTCCCAGGTGGGCACCAACGGCATCATCTCCACTCAGGACTTCCCCAGGGAAACGCAGTATGTGGACTATGATTTCCCCACCGACTTCCCGGCCATCGCCCCTTTTCTGGCGGACATCGACACGAGCCACGGCAGAGGCCGAGTCCTGTACCGAGAGGACACCTCCCCCGCAGTGCTGGGCCTGGCCGCCCGCTATGTGCGCGCTGGCTTCCCGCGCTCTGCGCGCTTTACCCCCACCCACGCCTTCCTGGCCACCTGGGAGCAGGTAGGCGCTTACGAGGAGGTCAAGCGCGGGGCGCTGCCCTCGGGAGAGGTAAGTGACCAGGGATATTTGACTGCTGAGGAAATTGAAGGATGGGCTTAAATTCTGGGGCAGCGACCCAGGGACTGGCTCGGAGTTGTTTCTGAGCCTACTCTTGCGCTGAACCTGACCTTGGAGGCAGCAGGGCTGGAGTGGCTTGGGAGTGAGGAAAGACGTTGTCTCTAGGCATCTTCTGAGGCCCTGGCAGGTGGTCACTCCCTTGAGGAAAAAAATGCTTAGCGGATATGAGAGCGGGAGTGCAGATGTGGGAGCCCCTTTGAACATAAGGCAATTTACTGTTTGGTTGCTTATTTTTAGAACCATCTCTAAGTATACAAGTATTTCTAATTATATGTTCATTGAAGGGGAAAAAATCAGAAAATACAGATAATTTTAAAAAAGAAAACAACCACTCATTTTCCCACCACTGATAAACATTTTTCTGCGTACATTTTCAGAGTTTTTTCTTCTGCATATCTTTATTGCTGTCTATTAACAATGATGAGTTTACACTGCACATACTGTTTTATAACTTGCTTTTTTCACAGAATAGTGTATTGTAAATATGTTTCAATGTCAATAAATGTATTTCTACATCATTTATAATGATGCATACTACTGTATCCTGCTATTATCCTGTATAATAGTGGGTGTACCACAGTATGCTCAACCAGTGTTGGGCCATTAAGGCTTTTTCTGGTTTTTCATTATTATAAATAATAGCGTGAATCACTTTTTAAAAAGCTAAATCTTTGCACATGTTCTTAGTTGACATTCCAGGAAGTGCAATTGGTAGGTCAGAGAGGATGCACTTTTGATAAAGTTCTTGATAACTTCTGCCTAATTGCCTTCCAGGTACCAGTTTACAAGTTTCTTAGTTTATAGGAGTCTGCCGTCAATGTGCTTTACAGTCTCTACCTGCGGAAAGTAAAAAATTCCAGGCTCCTGGTCTTTAGTCTTGTCATCAACATTTGAAGTCCTCCAAATGGATATGAGTGGGGCCAGCGTGCTTGGTAAATGGCAAACTGCCTCATTCCTGAAGAAAGTAAGGGCTTCCTTCTATGGAATTAGACCTGAATCTAAAATACCATACTCTAGGGGCTGAAACCATATGATTCATCTCAATTTTAACTTACGGAAATGCTTCTTCACTATAGAAGGATGGTACATGCCCCCTGTAAGAGGTGAGGTTGCTTGCCCATGTCACTGATCTCTATCTTGTAAGGATGCTGTGACTTATATCTTTTGTATGGGGACTCTTTATTTTTTAATTTTTGAGGGTACATAGTAGGTGTATATATTTATGGGGTACATGGGATGTTTTGGTACAGGCATGCAATACGTAATAATCACATCTTGGAGAATGGGGTATCCATCCCCCCAAGCATTTATCCTTTGTATTACACACAATCTAATTACACTCTTAGTTATTTAAAAATGTACAATTAAGTTATTATTGACTATAATAACCTGTTATCACAGGTTATAGTCACCCTGTTGTGCTATCAAATGGTAGGTCTTATTCATTCCTTCTATTTTTTTTTTTTTGGTACCCGTTAACTGTGTCCACCTTCCCCTGACCCCTACTACCCTTCCCAGCCTCTGGTAACCATCCTGTTACTCTCTATGTTGCATAAGGACTCTTTAAATGCAAGGTTTTTGGAATTAAAACTTTTGTCTGGTCCTTTTCTGGGGTGGGGGAGGTTTAGGGTAGAAGAGATTTGTAAATTCCATCTCTCTTTTACTTTTCTAATTAAAATCCACCTGCAGACATTACCATTTGCTAGTTGGCTTCAGAATGTTTCATTAAGAAAACTAGAAATACCATTTGACCCAGCCATCCCATTACTGGGTATATACCCAAAGGACTATAAATCATGCTGCTATAAAGACACATGCACACGTATGTTTATTGCGGCACTATTCACAATAGCAAAGACTTGGAACCAACCCAAATGTCCAACAATGATAGACTGGATTAAGAAAATGTGGCACATATACACCATGGAATACTATGCAGCCTTAAAAAATGATGAGTTCATGTCCTTTGTAGGGACATGGATGAAATTGGAAACCATCATTCTCAGTAAACTATCGCAAGAACAAAAAACCAAACACTGCATATTCTCACTCATAGGTGGGAATTGAACAATGAGATCACATGGACACAGGAAGGGGAATATCACACTCTGGGGACTGTGGTGGGGTTGGGGGAGGGGGGAGGGATAGCATTGGGAGATATACCTAATGCTAGATGACACGTTAGTGGGTGCAGCGCACCAGCATGGCACATGTATACATATGTAACTAACCTGCACAATGTGCACATGTACCCTAAAACTTAGAGTATAATAAAAAATAAATAAATAAATAAATAAATAAATAAAAAAGAAAGGGGAAAAAAAAAAAAAAAGAAAGGAGGATTCTGTTTGGATAGGGGATGTTCTTTCAATTACCCACATTGAAGTTTCTTCCAATATTTTAAAGAGCTCTGGGACTTGAGTTCTTGTTTTAATAGTTCTTTGGAGATAGACTTTGGCAAACAGTAATCTAATTTGCTTGAAGGACTGAGTTCTACATGGCGTTCTTAAAGTTTGGCTTACTAACTTTATATTGCAAAGTTACTGGAAACTGGAAGATTCAAAGCAATGGCATCTTTGCCATTAAAAACAATTGCAGTTGGTGCCCTTTTTCTCCATGGATATTCCTGTCAGGTGTGACCAGATGTTGCACCTGATATTGCAGGAATGTCAAGGTGTAATTGTATCTGAAAAAAAAATGTGAACAAATAGTGTTTGTCAATTCAGTTAATCTGAGATTTCTTGAACTCTCATAGGTAGTTCACAGAGCAAAAAAGTTATGGTGTAGACCTTTGAAATACTTATTGATGGGAGACATAGAGGACTAATGTTTAGCTGTGCTTTTTGTGGGGAAAGAGGAGTGTTTTGTTTTTGTCATTTTAGGGATGGGGTTAGAGACAGCTGAGTTATATAGATCTCTGTAATGTGGGGAATGTTTTGTTTATCTGGAATTTAAGTCAGGTTGAAAGGGCTAAAAAGAATGGATATTGAGAATGAGGTATCAAGAGAGATTGTTCTGAGCAAAAACATGACCCAGGAGAAGGTTGAGAGAGCAACCTATTAGCAAAGGGGCCAGAGAAATGGATGAAGGAGTCACAGGCAGTAACATAAGACAGATGAGTGCAAGGTTGCCCGCTATGGTTGAATATTTGTCCCCTCTGAAAATCATGTTGAAACTTAATCCTCAATGTGACAGTATTGAGAGGTGGGGCCTTTGAAAGGTGACTGGGTCATGAGGGCTCTGCCCTCAGGAATGGATTAATTTATTCATTCATGGATTACTGGATTATCATGGAGTGGGCCTGGTTGCTTTATAAGAAGAGGAATTGAGACCTGAGCTAGCACATTAGCACACTCAGCTTTGTCGCCATGTGATACCGTAAGTACCCTGGCACTCTGCAGTCACCACTAGCCAGAAGGCCCTCACCAGATGTGACCTCTCAACTTTGGACTTCTCAGCCTCCATAATTGTAAGAAGTAAATTCCTTTTCTTTGTGAATTACCCAATTTCAAGTATTTTGTTGTAAACAACAGAAGACAAATTAAGACACTGCCCAATGGAGGCCTCCATCTGGGTGGAGACTGAGACATGTTGACTTGGTTCAAAGGTTGATAGTCATTGATGGAGGTGGTTGGATTTCACAGAGAAAATGAGAGGTAAAAGCAGGACTTTATTGTAGCTTTTTGACTTCTGGAGACAAGGTTTAGAAGAGGGGTGGTCTACAGCCCATCCAAGAGAGTTCAGACTGAGTCTGAGATATCACTGTGAAGATGAAGAGAATAGAGACATATATGGAAATTGGTTAATGCTGAACCATATATGGAAATTAGAAATGCTGACGTTTTGCTGAAGAGTATCAGGAAGGATATAGTATTAGGGATGTGATAGCACTCAGCATTTGTCTTTGAATTTTTGGCAGGATCTGTAGGATTTAGTGCAGTAAAATAAATGAGGGACAGTCCCCCATGTGACAGTGTCCTACAGGCAGTGGGAGATGAAGAACTACACTAAGGAATGGAGGTTAGTGTTCACAGCAAACACTGGAGGCCAGACCCAATGATCCTAGAGCTCTAGAGGACATGTGGTCCTGAGGAAGATGACAAAGAGAACTTTGTGACCCCTATAAGAGTCACCCTAATTCTTCATTTCCATTTTCATTTTCATTTTGATAAGCCTCTATAGGCAAGCCCCTTGAAGAAAAGGATGTCACTATTCTGATTTTTGTCCAGATAGCTGCAGTTAATTAAATGAATTGAAAAAATTAGAAACTCTTAGAGGGGTGTATGTTGCATGCATCAGCCTGGCTCTGATGAGTGTCACTTCAACATTGATTGGGATGTCCTGTACCTGGGAGGGAGAGTCAGGCTCTGGTTTCTGCAGAGGGCTCTGGCTTTTCTCTCTTTCTGATAACAGGGCCTGCAGCCACTCACCCTGATCCTCTCTGTGCTGCTCCTCTCCCTGTGGAGGCCCCTCTCTCCTCTCTGGGATCCTGGGGGAGCTGGGAACCAGTGACTCGTTTGTCAGGTTTGGCAGCCCATCTGAGGGCTTCTCTTTGGAGACAGAGCCTGTGCGGCTCTTGCAAAAGCTTGTATCTAGGAATGTGAGGACCTTTCCTGTTTGGAAGCCAGTCAAGGAGTTTTTTGAGAGGGGGAGCCCTTCAAGACTTCATGAAGTGGGCTCTTTAGCAATTAGATGTAGAATTTTGTAGAACTGACCAAGAACTTTACAAGTGATCATTTAGTGTGTGGGTGGCTTTTAAACAGCCAAACTCTTTTGGCGTGTACTTTGGGATCATAAATTCTACTTAAAAGGAAGTTGTTTCCTTCCTCTGATATTTGCCTATTTTGGTGGAGACAAAGAAATTAAATACTTGCCACCCATAATGAGTGCTCATCTCAAGAACAGTATATAGAAGATGTTGAATAAATTTTAATTGAAATGAATTTGTTGGCTGGTTGAATGAATGAATGAATAAAATAAAGTGCTAAATGCCCAGAGTTCACAGCAAAAAGTCAGACTCTCCTCTTCACAGCTCTGTTTACTACTCTCTTCCCCCCTTCCCCATCCCCTTCAATTCTTCACAGTCTCTACAACCTCCTTATCTTATGGAATTTCTCTAAATTTAGAACCAGGATTCTCTCCTATCTCACATTTATTATGGCAGATCAATGCCAGGAGCTTTGAAAGCTTAGCTTTTTGAAATGGGGTTTTTTCTCCTTCCTCTAGTACTTTTCTTTCCCTAGTTGATTTTTCTTTATTCTGACTAATGTATAACTCTGAAGTTATTGAGTCCACATTAGTTGATGATGTCGACTATCTTATGGATAGACATGAGGCAGAACAGCCTTTGTTTATATTTGGCAGTAGTTGTGGCTTCCTAGTATTGAGAAGCTCTAAAAACATTTCTTGCTTTTTGTTTTTGGAAAAGTCAAGCTTTGCTGATGAACAATCAACAACTGGAACAATAACAAATAAACTAGGCACCTGTTACTTTGTGAATTGAATGAATGAAAAAAGCAAAGCAAGATGTTGTTTTTTCTGGGTTAGAGAACTAAAAGAACTGCTGATTGTATTTTATTTTCTCTTGAAAAGTGTGTTACATCTATATTTCTTTATCCTATTAGCAAAACCTCAAAACCTTACTTTGAAATTAAACATTGAAAGGAAAAATTAACATTAGAAAAGAGCTAGAACAACTGTGGGAGTAGACTTAGAACAAAGGGAAGAGCCCATTCCTTCCTTGCTGTTTCCTTCAGTGAAATGTGATGTTCTTCTCTGTGCCCGAGTTTGTCTGTCTAGCAGAATGGAAAGGTAATGATACTTACCAGTAAATAATATTTCTAAGAGTCACATTATTTGTGAAGTAAGTTGTGTTTTAAAAATACCTTCCCAGTTCCTTACTAAATTGTAAAAGTAGTGTGATTTAGTGAGAGAGAGACAGTTTCAGAAGCCTAAACATAACAGCTTTTTGAGAATCAAGCACTGTTCACAGATCTTTAGGAGGAGCGGTCGCTGAATGAAGGTAAAGGCAAAAATCTCATCTTGTTGAAAATATGAGGGTAAACAGAATGTTAAGGAGTGATCCTATAAGGACCTGGGTGTTGAATTGGCAGCTGATTCAGGCTCCTGGTCCCTCTCTGGTCTGTGTTGGCTCCTGCAGTGTTTATAACATTCACCAGCTGCCTCTGTGACACCTCCCAACCTCCACCCTGAGATCCTGGACACACACCCCGGCTCTTGGCCTCTACCACCTTCTCCAGTGACTCTCCTACCATTTCAACCATGGCTGTTTCCCAGTCCTACACCGTGAGACTCTCCTGGGCAAAGCCTGTCTTTTGCTCCTTCACATCCTCAGCATCAAGCATAACGTCTGGTGCTTAAGTAGACACTTGGCTGTTTGAATTAGTGTATGAATGAATAAATGAATGGTGTTTACAAACATATAAACAACTAACCAAGCATAATGAGGTGAATGCTCACTAGAGATGCCCATAAAGGTGTTACAGAGGTTCAGAGAACAGAAATTATTCTATAGGGAATCACAAACACCTCTGAGTGGCAGCATTTGAAGGTTAGGAGGCTTTCTAGGCACAGGGAACCACGAACAAAGTGTAGAAGCATCCAAGGACATGGTACAAATGGGGACTATTAAATAGTCTGACAAAGATGCAGTGGAACTGAGCCTGGGAGGGACGTATGCAGCCAGGTTACAACTCACCTTGAATGCCATGTTGAGGAGGGGTTAGGGTGTCCTAGGGTGTGGGCTCTAGAGCTGGCTGGCCCACCACCACATACTTGCCACCTGACCTGAGGAAGACCTGTTAGCCCCTGTGTCTTTTTCTCATCTGTGAAATGAGGATAACCCTGATGCTCGTATGAAAGGGTAGATGGAAGAGGAAAGAGAGTGATGCTGTGAGACAGTAAGGAGGCCTTTTGACCAACTAGTGCCTAACACAGTGCCTGCCCATAGTGGTCATTTAATAAATGGATGAATGAATGAATGAATGAATGATGCAAATGAGAGATGCTGAGTGCCTAGGGTTATAAACTAGGGCAGTGACTGCAGGATGGACAAGTTAATTTTGCTGATTGCTCTTAGCTCTGAAAGAGTTTACATGAGAGAAGTTTGAAACCTTACAAAGTATATATTTTTTAACCTATGTTTTACCAATGCGTATTTCAACTATTAATCTAAATTGACAAATGGTATTTGCAATAATAAATAATATTGCTTATGAAATTATATTGTTAACTTGAAGAGGAAATTTTAAAGAAGGTTATGTTTAAAAACAATTTGGAGGAATCCTGAAAAAGGGGAAGTTCTTTGCACGTTATGATGCTTTGCTTGCATTCTGTTTCTTTCTTCTTTTATTTGTTTTTTACAGGATGTTTCTCTCTCTCTCTCTCTCTTTTTTTTTTTTTTTCCTCACAGCTGAACACTTTCCAGGCAGTTTTGGCATCTGATGGGTCTGATAGCTACGCCCTCTTTCTTTATCCTGCCAACGGCCTGCAGTTCCTTGGAACCCGCCCCAAAGAGTCTTACAATGTCCAGCTTCAGCTTCCAGCTCGGGTGGGCTTCTGCCGAGGGGAGGCTGATGATCTGAAGTCAGAAGGACCATATTTCAGCTTGACTAGCACTGAACAGTCTGTGAAAAATCTCTATCAGTAAGTAACATTGAGCTGAAGCCCTTTCCTATTTGAATATAAGGACTTTTAGGAAGTACCTGAACACAAGTGACCATAAGACCATTACATAATATATTGGTGGCTTCTAAGTAAGGCATCAAGTCAAAACCAAGGAACTAGATTCAACCCTGGAAGGATCAAGTTCACCAAAACATAAAAGGTCCTTTATTTTTCCTGCTCTATTGGGTATAGATACTGGAAACAGAACAGTATGTGTGTGTATTTGTAGAGCCACTGAGGCTTGCTATGAAAAACATTGCTCTTGGAACCACATAAAAATATCCAGTCATAAACTGCCCAGTTTGAGGTTTTCCAGATTAATCATTTCACAGGAGGAAACATTGTGATTTAGTCTTTTGGACAGATACTGTTAAACATTAAATTGAGCAATGTAATTTGCAGGAAAAATAACTAAGATTTATAGGTTTCCAGAAGTCTGAGGATGTCTCTCTGGCTTCATTACCTAAAATGAATTGAACCCATTCCTTAGACTCATCAGTGTCTGCCCATAATGGGCATTTAATAAATAGATGGGTGAATGAATGAATGATCCAGAGGGCTTACTTAGCTAGTGCAATAATAAGCTCTTCTGCATTTTGCCAGTACAGATAGTGCCAGTAGGATATTTATTGACTTCAGGGTTTTTTGGGGGGTGTGTGAGGGGAGGTAGGGGTGCCCTCGCTTTTATTCGTTTCCTGAATATAGAAGCCAGATAGAATACATTGGTTACTTCCTGGCCTCCTTTAACTGCTTCTTGACTTCATTAAATCAATCCTGGGTAGGTATAGAAACACCTTACACTTTTAGCATGCCATCCACTCTGCTCGGCTACCAGAAAGAGACCACTATAGCCAGGTTTGCTTACTCAGAGCTGACATTTATTGAAAACTTACTACTTGCCAAGCATCATGCTAAACACTTTCCAGATGTTATCTTAATTAAAACTCACAAGAATTGTAGGTTAGTACTACTATTTTCCCAGTTTTACAGAGGAGCTTAGGGAAGTTAAGTAAATTGCCTATGATCTCAAAGTTAAGTGGCAAAGCCAAAATCCAAGCTCAAGTCTGGAGTGCTGAACTACTTATTTTATCTTATGCTGAGTCCTTGTTTCCTTTCCCATCCTTATGATCCACATTGGGCATCTTTAGGGCTCCATCTAGGCTGCCGCTTAGTCTGGACTCTGGAGCAAACTCAGTTCCTTACTCTCCCTCCTCTGGTTCCACCCTCTCTTCTACTTGGGAGCTCATAGATTTATTATTCCATAGATTTATTATTATAGAGAGGTCACAATGGCCAAGCACATGGAATACAAAGATTTCTAAGACACTGGTCCTGCACATCAGCAGCTTGTACCCTATTAGGGTTGATAGACAAATAGATCAACAATTACAGAGCCCTGGGTAAGTGCTGGCATCTACACAGGAGACAGGAGACAGTGGGGCCAAAAGACCTGTGGGAAAAAGCAGTTGTGTTCCCTGAGCAGAGCCATAAAGGTCTCTTGGAACTAACATCCACAATCACGTGTGACACACAAACACACAGACAGCATTTCCACTTACCCCCTTTCATGCCTTCCCTCATTTTTATCTTTGATACTTCCCAGAAATCTCTGAATTGCTTGGCGAAAGCAGAGTAAGATATGGGGCCAAATGACTCACGTATTTTTCTTTATTGTAATCCATGCTTAATACAAATAATAAAGTACAAGCAATGCAGAATAATGTGAAATAAAAGTAAAAGTTATCCATGATCACTACTTCAAGTGATAACAAGTGTTAATGGTCCTTCTAGAATTTAGGTATATACAAAACTTTTAAAACCAAAATGGTTCTTTTGCTATGTAAGTGGTGTTTTCACATTAATCACTTCTTATAGGGGTCTTTTAGTCAGATGTCTGTCTATACTACCATTTTAAGGCTACAAAACGTTATGTCATATATGTATAAAGACAGCTTATTAATGAACATTTCATGTATTTCTGATTTTTCTTGTTATAAATATCATTGCAGTAAACAGCATAATAAACATTGCTCACATTCTCGTTTCTCCCTAAAACAAATTCTTAAAAGTGGAATTGCTGAGAAAGGGTGTATGATTTAAAAGTTGTACATTTCAGATTGTCAAAGTTACTGGTCTTTTCCTTTCTGATTTTGGATCTTGTTGTTATTCTTAGGAAGAACTTCTGTACATCAAATTTATAGAAATGTCCTTCAATATAATCTTCTATTTCACTTTTCATTATTTAAAATTTCAAAAATATACAGAAAAGTGGAGAGAATAACTAGATGAACACCCAAATGCCCATCACCTAGATTTATACATTGTAAACATTTTGCCATATTCATTTTTTTGTTTGTTTACATTTTTTTCTTTTCTTTTTTTTTTTTTTTTTTTTTTTTGAGACGGAGGTTCGCTCTTGTCGCCCAGGCTGGAGTGTAGTGGTGTGATCTTGTGCTCATTGCAACCTCTGCCTCCTGGGTTCAAGCAATTCTCCTGCCTCAGCCTCCCAGTAGCTGGGATTACAGGCGCCCACCACCACACCCGGCTAATTTTTGTATTTTTCGTAGAGACTGGGTTTCATCATGTTGGCCAGGCTGGTCTAAAACTCCTGACCTCAGGTGATCCACCTGCCTCAGCCTCCCAAAGTGCAGGGATTATGGGTGTAAGCCACCATACCCGGCCTGTTTAAATGTTTTAAAGTAAGTCACAAACATCATGCCAGTTCATTGCTAAATGCCTTAGTATGCATCTCTTAAGGGTAAAGTTAGGCTGGGCAAGGTGGTTCTAATCCCAGCGCTTTGGGAGGCCAAGGTGGGAGGATTGCTTGAGCTCAGGCATTCAAGGCCAGCCTGGGCAACATAGCGAGACCTAATCTCTACTAAAAATTTAAAAAATTAGCTGGGTGTGGTGGTGTGCACCCGTAGACCCAGCTATTTGGGAGGCTGAAGTGGGAGGATCACTTGAGCCCAGGGGGTTGAGGCTACAGTGAGCCATGATCAATCACACCACTATGCTCCAGCCTGGGTGACAGAGGGAGACCCTACCTCTAAATAAATAAGTAATTAAGAGTAAAGTTATTTTCCTAGTCAATTGTTTTCTTCCTCAAATTTGTCTCACAACTGTGAGCTCAAAGGTCATAAATTATATAGTTCATAATGTTTGTCATACTCTTCCTCTGCAAATTTAAATACGAATTCACACGTGTATATTTTGAAATCATACTTTTCTATCTTCTGGAAGACAAGACAGTAGTTAATAAGTATTTATGATGTTTAGGGCCAGTGATAGGCATTTTATTTATTTATTTTTTTGAGATGGAGTCTCGTTCTGTCATCCAGGCTGGAGTGCAGTGGCATGACCTCGGTTCACTGCAACCTCTGCCTCCTGGGTTCAAGCTTTTCTTCTGCCTTAGCCTCCAGAGTAGCTGGGATTACAGGCACACACCATCACACCTGACTATTTTTTTTGTATTTATAGTGGGGTTTCACCATGTTGGCCAGGCTGGTCTTGAACTCCTAACCTCAGGTGATCCGCCCACCTTGATTTCCCAAAGTGCTGGGATTTCAGGCATGAACCACCGTACCTGGTCAGTGCTAGGCATTTTAATGTGGTTTTCTCACTTAATTCTCCTAACAACCCAGGGAGGAAGGCATTGTCATCCCATTTTGTAACCCAATTTTCCTTTGTAGAAATAAATTAAGTTCTTTCTATTACTAAGCTTTCCAAATGACCTTGGATTTTAAAATAAACTCAAATTGGTTACTTTTCCATTATGCATAATGACAAAACCCAGATAGTGATTTATATATAATTAGAAGGTTATTTTATTTAGCTTTTATTGGCCATAATCTGTATTTTTCCACTGTTTGAAGATTTTATAGTTTCTGTTTCTAACTTCAAGAAGAAATTTCATAGTTGCACCACCTCTAATGTGATAATAAACTCAATATCCTCAGAACTTCAGGATTTTCTCCTACTGTCTTTAGTTTTCCTTATTTGCTTGCCAATAAACACCAACATTAATTCTTATGAACTTAACAAATATGTATAGCATATTGCACACAAAATCAGTTTTTCTTTCTATGCTTTTTTCCCTAAATTTACCACAACAGTAACCACAGCATATACATATATGTACATGCATACACACACACACACACAAACACACACAAGAGAAAGACATTTTCAAATTGTACTGAAAAATATTGTTACTATAGAAATCCACATGAACATGATGAGTACCCACCCAAATGAAGGAAAATCTTTTGTTCTTATACAATTTAGTGAAGTTTTTATTATCTTATTAGGCATGGACTGTTATTCCTCATTGACTGACTTTTGAGGAAATTCCATTGCTTGGGAGAATGTGAGCATAGTGTTTTGTACAAATATCAGAGGAGTATACAAACTGGCATATTCAACCTAACCAGACTCTTGTTCACTCAAGTTTTCCCATATTTTTAGAAATCATATGTAGTTGTTCTCTTTAGGGTATACCATTGACTCTAAAATAATGGGTTATTGGGATATTTGGAAACTCAATGGAGTTCATGTTCTTTTCTCATGGAGAAAACGAGAGAGCTGTTTCCAGAAGTCTTTAAAAGACTTCTAAGCTACTTTCTTATTTGCTCCTTAACTTTTTCAGTGCAAAAACAAATTTTTTAGGTTTTGGCATTTGTATTTATTTGAATTTTTTTACATTGACTCACCATTCTTTGTGGATTAGGGAATTAATCAGTTCAAGTGAATAAACAATGAAATGTCTTTAATATTCTGTAGAGTAATGATAATTCAGATGCTTATTGACTGCAGTGTGTGGTATGGTTTTCTGTCATAATATAACATAGATGAGTAGAGCATGGGCTTTGGTGTTAACTGAATTCGGATCCAATTGTTTGTTATGTGACCTTCAGAAGATCAGTTAGCCTTTTAAAGCCTATTTTCCCCTCTATAAAATTGAATATGATCACCTCTATTTGCAGATTGTATTGAAGAATGTGAAACACTTGGCACAGGGAAGGGGCATCACCAATTCATGAAAGTATGTCGTAGTCATTTGGGTGTCAGTATTTGGTAGAGTTTTAAGCATACATTTTTAAAATGTGTTATGTTTCCAGACAAGTAGAGGAAGGATGAAACATTCCTACATTCCTTGTTTATTTTCAAATAGCCAGATTTTAGATAAACCATTTGGATTATGGGGCAGATTGATAATTTGATGATCTGGCATTCTGTGGCATACAGCTTTGAAACATAATGTTAAATAAAAGGTAGTTCACATCAAAAGTCCAGTATGATCCCTTTAGTTACCATGTAAGTCTGCTTTTATTTGGTTTTATATACCAGTGAAAACTGAACCTGATCTTAATAGCCTTTCAGGTTTTTTGTTTTTTTGAGACAGGGTCTCACTCTGCCACACAGGCTGGGGTGCAGTGGTTGCAACCAAAGCCCACTGTAACCTGGAACTGCTGGGCTCAAGTGACCCTCCTGCCTCAGCCTACTGAGTAGCTAGAAGCACAGGCATGTGGCACCATGCCTGGCTAAGTTTTTTAGAAAAGGGTTTTGTAGAGGCAGGGTCTCACTATGTTGCCTAGACTGGTCTCAAACTCCTGGGCTTAAGTCATCCTCCTACTTTGGCCTTGCAAAGTGCTGGGATTATAAGTGTGAGCCACCATGCCCAGCTGTCTTTCCGTTTTAAAATAAGTTGTTCACCTTCTAGGAAGGTGGGTGAATGGACACTTTTGTTACATTTGTTACAATGACTGTTTCCTTTTTATTTAGACTAAGCAACCTGGGGATCCCTGGAGTGTGGGCTTTCCATATCGGCAGCACTTCCCCGTTGGACAATGTCAGGCCAGCTGCAGTTGGAGACCTTTCCGCTGCCCACTCTTCTGTTCCCCTGGGACGTTCCTTCAGCCATGCTACAGCCCTGGAAAGTGACTATAATGAGGACAATTTGGATTACTATGATGTGAATGAGGAGGAAGCTGAATACCTTCCGGGTGAACCAGAGGAGGCATTGAATGGCCACAGCAGCATTGATGTTTCCTTCCAATCCAAAGTGGATACAAAGCCTTTAGAGGGTAGGATCTCCCCTCCAGATTCTGATCTGTCCTCCCCCTTGCATCCAACACCTACTTATTGGCCATTCTATCCTGAAACAGAATCTTCCACCTTGGATCCTCACACCAAAGAAGGAACATCTCTGGGAGAGGTAGGGGGCCCAGATTTAAAAGGCCAAGTTGAGCCCTGGGATGAGAGAGAGACCAGAAGCCCAGCTCCACCAGAGGTAGACAGAGATTCACTGGCTCCTTCCTGGGAAACCCCACCACCGTACCCCGAAAACGGAAGCATCCAGCCCTACCCAGATGGAGGGCCAGTGCCTTCGGAAATGGATGTTCCCCCAGCTCATCCTGAAGAAGAAATTGTTCTTCGAAGTTACCCTGCTTCAGGTCACACTACACCCTTAAGTCGAGGGACGTATGAGGTGGGACTGGAAGACAACATAGGTTCCAACACCGAGGGTGAGTGCATTAGAAAACTGGGTGCTAAGGTTTCATCTTAACCATGCTGGTTTTGCATAGCGTTGTGATTTTTCTCTTAAGTGGGTAGGTGAAAAGTTTAGCAAAAAGAAGATTGGATCTAATTTTTAATCCCTGTGTTTCAAGAGATAGAGTAAATTTCCTTTGCCAAATAAATCTTGGCAGGCAGATTCTGTTCGGAATCTCTTGATCATTAATAATGTTTTTTTAAAATATGGGCCTCATGAAGTGAGTGGGGGAAAACTGGGTTTGTTATGCCAGCTACGCTCTCAAGTGTAATGAACTATTTCAGTTTGAAAGTTCAGCAAAGGTAAAACATTTTGCGGCTTCATACACATTCCAGTGATGGACGGGTTTGTGCTTTTTAAAGTGGTGAGTTGTGCTGGCTCAGATGAACATGCCAGATTCATACTCTGTTGTGAGACAAGCCTAGCGCTTCCCTTGGTTGGGGAGATATGCTTGTGATGTGTGGGAGAGGAGAGCCCACAGGGAAAGAAAATGACTAAACACCTGTGTCTGTTGTCATTTCTGGTTCATGGCTATGCAGCTGTGGCATGAACCTCCCTGGAGCCTTGTCCTCATTTCATGACCCACTGATCGGACTGAGAGGCGAGGAGGGAGATGGCGAAAGCAGGCGGTGGTTAATTATCATGGACATGGGGTCTATGTCAGTCTTCTAGTCCTTGTTGAGACTTGTCATGCCAGCTGTTTCTTCCCCATCAGACATGGAAAGATGTGAATGGGAAACTGACTCCAGATTGTTTGTTCCAGGGACTGCTCATCTGACCTCTGATAGGAAGAAAGAGGTCAGAGGTGACTGCTTTGTTCTGAATCTCCATGTTTTTCCACCTTTTCTGTTTCCTGTCACTGTTGTGGCAAAAACATGGCTGACCTAGCAGAGAGGGCCTTCTGGGTTCTGCTCTGGTATTATCTGCAGGCTATTGCATGGAGAGGTACTAATTTCAGGAGGGAAGAAAATATTTTCTGACTAATGTGGCATTGTGTAAGGATTCGAGGGAGTACATTGGTGTCGGCTTCGAGTTTGAATCCTGGCTGCCAAGCTTGCTGGGTGACCTGAAGTAACTTATGTAACCCATAAGCCTCTGATTTCTCAGGAATTACTTGGGAGGATTCAATGAGACAGCGTATGTGAAGTTCTTGGCTTCGTGTCTGCACTCACTGGTTCTTAATAAATAGTGGCTGCTGTTACTAATTTTAGAAGATTTAAAACAGTGGGAATGGGGTGGAGGATGGGTAGAGAATGAAGAATGTGCTTATTAAAGAGTTTCACATTAATTTGTGCCTAAGGGACCACATTTCCATGAAGTTGAAGATGTAAATTTTATTGGAAGTCTTTAGAACCTTCAGATCCTTCTGAGAATCTCCAGAATTTACAGTATGAGTTTCCTCTAAATACATTTTAAGGCCAAGTATCAAAGATTTTCACAAAGGGATTTGAGGTAAAGACGCATTCCTGAATGGCCTTCTCATTTGTGGGTTGTGATTTCCTTCCCTGGGAAGAGCGTGGGAATATTAAAAAGCAGATCTATGGAGTCATGTATTAAAGGGTTAAGAAGGGACTGCACACCCTGCTTTGGGCTCTGAGAGCTTGAGATCACTGGAGTAAAGTGCAGGAGGCTTCAGGAACCAGCCATAGAGTAGAACAGAGGCACAGCTATAACCCTTGTGGGGCATGAACTATGATATTTATCAGCTGCCGGATGCAGTCTACTATAGACATCCTGGTAATGGCAAAAAACGCCTGTGAAAAAGCTGGTTAATACGCATTTTGGAGGAAGAAATCTAGAAGTGTTTGAAACTTAGACAAAAAAAATCCAGTTTTTGTTTTAAAAGAATTTACGGGGATGTATGAAGTATAGAAGCATGCAATTGTTAAATACTTTTGAGGGGATGCAGTGACTGTTTCTTTCACATAAAACATTGGAGGCTCAGAGGTCTGTCTGGTAAGTGTGGGCTTCCTCCGGGAAGCTGTGGGGTGGGAGTGGCAGAGACACAGAACATTGTCCGGTACTAAGTACCCAGCCATGTGGCATCTGCCTGGCTTTTTCTGCTGATGGAATAGAAAGCACATGGTTTTGGTGCTGGTTGGACTTGACCTTGACTCCCAGCTCTGCTATGTGGTTTGGGGCAAGACATGTAGTCTGTTTGACCCTTGGCTCTCCTCAGCTCTAAAACAGAGTTAATGAAGACCTCGTCATATACTTGCAAGAACTGAAATTGAGCTTGGGAAGCACCCTGCCCAATACATTTTAGTTTCCCTTTGAAGCTTTAGGGTAGTCATCTTGCTAAACCAAGAAATTAAGATTTAGTTAAAGGCCCAGAAAATATCACTCCTTTTTACATTTTTTTCCCCTTAGGGACTCATTTTACAGACCTTTCTTTTTGTTCAGAAATTTAGATTTTCAGATCATATCTACACCAGGCAGGAATGTCCTGGCCACACTCGAGCTCTGTCTTCCTAGGCCACAGAACAGCAGTAGATGGATGTGCAAGCATGCTTTCTCTGAGGAGTCTTGTTTCCAGGGAGCTCTGGTCGTTTTGTTGTCAAGTCAAAAAGTTACCCAAGCACCTGCCGTGTACCTGTCTCTGACTCGGTGCTAGTGGAAGTTTTGGCTGGCATTTGCTAAGTGCAGCCTGCTGCTCTAAAGTGAGAACTTGGCATTAGATTGCATTATCACAGTTAGTCCTCAGAATTGCCCTGTGGGGAGTTCGAGACCAGCCTGGGCAACATAGGGAGACCTTGCCTCTATAAACAATTTTAAAAATTAGCCGGGTGTGGTGGTGCTCACCTGTGGTCCTAGCTACTCGGGAGACTGAGGTGGGAGGATCACTTGAGCCCAAGAGTTCCAGGCTACAGTGAGCCATGATTGTACCACTGCATAGCCTGAGCAACAGAGAGAAATATTGTCTGAAAAAAAAAGTTGTCCTGTAGGGTAGGTACAATCATCCTTCCCATTTTACAGAGATGGAAACTGAGCTTGGAAATACTTAGTGACTTGTCTAGCAAGGGCAAAGACTGCAACAAAGTCATGAAGAAATTAGAGAAAGCTGTAGGGTGACAGAGAGTCAAAGGCACTGTCCAGGAGTGTCACTGCTGTTGGGGAAGTCTTTGTGAGGAAGGAGGGGCTTGAGCCAGGCCTGGGGTCAAAGTCTGAGAGGGAGAATGTGTGAAAACATTATGAACAGAGAAGTGACAAGAGCGGAGTTGCAGAGATGGGAATGAGGAGGGAGGAAAGGAGGGAGAGAGACAGAGACAAAGGTTGATTAAGGCAGTGGGGTGAGAGAGTTGCCAGTGAGGGCTTCAGCTGCCTGGGACCATGGGACTGCCTGTGTTGTGAGTAGAAAGGAATGAGGTTTACTGATAGGGGTCTTAGTTATTCTTAAGCCTGCTGAGGCAGTGCTATACGCAGCTTAATTTAATCTCAATCTGCATGATGAGTTAGGAGGAAGGACACCTGGCTTTCAGAAACCTCATGTAGTCCCACTCCACTTTTGGCCTTGTGAAAGGCTGCAGGAGTGTGTTGCAAGCTCAACTTCCACCCTGAGAAGAATTTAAGCAGGTTCTGCTGCCAGTGCAACCCTCCAGGTGCCAAAGACCATCCCCTGGGTGCACCTCCAGGTTGCAGAGGGTCTGTGACCAGGAGCCGCCGCCCCCCGATGCCTGTGAAGACACCTATATGAGGAGATTCCATGGTAGGGCCCCTCTCCCTTCACCAGAAGTGGAGAGAGCCTGTTAGTGTCATGCCAGCAGTTGTAAAAGGCCACCCCCAGGGTCGTGATCACTGCCACCAGCATCATTACATGCCACACACATCAAAATTAAACAAACATGAAAACTGGACGAAAAAGCATTCCACTGTTTGTTATAAAGTTGGATATGGTTTTTCTAACTAGTCTGTCATTCTGAGAGATGGGAAAACTTAGAAGAATTTTTCCTGCGGTGAAAATGACTTTTTTTTTTTTTGAGGTAGCAGTAAAAATTGTTAGTAGTTGCTCCAGCTGTCCTGAAGCAGCCCTGTGCACGAAGCCTCCTGTGTCCCTCTGTGTTGGCCCAGTGAACCCAGTCGACACCATGGAACCTCCCCTGTGTCTGGCCCAGGGCCTTCTGTGAAGAAGGGCAGGCCGGCCAAGGGCTGCAGACAGGTGCTTAAGTGTTTCTGGGAAAATGAAGATTGAAAGATGGCTCAGAACAAGTGCAGAGGAGAATTTTCCATTTTTGTTACGAACTCCTAGTTAGGACAAGTCTCAAGTCCTTTGGCAGGGCATTTCTTTCTTTCCTCTGATATCTCCCCACCCCATTTTTCTTTCTATTAAGGACATGAGAAAAGTTAAAAACAAACAAAAAAAACATTAAATAGAAAAAAAAGAGATTTAAAAAATCTTCATGTTAAGAATCCTTTAGCAACTATCAAACCTCAGTTAACAAATCCATGACAAAATGAGTTCATTCAAACCTGGCCAGCCTCCACCCTCCTGCTGTGCCCTGAGGTGTCAGCAAACTTCTTTATGGTCTGACTCTCCGTGGCAGGAGCTTCCTGGCATAGTGTGGGTCCCAGAGGAGGCCATGGACTAGAAACTGTATTTCTCAAAGTGTGGGCACTCATCCACCTTCCTCTCACTCAGCTGGGAGCCTGGTTAAAAACACTGATTTCCAAGCGCCTCCTCTACCTTCTGAACCAGAAACTGCATTTTTAAGCCACCTCACTCCTTCAACACCTCCAGGCCTCTGCCCAAATGTCTCCTTCTCCCGAGGTCTTCCCTGACCATACTATTTCAAAGAGCCAGGTGTGCCTGCCCTCTCTCACCCTCTTGTCTGACCCTGCCATATTCCTCTGCACTTCAGTGATTCTGATGCCCCCTCAATTTGATGGGATTTAGAGCCAGAAGATTGTTTCATCTCTGTAGGCCTCAATTTTCTCATTTATAAAATGGAGATATCTTCTAACTAGAATAGGAAGAAGTGCATGAAAATACACTCAAAGCCATGATAGGGACATGAAAATGACCACCGAAAAGAAAAAGTGCCACTTTTCCTCGGGTGGGTTTATTGCACATCTCATCTAGCTGGGATCCAGATCTTGATTCCCAGCCTTCAAGAAGTTCAGCCTCTTTGAATTTCACTGCAATTCCCATAGAAATTTGAGCAGTCACGTTGGCCGGAGGTCTGGCTTTTCTCGCCCTGGATAAATAGCTGCACGTGGGCTCAGCACCGTTCTAGCTCCAGGTCTCCCCCTTCTTCAGGGAAGGGCTATCTGGCTGCTGTGCGTCTGTATTACTTTCACTAAAGAATCTTCACGTTGTATTCTTGTGGATGGATGCCCAAATGGGCCGTAAGCACTGAGCTCAGCTTCTCAGGTGGCCAGAAATGAGCACGAGAAATTTCCTAACATTCTGCCCACCCCAGGAGCTGCCAATTGGTCAGATTAAATTTGTTAACGACATTGATGAGCAACACCTAGCTCAGAAATCCAAGGCTTGTTGTATCCCAAGCCTTCTATCAACACCAATTGGTGTGAGAATCACTGGCGGGGTGGCTAAAGTGTAGATTGCTAGGATGCACCCAGAGAGTGGAACTGGTAGGTCTAAGGTGGGCCCTCAGAATTTGCATTTTTAACAGAAATCTCAGGTGATCCTGATGCAGTGGTCTCTGGAATCCACCGGGAGAAATGCAGCTCTCCGTGTGAAGGACTGCATGGTGCTGTGCTGAGGGTGTAAGTTGTTATTCACCCCTTGGTGAATTTCCTTGATGCCTCATGCTGTTGTCAGAACTGAACCCCACAAACCTGCTCCTCCTCAGTCTCCCTATCTCAGTAACTGGCAGCTCCACCCTTTTGGTTTCCCACATCAGGACTGAACATCATCCCACATCCAGTCTACCAGCAAACCCTCTCGGTTCCACCTTCAGAATATCCCAGACCTGGGCCCTTCTTATCCCCTGTACCAGCACTTCTTACCACCAAGGGACCAGCTCCTGTCTGATTTACTGTAGTCGGAGCATGTTACTCTTCTGCTCGAAACCCTCTAGTGCTTCCCATCTCACTCAGATGAAAGCTCAAATCCTTCCTGTGATCTCTGAGACCCTGCATGAATGACCCAGGCCACCTCTTCTCTCACCATCCCTCCCACATGCCCACACACCCCTCCTGCCTGACACAGCACCACGCCTGCCCTCATCTGTGGGGTTCACTCCCTCACCTCCTCCTGGCCTCTGCTCAGTCACCTTCTCCTGAGGTCTTCCCTGACCATGCTATTAAAAAGAGCCATGTACACCTGCCCCCTCCCACCCTCTTGTCTTTCTCTGCTGTATTTCTTTGCACAGCTCTTACACATCCACCCCACTAAGTAATTTACTTGTTTATTGACTGCTGCTGGGGAGAATGTAAGCTTCAGGATGTGAATTTTTGTCTCTTTTGCTCCCTGCCATGTCCTCAGTTTCTAGACTAGGTACAGGTCTATAGTGAATGCTCAGTAAATACTTGTTGAATTAGTGAATGAATGAACAAAAATTGTAAGAAGCATTTACCTTTCACCTAACAAGCTGCCATTGTAAATGGTAAGTGTGCAAACCTGTGTGTGCACTTGGGTATGAAGGCAGGCGTGGAAGAGGGATTATAAATGGAGGCTTGCCTTCCCCCGGATTAGGGGCTGATCCATCTTCTTTCCTTCATGTGGCTGTTATGAAGCTGAAAGAGACAGTGTGTGTTCTTGGCTCAGTAAGTACCATCCTAAAAATACAATATTCCACAAAACTGTTTAAAAAGACTCCCAGGTTAGCTTAACAGTAACTAGTTAGCCCATTGTAATTACAGTTTAAGTCTCATAATAGCCTTTCATGGGAGCCTGCTCATTGTTATAACTTCTTTTTCTGTAATAGAAAAATGTAGTACAGCTTCCAATCTATTTATAAACCTTTGCACAGTTGCACTTGTAAGTTGCTGGCTGCATCGCCCTGCCTCTTTTTACTTAGATAAAAGCTATGACTCCACCTAGTTTAACTCTCCATATCTAGACTGTCTCTCCTCCATCTTCTCTCTCCTTGTTTCATAATTCAGCCTCAGAATAAGAATTGGGTTGCAGAATAAGGCTTCACAAAATAACTGAAATAAGATACAATCCAAGCCTGTTATTTCCTTAATTTGTGGGCAGAACAGCTTGTAAAGTTTGGATTGATTTTTATCTGAATATTATGAAAACGGCTTTTTTTTTTTTTTTTTTTTGAGATGGAGTCTCTCTCTGTCGCCCAGGCTGGAGTGCAGTGGTGCGATCTCGGCTCACTGCAAGCTCCGCCTGCCAGATTCACGCCATTCTCCTGCCTCAGCCTCCCGAGTAGCTGGGACTACAGGCGCCCACCACCACGCCTGGCTAATTTTTTGTATTTTTAGTAGAGACGGGGTTTCACCGTGTTAGCCAGGATGGTCTCAGTCTCCTGACCTCGTGATCCGCCTGCCTCGGCCTCCCAAAGTGCTGGGATTACAGGTGTGAGCTGCCGGGCCCAGCCAAATGGCTGTTCTTTAGACCTATAGCAGATTGCCTTTTTACTTGGTGTTCAGAAGTACATTAAGAAGAAATGCGACTTCTGGCAATGCAGGGGTGAGGAAGAGGTGTTCTACTTATTTTAGAGATGAGGAAGCTGAAAGACAGTTTGCATAGTTTCCACAAAGCCCCCGAGGGAGGGCTGAGGTTGAGTCCTAGAGCTTGGCGCTTTCTGCAGCCCCTCATTCCTTGAGCTCTGGGAGAAAGTCCTGATGGCCCTTAAGCCATGAGCACACTGGTGAGTGTGTGAGTCCCTCCTGTAGCTGCTTCCTTACACTTAGTTGTGAATTTCTGAGCTGGAGAAACCTGAGATTTTGACACATCCAAGTTACATTCATTTCCTTTTACTCTAAATGTTTTTTTCCCTTTCTTAAACTAATAGACAGTGATACAGTTTTCTTCACAGCCATCTATTTTACCATGATCCATCCTGGGTTTTTTTTTTTTTTTTTTCTGCCTTGAGTTTTATATCACTTTTCTGTTTAAGTTAAGCTTGTCACTTTCTTGTTTAAATAAAGTTGAGTCATGCCTAATTTTCTATTTTTATCAAACTGGAATTTCTTAGCCAAGTCATCAAGGCCCTATACTAAATCTTGAGTCATAACTTCATTCCTACTATGTTCTAATCAGATTTTCCACTTGAACCTACACTGTCTGTCCTGCCAACCCTCAGCTTGCTGCTTTCCCAAGGATCTGCAGGCAGCACTCCAGTACTGTTCAAAAGCTAATGCCGCTGCTGCTACTCTCATTTCTTACCTGTGCTGTTTTTCAACATGCTGTAATAGTCATCTCGATAATCTTCCCTGCTTGCTTCTACCATTAAACCCAGTTTATAAAGTATGACTCGAATTATACTTGAAGTCTGTGCTGATTAACCCCAGACATGTGGTGACCCCTAATCTAGTGCTCATGATCTCCGTACTTGGATCCCATTGAAGGGGTCGTGGAGAGTAGCAGTTAAGATTCTCCAGCTAGATGTCCTAGGTTCGGTTCCCACCTTTGCCACTCACTGCCTATGCGACTTCAGGTGCTTTAGTCTACTGTGCCTCAGCTTTATCTGCAAACGGGTTAAAAAATTGTCCCTGGCCAGAGTGGTGGCTCATACCTGTAATCCCAGCATTTTGGGAGGCCTAGGTGGGAAGATCACTTGAGCCCAGGAGTTCGAGACCGAGACCAACCTGGGCAACGCAGGGAGACCCCTCCCCCCAACCCACCCTACCAAAAAATAAAGTAGGCAGGTGTGATGCATGCTTGTGGCTGCGGCTACTCAAAAGGCTGAAATAGGAGGATCACTTGAGCCTGGGAAGTCGAGCTTTCAGTGAGCCGAGATGGCACCACTGCTCTCCAGCTTGGGTGACAGAGCAAAACCCTGTCTCAACAACAGCAACAAAAAAAAGTCCCTGCTACCTAGGGTTGTTGTGCAAATTAAGAGTTGTTGGCCGGGCGGGGTGGCTCACGCCTGTTATCCCAGCACTTTGGGAGGCCGAGGCAGGTGGATCACGAGGTCAGGAGATCAGGACCATCCTGGCTAACATGGTGAAACCCTGTCTCTACTAAAAAATACAAAAAATTAGTCAGGCGTGGTGGTGGGTGCCTGTAGTCCCAGCTACTCAGGAGGCTGAGGCAAGAGAATGGCGTGAACCTGGGAGGTGGAGCTTGCAGTGAGCTGTGATCGTGCCACTGCACTCCAGCCTGGGCGACAGAGCGAGACTCCGTTTCAAAAAAAAAAAAAAAAAAAAAGGTTGTTAAATGTAAAGCTTGTATATGTTAAGCGCGATTGAAGTGTTAACTTTGTTATATTTTTATTTGCTGATGGAGGTCTTTATCTTGGTGACATTGTACCTATAATGCTATGTCTCATTAGCTCCTTTACTTTCTGTTCTCCCTGGGAATACTGGGTAAAGATTGATCTTTGGATTTCTTCCTCCCCTCCTGTCTCCTCGTTTCCAGATAGACCTGGAACACAACTACCACTTGGTTTTTCCTAAGAGTAGGGTGGGTGTCCTCCTTCATGCCAGCATCCGTGTCTCACACTAGAATTCCATGCCATCCCTGCTCAACAGCATGCTCCTGGAGTCTCCAGCCAACTCCACCTCCTGGGGATGTGGAGGCAGAGGTGTGTGCAGCCGCTTGGCCTCCTGGTGGCCATGCTTGGGATTGGCATATTTCCTAGTGCCCCGGAGAAAGCACCCTCCTGTCCATCCACAACCCCCGCCACACCCTACCCCCTTGGCTATTTCCTTTATGAACTATGGCATTTGCTCCAGTTTCCCCATTTCTTTGCAGCACAGATGGCCCTCTTCTTTTAATGGGCAGAATAAGTAGGAAATGGAAGAAACAGCTGCCAGAGCACTGAATTTATCCTAGTCCTCCATAATTTCTTGGAAGATCTGCGAGTGGGGCCCAAGCTGTCTGCTACTGCGTGGAAATCATGCTTGTACCATACCCATCATAGTTAAACCCTGCCAAGGGCATAGGGCATTTTAATAGCTTGAATCCCTGTTGTTTTGCCCTCCTCTGTCCCCTTCTCCCCATGCCTTTTCTTTGAGGTAGGTGCGTGTGTTCTTTAAGACCCTTCCCTCAAAACAATCTTGGTAGCGAGACCAGCTATTATCTTTTTTAAGTTCAGTGTTCCCTAAAAGAAGGATGGTTAGACATAAGACATTTGTTAGCTTCTCTATTATGTCTTCCTCTCAGGATGTGTTTAGGTTGAACCATATAAAAGTGCTGATATTTAGCCCTTTTTGACCCACAAAAATAGTGGTTTCATGAAGTTCAACCTAACATGTACTTACTGGTTTGCTTTCATTTTACTGCACTCAAACCCACGGGTGCAGTCTCATCTTAGTTCACCAACTCTGCAATGGGACCCAGCCGGGAGCAGTAAGCAATTCTTCTTGCCAGCAGACAAAGCAGATTAATTCCCTTGGGTTGAATGTTATGCCGGTCTCTTAAACATCAAAAACTGTTTGTTATGATCTAAACTGCTTCTATGGAGCAGATGTTGTGTCCCCGATGCAGCAGTGACATTGGAATCATTTAGTCCTTTTAAGGCAAGTTTGTTTTATTTTTCAGTCTTCACGTATAATGCTGCCAACAAGGAAACCTGTGAACACAACCACAGACAATGCTCCCGGCATGCCTTCTGCACGGACTATGCCACTGGCTTCTGCTGCCACTGCCAATCCAAGTTTTATGGAAATGGGAAGCACTGTCTGCCTGAAGGTAATTGACTGGGGCCAGGAACTCCTGTGTGTCTATTCCTGCTGCTTACCTGTTTCCAGCTACCACTGTGAGCTCTGCTTTATGGACCAAACATCTCCACTACTTAAATCAGAGTGCTATCAACTTGCAGGTGCTCAATAAATGTGTGAGGAATGAACTGGTTTGGGCTGATTCCCAATTTGAGGATTATCCAGAAATGCTTCCTTCTGCCAGCTCATTAGAGCCAAAGTGTAGTGGAGTAGAAGGAGGAGGGGAGAAAACAGACTGGAGGCAGGACTGTTTCATAGATGGATAATTGGTTGGTTAGGAAATCATTAAAGTGACTTGCTAAAGAGTGAGTTTTGGAAGTTGTCAGTGGAATAATTATACCTGGGTACACCCATCTCTAGCCAGGATGACGTCCAAGCCTAACTGGATTTGCTGTCTTTTAGGGGCACCTCACCGAGTGAATGGGAAAGTGAGTGGCCACCTCCACGTGGGCCATACACCCGTGCACTTCACTGATGTGGACCTGCATGCGTATATCGTGGGCAATGATGGCAGAGCCTACACGGCCATCAGCCACATCCCACAGCCAGCAGCCCAGGCCCTCCTCCCCCTCACACCAATTGGAGGCCTGTTTGGCTGGCTCTTTGCTTTAGAAAAACCTGGCTCTGAGAACGGCTTCAGCCTCGCAGGTGAGTAGGGCCTCTGAGAAGGCCGGTAGTCAGCATTGCTTTGGCAGTGGTGCTCCTTGGGGCACTGTCTTTAGGCCTTTACGCAGTGACAGAGGAATCACTTGTTTAATGTACTAGAGCCACATGTGTGTAGTTTTCTGGCCACAGGTTGTTGGGAATGGTTTGACCTCACATCACTGATTTTTGAAAGGCAGTGATTTCGTCTAAATGTTCTCCCAGCTGTTCTGAGAAACAGGATGATTCCATTCAGAACATTTGTGTCCTCTTACCCCAATTTGTTGCAGCATATTTGTCAGGCTTTTTAAATTATGCACAGATCTGTCAAATGCAAAAATGGTACTTGGGGCACCTGGGGATGATTTTACTTCATGGGGAAGGGGTGCTCTTCTCCTCCCAGCTCCACAACCTATAATAGTATAGGCCGGTGCACCCCAGACTTGAACCTGCACACACATCACTTGGAGGTCTTGTCAAAATGTAAATTCTGGTTCAGCAGGCCTGGGGTGGGGTCCGTGATTTTGCTTTTCTACCAAGCTAGGAGGTGAGGTACCAGTGTTGCTGGAAAGGCCACCCGTTGACAACAAGGATTTAGAAGATACTTTTTGGATTCTCACCTTCCAACCTGAAAACTTGTTTGCTAGAGGTTTTATCTTTATTGCATTAAAAATAGTTTTGTGAGAAGTTCTTTCTCCATCTTTAACTGCAGAGCTCGGTAGCTGTTAATAGGTTCTTGCTTTAATCAAAATTTGAATAAAGCCCTTGGGTCAAAAGTAGATAAAAAATGGCACACCTGGATAAATTTGTATTTCAGATAAACAATTTTCTAGTATAAGTATTACCCACATATTTCATGAGACATACTTATCTGAAATTCAAACAAAACCCTGAATGTCTTAGGTGGTAGTTTATTTGTTTTTGTTTTTTTGTTGTTAGGTTTATTTGTTTGTTTGTTTTTTGCTAAGTCTAGCAACCTTAGAGAAAAGTCAAGGACGTTCCCAAGAGTATTTCTCACAGAATACAAGCTTGTTCAAAGAGAAGCTGGGTGAGGTAAGGCAGGATGAAACCATATTCTTCAATGGAAAAGTTTGGGAACTTATGGAATCAACAGCTGATAGTGCTTACTCTCAGATATCAGATAATCTCCTTAGGCACGATCTCCAACAGCAGTAGAAATTGGGAGCGGGCAGTATATACTGGTAACTGTTTAAGCAAGACCTCTTTTCATCCCTGTGCTGAATGTTTTTCATCTCCAGGTGCTGCCTTTACCCATGACATGGAAGTTACATTCTACCCGGGAGAGGAGACGGTTCGTATCACTCAAACTGCTGAGGGACTTGACCCAGAGAACTACCTGAGCATTAAGACCAACATTCAAGGCCAGGTGCCTTACGTCTCAGCAAATTTCACAGCCCACATCTCTCCCTACAAGGAGCTGTACCACTACTCCGACTCCAGTATGTATAACCAGTCTTCACATCTGTAAAATGGGGATTATGCCCATCTCACAAGATAGATACAAGGCTTAAATGACTTACATGGCATGTCCTTAGAACAGTGCATGGAACATAAAATGAGCTCTATTATGTTATTACTCTTATTGTTACCATGAAATATATCGTGTAAGTGAGCAGAATGGCTGCTATACATAAGAATATCTATATCCCTACATAGTATTTTCAAATAATAAAATCAATAGCAACATTGTCCATGGGGTGGGTAGGGATGGTATAATTATATACAGTTTTTAACCATCCTACTTTCTGCAACATGGAAAAATAGTGATTATTGGAATTTATATTTATCTCAACCTTGTTTCAGCTGATGAGTTCAGGCTGCTTTAAAAAAAAAAAAAATCACAGAAAGAGGCCAGGTGCAATGGCTCATGCCTGTAATCCCACCACTTTGGGAGGCCAAGGTGGGTGGATCACCTGAGGTCAGGAGTTCAAGACCAGCCTGGCCAACATGGTGAAAACCTGTTTCTACTAAAAATACAAAAATTAGCAGGGTGTGGTGGCACGCTCCTGCGATCCCAGCTACTTGGGAGGCTGAGGCAGGAGAATCATCTGAACCTGGGAAGTGGAGGTTGCAGTGAGCCGAGATTGTGCCATTGTACTCCAGCCTGGGCGACAAAGCAAGACTCCATCTCAAAAACAAAACCAAAAAACACAGAGATGCTATAATTTATTATAAAACTAATGCTAGATTTGGAGTCAAAAGATAAGAATTTATATCCTGGACTTGCCATTTAATATCTATAGGGAAAGGCCTCTTAATATCTGAGAATGTATTTTCTCATCTTTCACATGGAACTAAAAATGCTTTTTCTATATTATGTGATCAATGTGTGCGAAGCGTGATGTGTTCTGTGAAAGTACTACCTGCGCACAGGATGCTGCCTCCATCACAGCTGCTGTTGTGCAGCACAGCAATCCGGATTGAGTTGTGCCTTTCCTCTGACCCCTGCTGCTCCTATGCTGAGAGCTGGCAGCCTGGCAGGAGATGTAGGGAAGACAAGGGGAAGCAGAGACCTGGGCTGTGAACAAAATGGTCAGTGTCCGGATCACTGACCTGAGCTTGACTCCTAGACTCAGATGGTGAGAGACAACCCTTTCCCTTCTCTGGAATCCTTCAGATTTACTGAAGTGCGAGGTGTTGGAAGTCGTCACTTCTGTGAAATGTAGAAGATGGATTGGTTTAAAATTTAGGGTGTAGAGTCAAACCAATGTGAGTTTCAGTTCCAGCTCTACCATGTGGCAGCATTGCATCTTAGGCTACTTAACCTTTGTGAGCCTCTGATCACATGATTTAGTGCCCACCTCACCAGGCTGTTGTGAGGAATAAATGAGGCAGTATGTAGAGAGCACTGTTGGCATGGCTGGCCCTTAGTAACACTTATTCTTTGTGTATAATAACATGGACAATTGTAGTGCCTTCTCCCTCTCAGCACTGTGGCTTTGCATCCACTCAGGTTTTTGGGATTTCCTTACACATTTTTTCATATAAACTCAGGAGGTTCCCAAGGGAACACACTCCAAGAATTAGATGAAAAAAACTGCAGAAAAATCCACCTCACATGAAAATCTCTGTATTTAATATTTTTAAAAAATTACCACTGTGTTTGTTGCAGCTGTGACCTCTACAAGTTCCAGAGACTACTCTCTGACTTTTGGTGCAATCAACCAAACATGGTCCTACCGCATCCACCAGAACATCACTTACCAGGTGTGCAGGCACGCCCCCAGACACCCGTCCTTCCCCACCACCCAGCAGCTGAACGTGGACCGGGTCTTTGCCTTGTATAATGACGAAGAAAGAGTGCTTAGATTTGCTGTGACCAATCAAATTGGCCCGGTCAAAGGTAAGGTTTCCTTTTTTGTTGTTGGGTAAAAATGACATCCTTTTAAGTAGAGTTAGAATGATTCACAGAGGTTACTAAGGGTTACCTAGTGCCATGCTGTGTTATGTGCTAGGTATAAGGATGAATAGAGCAGATCCTTGCCCTTGAGTTGGAAACAGAGGCAGAAAAGAGTTTTAGGGCAGGGAACAGTGTCCCTGCCAAAGTCAGGAAATAGAGCATAGTATGTGAAGCTGGTTTATAGCAATACCCAACTGTGCGTGCCAATCAGGAATATACCTGTGAACAAGGCAGACTGGAATTAGGAGGGAGAGTGATGCTGACAAGTATTTGTTACAAGTGTGATGAGAGCAGGGCACTGTGAGTCTAGTTTGAAGATTCAGAAAAGATGTCCCCAAGAAAGTGACATTTTAGCTAAAACAGATGAGAAGAATTTCATCCAAAACTAAGGTGGAGCAAAGAGCTAGTATCTGGAAAAACCAAACATCATAGAACTTGATGTATAACCTCCCCCTCCATGATTCCCAGAACATTATACTTAATGGTGAAAGACTGGATGCTTTTCCCTGAAGCTTAGGAACAAGACAAGGATGTCTGCTGTTGCCACTTTTATTCAATTCAGTACTAGAATTTCTAGCCAGGGTGATTAGGCAAGAACACAAAATAAAAGCCATCTAAATTGGAAAAGGACAAAGTAAAATTAGTCTCAGATGACATTTTGTGTAGAAAATCTCAGGAATTCACTAAAACACTATTAGAACTAAAGAACAAGTTCGCAATGTTATAAGATATGCAAGATCAGTACACCAAATTGTATTTCTCTATAGTAGCAATGAGCAAACTAAAGATTAAGAAATTGTTTCAAAAAGAGATAAATTTTTAAAAAGAAGTGCAGTACTTGTACATTGCATCCCACAAAACATTTTTGGAAAAAAATTTAAGACCCAGTTAAATGGGAAGATGTTCCACATTCATGGATTGGAAGACTTAATACTGTTAAGATGTGAATACTTCCCAAATTGATCTATTAATTCAACATAATCCCTATCAGAATCTCAGCTGGCTCTTTGAAGAAATTGGCAAGCTGATTCTAGAATTTATATGGAAATTCAAAGAACACAGAATAGCCAAAACAATCTTGGAAAAGAATAAAGTCAGACTTGTATTTCTCAAACTCGAAATCTAGAGTAATCAAGACAGTGTGGTCCTGGCGTAAGGATACATGTAAAGATCAAAGGAACAGAAGTGGGAACCCAGAAATACTCACATTAAAAGTCAATTGCTTTTTCAACAACAGTGCCGGGAGTGGGGAGGGATAGCATTAGGAGATATACCTAATGCTAAATGACGAGTTAATGGGTGCAGCTCACCAACATGGCACATGTACACATATGTAACAAACCTGCACGTTGTAAACATGTACCCTAAAACTTAAAGTATAATAATAATAGAATTCTGATGGTTAAAAGACAAAACAAAACAAAAAACACAGTGCCAAAACAATTCAATGGAGAAAGAATAGTCTTTTAAACTATTGTTAACTATGGTGCTGGGACCACTGAGTGACCACATACAAAAGAATGAAGTTGAACCTTTTACCTCACAGCATATCCAACTCAAAATGGGCCAACAGACCTAAGTGTAAGAGTTAAAACTTTTAGAAGAAAACATATGGGTAAATTTTTGTGACTTTGAATTTGCTAATGGTTTCTTAGGTACGACACTAAAAGCACAAGCAACAGCAAAATAAACTGGGTGTCATCAAAATTTTAACAGTTTGTGCTTCAGAGGACATTATTAACAAAGTGAAAACACAGCCATAGAATGGGAGACAGTATTTTAAATCATGTGATATTTGTTCTAGAGTATACGAAGTATCTTACAACTCAATAAAAAAACAAGCTAACTAAAAGATGGGCAAAAGCTCTGCAAGGACCTCTCTCCAAAAAGATATACAGATACCCAATGGGCATGTGTAAAGATGCTCAGCATCATTAGTCATCAGGGAAATGCAAATCAAAACCACAATGAGATACTACTTTACATCATGTGGTCGAGTATAATCAAAAAACGGGTAATAACAAGTGTTGGCGAGAACATGGAAAATTCGGAACCCTCATACGTTGCTGGTGTGATTATAAAATGATGTGGCTACTGTGAAAAACAAAATAGTGGTTTCTCAAAGTGAAACACAAAGTTACCATTTAATGGAGCAATTCTACTCCTTTCTATATACCCAAAAGAAATGAAAACATAGATCCCCACAAAAACTTATTCGTGTATATTCATAGTGGCAGTATTCATAATAGCCAAAAGGTGGAAGCAACATACATGCCCATCAGTTGATGGACACCAAAAAATATATTCATATACTGGAATATTATTCAACCATAAAAAGGAATGAAGTACGGATACATGCTGCAACATGGATGAACTCTGAAAACCTTAAGTGAAGGTAGTCAGTGACAAAGGACAGCATACTGAATGGTTACAATTATGTGAAATATCCAAAATAGGCAAATCCACATACATAGAAAGCATATTCATGGTTGCCCAGGGCTAAGAGATAATGAGAGCATAGGGCGTTAATAGCTAAAGGGTACAGGGTTAATTTTGGGGGTGATGAAAATGTTCTGAAATTGATTGTGGTGACGGTTGGATAACACTGAATAGACGAAATTGTTTAATTATGTACTTTAAACGGATGAATTGTATGGTATGTGAATTACTTCTCAACTGAAGGCCAGGCATACTGGCTTATGCCTGTAATCCCAGCACTTTGGGAGGCTGAGGT